>NC_000023.11:12743548-13046578 GCF_000001405.40 Homo sapiens | reverse complement strand
TGAGTTGTTTCTTTCTGGGAGACATCTCACAAATACTCCAGTTGGGAAAAAGAGATAAATTGCTCCATCCAAAGTTTAAAAGAATTTCTTCAGGGTTTTGTAACTTGGACACTTGGTGTTCTGAAAAGAATGTCTTTGTGCCTATTTAAAATTGCAGAATCCTTTTCAGTTTGTTTCTAGGCTGTTATGCCAAAGAAGTAGCTCTGTAATCCCCATTTGTCTTCACCTGACATCAAATTCCACTTTGTGATGGAGAATTGTTCCTTGATTTGACATTCTTTTAAAGAAAAATGAGCCAGCATTGAATTCTTAGCTGAATACCAGTAGTTGGTGTATGTGTGTATGTGTTTCCAATTATAGACAGAACCTGGTATAGTACTTTCAGCTGAAATCTTTGATGAAGCATATGAAAATTACATTGATCCAGATGGGATAGAAAGCTGTAAGACTGGTTGCACAAAGCCCTCTGCAAGATTTGTCTTCTTTCTTAATGTTACACATCTTAAGCTCGAAAGAGAGAGAAACCTGAAGCAATCATGGCTTAAAATTCCCCAAGATGTCTCATTGGCTAATTTGGGTACCAAGTAGATTGTGGGGAAATGGGGACAGCTGGTGGTATTTAGTGTCAGTAATTAGGGATTCTCTTTAGGTTATAGAGAACTCTTAGATATAAAGGTGAGCTGCCTTGTCAGGGAAAGATGGCTTCCAACCCAGCTGTGGAAATAATCGGGCTGGGCACGATGGCTCAAGCCTGTAACCCCAGCACTTTAGGAGGCTGAGGCGGGCGGATCGCTTGAGCCCAGGAGTTGCAGACCAGCCTGGGCAACATAGTGAGACCTCATCTCTGCAAAAAATAAACAAAATTGGCCAGGAGCGGTGGTTCATGCCTGTAATCCTAGCACTTTGGGAGGCTGAGGCGGGCAGACTGACTGAGCTCAGGAGTTCGAGACCAGCCTGGGCAACACGGTGAAACCCTGTCTCTACTAAAATACAAAAAAAAAAAAAAAAAAATCAGCCAGGCGTGGCGGCGTGCGCCTATAGTCCCAGCTACTTGGGAGGCTGAGGCAGGAGAATTGCTTGAACCAGGGAGGCAGAGGTTGCAGGAAGCCGAGATCGTGCCACTGCACTCCAGCCTGGGGACAGAGTAAGACTCTGTCTCTAAAAATAAATAAATAAATAAAATAAAATTAGCTGGGCATGGTGGGACATGCCTGTAGTCCCAGCTACTTGGGAGGCTGTGGTGGGAGGATCCCTTGAGCGCGGGCAGTTGAGGCTACAGTGAGTAGTGATTACACCATTGCAGCCCAGCCTGGGTGACAGAGCAAGACCCTGTCAAAAAAAAAAAAAAAAAGAAAAAAGAAAAATGAAAGAAAAGAAATGACCACATCATGAGAAATCTAGACATAAAGTCTTTAACTTTGTATATCCACTGCAGAATCATGCAATGCCCAGTGTGAGGGAATGGAGTAGGATAGGAGAAAACTACCTGCCCCTGCTGGGAGTCAACAATTTTCTTAGATAAAACATAAAAGCACAATCCATTGATAAAAAGGATGCAGCTGGGCGTGTTGGAAGCACACAGGACATGGGAGGGAGCCTGGGCTCCACCCGCAGGGTGATGGCCATTCCACCCAAAGGGGCAGGAGTGGCTGGAACGAGCCTGGGGGCAAGGTCCTAGGCCCCGTTCACTTGGCCTCCATTCCTTAGGGCAGGGTCCCCTGGCACTCACCACTCCCGAGTCCTTGCTTCCTTCACCAGGATGAGGAGCTGGAATATCGTGGGGACAGAGGCCTCAGAGAGCCACCCAATGAGTCCACAGCAGCCATGGACAGTCCGTGAGGGGGAGGGTGTGCCTGCAGGGGGCGTGGCCCCATGCCGCCCGCCACCTGCATGCGCACTGGGCCGACCAATCAGCGAGGAGCGCGGGCAGCCGGGGCGGCTGCTGCTCTCGTGAGAACAGAGGACCCAGGCCCTCGGAGGAGCTTCGCGGTGCCAGCCTCTGCAGGTCCTCTGAGGGAGCAACATCAGGGCTCCCTCAGGTGAGACGCCCTCGGTGGGGATGCGGGGAAGGCGGGCCAGAGGCCCTTTGGGGAAGAGGGTGTGAAGGGCGGGGCAGCCAGGCTGATCTGTGAGGAAATGGCCCAGGCATTGTCGCCTGGGGCCTGGGTCAGGGCAGGGAGTTGGAGCTGCCTGAGTGGTCCCCAGGACCCAGGAGGGTCCCGGAGGCCTGTGCATGTGTGCAGCGTTTGGGGGGGGGTCGGGGGGTCAACGTGGGTCCGTCTTGTCTGGCTGCCCATCAGGACGGGATACTTGGGGTCACCAGGGGTCCCCTGGGCGTCCAGGCTGGCGAATGGGCAGTCCCTGCCCCTGTCAGAAACAGGTGCGTACCGGCTCATTCCCATGGAGATGGCTGGGGAGATCCTGTGTCACCCCGCGGCCCTCCCGACTCCACTGGGTCGCTGGGGAACCCAGGGGCAGGGCCAGGCTCTGTCCCAAGGGCACTGCAAGAATCCCGCAGAGGCCGCGGAATTCTGCGAGCTCTGCAGCCAGCCCCGGGGAAGCGCTGGACGGGCCAGGACAGGAGGGGATGATGGCATCTTCTCCGCGTCCCCTCCTGCTCCCACGGGAGACCCGGGGCGCCCTTGAACCTGCGATCCTGATGATTTTCATTTAACACGCCTCGTTTCCTTAGTGTCCTTAGTGTGTCTTTGCACTCACCAGGTTCAGAGGTCGCCTCTAGCTTCCCAGGCCAGTCAGCCACGGAGCCCGTGGGCAGGAAGGGCAGCAGGATGGCTGCCAAGGACCAGTTGGAGGTTCAAGTTATGGCCGCCCAGGAAATGGAGCTTGCAGGTAAACACAGCCCAAGGGGACCTAGAAGAAGGTGCACGCCCAACAGTCTGTCTGCTTTCTGGGCGGGGCGCACATGGGCAGCCCGAGGCCCCCGGCCCCTTCGTGGCTTTGGAGCTCACCGTGCATGTGCTGAGATGCCCCAGGTTTTCAAAGCAGGCTCAAGGGCCTTAGGCTTCCCGTGGGAGGCTCCCCCTCATAGCAGGGTTACAGATGCTCTCAGAGCAGCTCTTCTCCATGGATGCGGTCCTGACATCCAAGGGATCTGACCTGTGAACGTTGTTTACTGGGACTTGAACCCGAAGGGCTTCCAAAAATGCCTCCGTAAAATGGTTAGGAGCCGGCGATTCCATGTATAGCTCTGCGGTAAAGCTTTAATTGGCGGAGAGCCAAAAAAGTCTACAAATAGTACGTTTCTCTATGAAAAATGTCCACAACAGCGTCTTCCTCTAAAAAAGGTTTGTCTTTTTTATTTTAATGCAGGAAAGGATCCAGTAAGTCATGAGCATGAGGAAAGAAAACCTGTTACAGAGACAAAGGAGGGAGATGTAACTGATGAGCATGGGGAAAGAGGATCTTTTGCTGAAACAGATGAACACACGGGGTAAAGTGTTTAAGTCCCTTTTGCCTGTCAGATAAGGTCTTTTAGGAAAAGTCAGCTTTGGATCATGTCATCACTGTTATGTTCTATGCAGAACATTTCACACAAGACATTTCTTCCCAACAAACAAGGCCTTTTGTGTAGCATTATGTTAAAATTGTGTTGCAACTTTTTGTTACAGGGTTGATACCAAGGAGCTAGAAGATATTGCAGGTATGTTTTACGAGCTATTTGTGGTTTATGAAAATTGTTTTCAACCATACAACCCTTACAGTAGGTTATATGAATTAGTGGATGACAAGACTGTCTTAAATGCCTTCTTCTCATATATAGCATTTAATGTAATCTGTTTAATAATTTTTCTTACTTACTTTTTTAATTGTTGATGTGGAATGTGAGAATGCTTCTAATAATGGTGAAGCAAGAGGGGTGGCTTTTCTTTCATACACGTGGAAATTTAATTGTTTGGGGGATATTAGAGGACATTGGAGGAGAAACAGCTCTATTCGTTCCTTTCAGTGTACACACATTAAGTCATATATCAGGTTTTTTTTTAGCTTTTACTTTATGTTTGGGGGTACATGTGCAGGTTCGTTATATAGATAAATTGCGTGTCACAGGGGTTTGGTATACAGATTATTTTGTCACCCAGATTATAAGCATCGTACCTGATGGGTGGTTTTCCATCCTCACCTTCCTCCTACCCTCCAACCTCAAGTAGGCCCAGGTGTGTGTTGTTCACCTCTTCCTGTCCGTATGTACTCAGTTTTTAATATGAGTTTTTCATCTTCCTAATTTAGCTATTGTCACAACTTTCTAATTTTGTTTTCTTTAAAGTACCAGAGAAAATTGAATTCTCTAAAATGATGATTTTCTATTATTATTCCAGTAACAAGCTGTGTAGTAGAAAAGGAAAGACAACTTTTCTACCCAGTGAGAAGCATACAATTGGATCCAAAAACTCATAAACTTTATATTGCCATGTGAAATATTAGTTGCACTGTTATGGGACCATATTTTCAAAAAAGTTTGAGAAAATTTCTGTAGAGATTATGAAGACAATACTCTTATTTTTAAAAAGCTTACTTTAGTTTTCAGCTCTTCTATAGCGATAATTCATATAAGCAGTATATTTGGAAAGCTTTGCTCTGCTTGGTGGTGACAAAGTGCCGGTTTTGTCTAATACAATGAGCATTATAGATGGATACTGTATGTAAAAAAATTTGTATTATGGTGCAGCTCTTTTATGATTGCTCAAAACTATTCTCAGCAATTGATGGTAGATCTCTCATGTGAAACCATGTTTAGGAAAGCATTCCTTGCAGTATTACAGTTTTCTGAAACACTGCACTGTGGATAAAAATGTCATATAAAAAGCTCTCAGAAAATATTTCAAATGTGTTTTGAATGTATTTATCTATTTAAACCTAAATGTTTACACCCATGGACATTGCTTCTTTTATTAAAATATAGTTAATAGCATCAACTATTGATTAAAAATACTTTCTTTATTGTGTATTAAGTTATTTCTACCCTTTTGATGGTCTTATTAAATCAGATACTTTTTTGTGCTTTACATAATGAGTTGTGACAGTATTTCACGGAAACATGTCCTTTGAATTGTAGGACATTTTATAAATGTAGAAATTAAAGTCTGTGGCTGGGCACGGTTGCTCACACCTGTAATCCCAGCACTTTGGGAGGCCGAGGTGGGTGGATCACGAGGTCAGGAGATCAAGACCATCCTGGCTAACACGGTGAAACCCCGTCTCCACTAAAAATATAAAAATTAGCCGGGCGTGGTGGCGGGCGCCTGTAGTCCCAGCTACTCGGGAGGCTAAGGCAGGAGAATGGCGTGAACCCGGGAGGCGGAGGCTGCAGTGAGCCAAGATCGTGCCACAGCACTCCAGCCTGGGTGACAGAGCGAGACTCTGTCTCAAAAAAAAAAAAAAAGAAATTAAAGTCTGTGTTTGTAACCCTTTCTGCACACTTAAAAAATAGAAACTTTTAATTATTTGCTTTTTTTCATTATCTGTCAATTAAGTGATTTGCTGTTATACCAACTGAAATTGGAATACTAATACCTGAAAGGTTTTACATAAAGTAAGTAAATCTTGCTTTTTGAAATGATCTTTGCATTTTACATTTTAAATGTCCTTCTGATATTGCTGAACCATCAAGTCCCATATTGATTTTAATATATGCAAAGAAACTACTTTTCAACATGAACATTTAATGCATATTCATTTACTATCTAGCTGACATTAAAGAGCATCTTGCTGCAAAGAGAAAAAGGATTGAAAAGATTGCAAAAGCTTGCAGCGAAATAAAGAACAGAATTAAAAATGTTTTGAGAACAACACAACTAAAAAGGTATGATTGTTGGCTTTTTTGAATAATGATATTTATATCATTTCTTTGTATTCATTGGTGCAAATAATTTCCAGAACTATCCTGTACATATTGGTGTCTCTAGGGAACAACATATTTTACTTGATTGTTCCCTAAACAGGTAAGTTTCTTTAGTTTTATAACCTCAATTTAACAGAATTGAGAGATATTACCTAGAAGCCAATGAAGATGACCTCTTTTTGCCTTCCAGATAAAAAGTCTTCCTGTAAAATTAATGTTTATCCATTTCTAGAAATACGGTAGGTGAATATAAGATAAATGTCTTCAACGTTTAGTCTGTAGATTCTTAACAATATTCAATTATGTAGAAAGGGATAACCTTGTGTTGTAAATAAGTTATTTATTTTAGTTAAATTGTTTTCACTATTCCTTTTAGATCATTGTCGTGCCAAAGTGGAGAAATAGTTAAGTGAAGTATTTCTTTCGGGAAATCTTACGGGATGAATGGCTATGATATTCTTGCACCTCCTTATGAGAACGCATATGTTATTTAGTAAGAAGAAATGAAAAGTAAACTGCTCTTGGAGAAAAAGATTGTTTCTGGGAAATTTATAGTGCAGTAAACCCTCCTTTGTCTTCAGCAGGTAAAGAATGTAAGATAGCTGCTCTAGTAGTCAGTTAGGAAGGGATCCTTTCAGAATGACAGTAACTCATTTCACCTTTTCCCAAAAAGAAGATTTCAGCTGCTATTACTCCCTTGCTACTTTATAGTACAAACTATGTCAAGTCAGTTTTGGTTTGAATAGGATTAATTTTTCATCCCTCTATGACGTATGACCTTGTTACTTATTATGTGTTACAGGCAGAAACGTGATTATAGAATTTCTCTGAAGTTGCCGAATGTCCTTGAAGAGTTCATCACAGATGAGCAGAAAGATGAGGAAGGAGATGGAGAAAAGGAAGAACAAATTGTTGGTATCAGGCTTAGCTTTATGATTAACCTATTGTATCAATGTCTCAGGTAGTAATAGTTCATGCAGAAATCCAGCAAAGAAGGAAGAGAGCATGAGCCCAGAGAGGGTCGCCCATTAGTGGACTCATGGACTAGGGGAATATAATTGCCATGCAGCATTAGGGGTCCAACTGAAGTCAGCATCATAGCGATGAAGAAGTTAAAGTGAACTCAGTTGGCATATTTGTGCAAGAGCAGCTGTAGGGTTGGAATTTCCTGGGTTGGGGTGTAGCCGAGCATGTTGATAGAGGGAGAGTTGGACAGGGCATAGAGGCAGGGATGGGGTTATGATGACTGGCTGTGGAATTTCAGCTGGGGCTGAGTTACCTGAGCACATGGGGGTGGGGCATTGGGCAGTGAAAAGTGCTCCATTCAATAGGCGTCAGGTCCCTACAGACTCCTGAGCTGTAGTACTGAAGTGAGTGACCTACAGTGGCAGGAAGGTAGTGGCTGTATGTTGGGAAGATGGAGAAACAGATGAGTGCAGTGGTCAAGGGCTGCGACTCTGGAGCCCCACTGCTTGGGATCCAATTCCAGTTTGACCATTGCTAGTTCAGGAACCATGGGCATATTATTTATCTCTGTGCTAAAGTTACTTTATATACGAAAGGAGACATGGTGAGGGTACCTATTTCAGAGTTGTTTGGAGGATTAAAGGGTTCCTGTGTAACAGGTTTATTTAAATTTTTCAGGATGCGATCTGACCCATGGTTGCTGTTTATCATTGCTATTATTAATATTATGTAGATACTGCAGTCACTGGGAATGACAAAATTTAGGGGATGACTGTGAGTGCCACGTAGAGGAGAGGAGAACACTATTGTTGGAGATTAGGTCAAGGTGCAGAAAGGCAATCATTAATGGAAGGTTTATCTATGTACATATTGAAATGACCAAGATTTAACAGGTGTTTAAAATCTTAGTAAGAAAGAATGTTTCTTAGTTAATTTCTGTATAGATCTTACCTATCTGTGGTCAACAAATTATAGGAAGGGTCATCAAATACTCTTCATTTGAAATCAAGAATTAAGACGTATGTGTTGAATATGTATAAGAAAGAAAATTCTTTACTCCATGACTGATGAAAAAGGTTATTGTTTTAGCACATGAGTGGTGAACACAATTGTTTCAAATTGGTCATAAACGTTGTCTAAAAGAAAGTGTTCAGAAGTATTGATTTAAAGAGTATTTCTTTAATGCAGAATGTTTTATAAGTATTAAAATTTACCCAATTTTAATCACTTTTTTGTTTTGTGCCTCTAGAAAATATTTCAAGAGCAACAAAAGAGGTGGCAACAAGATGGGAAAGGAACTGAAAGAGATTGAGCCACCACACGAGCAATTCACAAAGGTCTGTTCTATTTGGTAACACAATACGTTCTTATAAAATACAACACATGCATAAAAATAGAAGACAATCTGCTTGTTTCTGAATGTATGGAAAGACATTTTGGTTATACATTTTAAATTACTTACCATTTTCACTTTGAATGTGTTGTTCCAGATTTAACATAAGTAGTAAATAACATAAAATAACATAAAACAGTATTTTTAGGATTCATGAATAGTTTTGTAGGAGTTATTTAGAACAGGAAAAGGTAAATTGGAAATTTTACCTAGAAATATACATCTTGTGTATAAAAATTGATACCTTATGAACACATTAATGAAGACTTTATTTTCAGTTTTTAGGAGATCAGCGACAAATCTTTAGTGGAAGGCAGAAAGTCCATAAGTCCTTTCTGGATGTCTTTTTTACTTGTGTTGTTTCAAGAGTTTTAGTTAAATAGGAAGTAGGCAAATGTAACTACTGAGTATCTCTTTTGTTTTCTGCTGTAATGTAGGAGTGTTTTATGGCATATTCACTTTCAAAATTATTAGTGACTAGTAATGGTTTTACATGACAATTTGTAATCATAAGAGATGGTTCAGATGTATAACAGAATGGGAAAGCCAGCAGATTATTAACATGTTGTGAATTGTGAATTATCTGCTGTCGTACAGCACATTAGCAAATTGTCATCGGACAATGACCGCTTCTTCATGTAGATGTATATTATTTAGGAAGCAATGGAATTCCCTTCTGGGAGGTAAGATATTCTTTTTAATAACCTTGTGGAAAGACATGTTCATATGTCACTCCTCTACACTAACTGAGATGTGTTAAATAAACTGGGAAAAGAGTTTGAAAATAGAATTTTCAAGCAACTCAAAGATTATCTATACACAAAACGGTTATTTATATAGAAGTCACAAGTAGAGAACATGTTGCTATAATGTTCCCCAGAAACCATTTATTAATTGGTATGAACATGAGACTAGAAAAGTTTTCCTGTCAATGTTAATGCTACATGTTACCACTTAGGGTAGGAACTTCGGTATCATCTTGGACTCTTCTGAGTCCATTATCTTTCACATACAGTTTTCATGAGGCAAGTTTTACTCTGCAATGGTCCTTAAATTTCTTTTTTTTAAATTGCCACTGAGGCAACCCTAGTTCAAGAACTCATTCTTCCTTGCTTGTACTATTAAACTCTTTTCTGAGTTCTCTCTTCTCTTCTGAGCCACCCTTCATTGATCAGAAATACTATCTTCCTAAAACTCTTCCCTTCCTAAAATGCTTCTAGCCCTTCACTCTTCCCAGCCTATCAGTGGTATCCACATGTCAGTTCTTAGATATTCAGAGACTCTCCCCTTTACATGACCCCCTCTTAGGCTTGTTTTACTGCCTTCTGTCTTTCTTCCCGCCTCTCCAGGTTGACAGCCTTCTCTGAACGACCTCTCCATTACTCTCATGCTTTGCTCATGCTCTTCCCTCACAATGCTTTTAAAGTCCTTTTTTTTTTTTGATCGATTGAAATCTTTTGCCAACTAAGTGGACATCAGTCTCCATTTTTGGCTACATGTCCGAGTGAGTTGCTCTTCCACAGCAGTTACATAAGTTTTGTATTATTTTTTTTATTCGTGCATATTTGCTCATGTCACAGGAATATGGAAGAGATTGTGTATTCATTTTTTACATCTTCCTCAGCATTAACATACCACTTTTTAGGGAGTAGGAACTGTTGAACTATTTGTTGAGAGAATAGTATATATTTCAAACATAGTTATGTTTTCTCTAACTTGATGAGGTCATGTCACAGACCATTTTATCCCTTCAGTGGAAACCATGTTATGTCGACTATTAGTGATAACAAATGGGTCACTATCTGGTGAAAAAATATGGTATTTCATGATCTAAGACTACCAGTCTTTTTCTGTTTTTGCTCCATCTTGACCATAACATATTCATCAAACCATTTTCTTCAAGCAAAGTACATGACTGTTGGACCTGCTATAATAATATTTCACTAAAATCTGGCATTAAAAATTTTAAGTATTTGGAGCTCCATGTACTGATTACAGTTTTTAAATTTGAAATAAATGACCAGCATCCTTTGAATATTAAAAGCTGTTTCCTTTTGACATTTAATTTACTCTCTTTAAAATGTGAGTTGTAAAGTGATGGTTTGTCAGTGAACTAGACTTTTTGTTTTAGAGTGTGAGGACTTGGAAGAGTATAATGAAAGCCCTCTTTTTGGTGAAGAGAGTCAACTTAAAAAATAAATTGCCATGTTCCAAAATAATATTGTGGTAATTGTAAGTAGTGCATATTTTATCTTAAAAACTCAGGATTGATGTAAGCACTGGAATATTTTATTTGTAGAAATGTGTATCGCAATTACTTAAATTTATTTTTTTGAAACAGCTGCAGCAAGAGTTGGCACTTATTCAGATGTATCTTCAACCTCTGTTATTCTGGTGACTGACAAAAGAACTTGAACCTATGTTATATGATACATGCATAACTTGAGCTACACTAAACCACATGACAGTGTTTAGTTAATTCTTGTATAAATTAGTATATCTCTTCTATTATTAGTCTGTTTGTTAAATGCCAGACCACGTTTCTATGATCTGTTGAATGAACCCTAGACAGTTCTGTGAGAAAGCAGCAATTGCACAGTTACATACACAGTCAATTAAATTTTAACATTAAAGATAATTTAGTTTTAGGTTTGGCCTCTGTGGATCTGTATCAGTTCCAAAATGTGGAAAGCACGGGCATGGAAAAGTACATTTTTCTCTAATAAAAGAAGACAAACCCTTATTTTATCTGTGCATTCTTTGTATTTACTCATTAAGTTAAAGAAGCAATTCCAATGAAAGCAAGACTTCAAAAAATAGATAAACTCTGTGGCCTTTCAAAATTATTAAAAGTACCTTAACATCTGTGTTCTTGAAAAAATTAAACTACTATAAATGATTGAGACAACTGAGCAAGATATATTAATATCAGTGCTGAGCCACCGGCTTCTGGGTATGTCATTTCCACAGACATCAAATTGCCATTTGGTTTGTTTTGGTCCACCATTCAGTGATATCTCCCCTTAACATTGATTCAAAGTATTTTATTAACATTTATGTATGCTTACAATTATTTCACATCTGTGGCAAGGTAAATTATGTAGGGTGCTTTGTTTTTCGAGTTTAGTATTTGTGGAGTATGTGGAAGTTTAAGTATACATGCATCTAAAAACTTAAGTGATGAATTCTCCTACCTTTCCTTTTGTAATGTGCAGTTGTTACATGTAACAACATACAAAATGTTCATTTGGAAACACTTTATTTAGTAAATATGAAATTCAGAATATATTTGGAGTAAGTCAGTTAAATGTATTCTTTTGCTGAGTTTCTGAAATTCCATTCATGAATTGTTCAAAACACAATACTCCCATTGGGAGGAGAGGAGCGACTTCCTCTCATTTTTCCTTGTGCTTTTTATTTTAATTGGCCCCTATATACCACTCTTGTTTTTCTAGGTTTTCCAAGTTTAAGAAAAAAAGAAAAACAAGTTCATTCAGATTCTGTTTTTCTGCCTGCAATCACTTATGCAGGAATAAGTGAGTCCTTATGGGGAGCATTTAATTCCTAAAGTTTGCATTTTCATAAAGGATTTTCCTTTTACCCAAAGCATGTGTTGGTGTATAAGTCTAACTACTACTTCAAGTTTCTAAGAAGATCCTCATTTGAGATCTGCAGAGGTCCATATGAGAGTTCTATTATACACACTGGGCTATATAACGGTTTATTCCATAGTGGAAGGACAAGAATTAGGACACAATGTACTTAGTGATGAAACAGTTGATATTTATGCCACCCCTTACCACCTCAAATGAGTAAAGGTGTACTTTAAGTCACTTTGGCAGATATTCTGAAGGGAAGAAAGTTTTTGTCCTTAAAAGTTATTAGGGGTGTGTGTATGTGTGTGTATAAATGTGTATATATATGTGTGTGTGTGTGTGTTTATGTATATATGCATTCCACGTATCTATACATATATAATATGCATATACGTATATGTGAATATATGCACACACATACACATATATATGACTTTATTTTTTAGAATTGTTTTTAGTTCACAACAAATTGATCTGAAGGTCTAGAGATTTCTCATTTACCCCCTGTTCTCCTACCATAGCCTTCCCCACTATCCATATCCCCCACCAGAGTGGTGCCTTTCTTACACCCCATGAACTTACATTGACATATCATTATCACCCCAAGTCCATAGATTACTTCACTGTTCACTCTTGGTTCCTTTTTTTTTTAGTGACTATTTTTCTCACATCACCTGTGCTATAGTCCCTGTTTTATTTTTCATAAAGAGAACATTTAATTTGTACTTTTTTGTGACCATGAAATTTTAGGTTAGAATATCAGAAACAAGTCACACTAAAACAAATGTAAAGATTCACTTTTCTCCCGAAAATGGTAAGACAGATAACATTTATTTATATATGCTTGAAACGTTGCAGTTAGTGCTTTTAAATTCTAGATTGAAGCACATATTTTCTTTTGTTCCATAATAAACGCCCCCTTTGAAGAATGGCTGATATCAAGAGCATCATGTCTCGTAATACTGTCTCACTCAACAGCTGAATGTTGAAATGTACACTCACAAAACACTAAATATATCCTTAGAACAATGATGTACTGAACAAAATTCAGAGTTCAAACGCAAAGACAGCTCCCAAGAAAGTTTTCCCACAGACCAGTGGCAAGTCCTTTCCTTCAGCAACTGAAACCCAGGAGATACAGAGTCTCTTGCCTCTGCCTCTTGGAGAGGGTTTCTTTTGATACCAGAGGGAAAGGGCCATCTCATCTCCCTGATGTTAGTTAAAATTTCATCTTGGATTGATGGGTTAATATCTTTGTAAAGATATCTAAATTAAGGTGATCCAGTCAAATCAGAAATACTTGACTCACTCCTTAGGAGGAGCTTAACTCTGCCCTGAATTTCTGTGCACACACCTCATTTATTGCACTCACAGTACATAAGCTCTGAGATGTAAAATTGAACCAGAACCAGACAGCGCATTGCATTCTTATCCAAGTGAATCAGGGCTCTCTCAGCGCTGCTCACCCAAAACACATTGAAATCAATTCTTTTTATTCTTATTTATTTGTAAAACAGACAGTGATGATGGTATCTGTGTCAGAGGGTTACTGTGAGTGTCAGAGGAAACAATGATGGTGAGAAGGTTAGACACATGGTACATGTTGAATAAATGTTAGCTATTAGTTATCAATATCTTCATGATTTTTATTGATATGTAATAGTTGTAAATACATATGGGGTACATGTGATATTTTGATTCATGAATATGTAAAGATCATATCAGGGTAGTTGGGATATTCATCATCTCAAACTTTTATCATTTTTTGTGCCGAGAACATTGCAAATCTCATCTAGGTATTTTGAAATACAGGATAACTGTAGTTACTCGAGTGTGCTATTGAACACTAGAGCTTATTTCTTCTCTCTAACTGTATGTTTATACCCATTGTCCAGCATTTCTTTTTCCCTGACATCCCTCCTACCATTTCCAGCCTCTGGTAACCACCATTCTACTCACTACCTCCCTGAGATCAATTGTGTCCAGGAACGAATAGCAAGTAAGTGGTAAAGATGGACTAGTTGATAGTTAATAACCATGACTGGCCTATTCTTTGTCTGCTGTACTTTCTTTCCTCTATGTGTGGCAAGTGCCTGCTGCTTACTCTTTTAAGACTTGTGTCAAAGACCACCTAATTCTTTACCTTTTCTGGAATCTGTTAGTTCTCAAACAAAATTGTGTCCCTTTTCCTCTCTTTTAGTGGTTGTGTACCTCTCAAACCCCATATTGTGGCTGTTATTTACTTAACTGTTACCCTTGAGAGTAAAAATTTTATCATAGTCCCAGTCTTATTTTTGGAACCTGGTGTGTTCCCACCCATACAAGAGGTGCACAATACACATGTACTAAATAAATGAATGATCGGTCATTTGAAAGAACACTGAATACACAGCAATTCTCCAATCTCTGTGTTTATGCAAACACAAGAATTAATTTTATTTGCCTAATTCAAACATTACCTTTAAATTTATTCAAAATTCCCATTTTCCATGAATTAACCAGACATCCTTTGTTGGTACATTTTCACTAATTAACCAGTTAAATATATTTTGCCTTATATCACTTTAAAAGAGCATATGGAACAAAATCAGACAGCTTAGGTAGTTATGTCTCTTGAGCTCACTATTTTAAGGAGTGAAGTTCACCCTGCCACTTGCCTACCTGTCTCAGTACTCATACGCTTGCATCGATGTCCTGCTAATGTACATTAAATCAGATATCCATACCTGCTTTGAAGTGTGCCCTAGTCAACAAACAGGTCACTTGGTTATCATTATCTTCCATCCAGGATCAAGATAAAATAAGTGCCAGAGAAAGATGTCTTACAGAGATTCTCTCAATGTATTAGTTACACATAAACAAATTAGTTACTGGAGCACACATTCCTATCTTTTAGAAAGAGAAGACCTGTTAATAGTTGAGAGCGAAGAAAATCAATTCTTGTTGAACCAATAAATGTCCCTTCTGGATAGTTTACGTTGCCATTAAAGCATAAAGTTGCCATTTTAATCTGTCAGCTGCTTATTTCTTGCATGAGCTATTCTGGCTTTCTAAATCATATCTTTTGGCCAGGCACAGGGGCTTATGCCTGTAATCCCAGCACTTTGGGAGGCCAAGGCGGGCGGATCACTTGAGGTCAGGAGTTTGAGACCAGCCTGGCCAACATGGTGAAACCCTGTCTCTACCCAGAATATAAAAAATTAGCTGGGTGTGGTGACACACGCCTGTAATCCCAGCTACTGGGGAGGCTGAGGCAGGAGAATCACTTGAACCCGGGAGGCGGAGGTTGCAGTGAACCGAGATTGTGCCACTGCACTCCAGCCTGGCGACAGAGTGAGACTCCGTCTCAACAAAATAAATAAAAATAAATCATATTTTTGGTCATTTGCCAAGTGCTTGGCTGTTGGGTACACACGGAATAAATTATCCAGTAAAAAACATCTCAGATCTTTCCAGCTATTTTTGATCAGGTACACCTGTAAATCTTAAAAAGCCTGTAAAGAAATACCTAAATAATACATTGGATATAAGACATAGGACAATAGTAACTGAAGGAAATTGCAATCGTTAGGGGGGAAAATCCTTAAAGGCTTAAAATTCTACTAGGTGGTAACCACTGTTTATACACACATGCATTTCCCTCTTCATATTTGGGAAACTGATGGTCGTGTTTCCTTTTTAGGGTGGAAGAAAAAATTCTCCATTAAGAGAAGGGAAGGAAAATATAGGAAAAAGAACCATTCTTTGAAGGCACCTGTTGTCCAAATCATAAGGAAGAGCTTGTAGTTCTGAGTTGCACAAAGGTGCTTTAGTTGTTTTTCTGTAGGATACTAGAGGAGGTCAAATGTTATGTGATAGCTGTGTCCTCAGACCCAGTGTAGGAGATGGGTAAAAAATGTTGATTGGATAAATGTGTTACTTTGCTAGTTCATACCTCTCTGAACCTGTCTTGAAGCCGCTGTGGGGAAAATGTCTCCATCTTTTCTTTGTTCTGTCGCCATTCAATCTATTCATCTACTGCTTGAGAATGTTTTTGCAATAACAAATCTTTGAGGTTTGGAAACCAGCTGTGATTAGTTTAAGAACTCTTGGTCCCACCCAATTTCAGCCTGTGCTGGGGTGTCTATTTCCTTTGTAAATTAAGGCTGCCTCCCGCTCTGGGAGCTGACTGGTTGTGCCCTGTGTTTCACTGGAGCCCCTGTCTGTTCTTTGGCTCACCTTCCCCCGCCCTTCCTTATTTGTAAAGCCCTGAAGGAGGCAAGTTTCCTTTGAATGTCATTAACACTTTGTAATTAGCTAGGAAGCCAAGGAGAATACCAAATGTCCCTTTCCCACCATGGGGCAAACTGTTTTGTTTTCTCTTCTGAACCCCAAGCAGGAACTGGCTAAGATATGATGGCCCCTCTACACGAAGAGTGACTGATTTCATTGGGAAGTGAAATTTGCATGACACCATCAGAAGCTCTTGACCCGTCAGACTCAGAACTCAGCAAGCTTTTCTTTCCCATTAATCCATGGTTAATGCCTTTGTGCTGCATAGTTTATTCAGTCCACAGCTCCCTCCTCAAACATAAACCACTAAAGGACCATGGATTCACAGGAATGACAATAAGACTACTGAGAGGCAGAGAGCGGAAAGCCCCGGGGCTTTGGTGTCAGGCAGACCCAGGTTCAGGAGGAAGCAGGGATAACATATACTTTTTTTTTTAAGTCAGGTTGTGAGGTATAATTTACATATAGTAAATTTCCCCCTAAGGCGTGGCATTTGGAATTGCACTTCTTTATAATCCATGGAGGAAATTGCACTGAGTTCAGAGCCAGGAAACATGGATCTTGCTCCCATCCCCCCAGCCATTGTCAATGAATAGTTCTGAACTCTGCATCATCTGTAAAATATGTGAGTTGAACTAGGTGACAGTGAGGTCCCCTCTGCATTATAAGAAGTCTGTTGTTTTATATTTTAAATGAATGAAACAAACAAAATAACTTGTCTTCCCAAAAGATATTCAAGAATCTCATGATTGAAGTTCACTGTTGAAATAACTTAAGTTTCTTGTACAGTTCAGACTTTTATTTTTACAGTTGCTGCTGGAAGAATTTCTAAGCATGTTGGGATAAACAGTTCCCACCCGCTGATCCTAAACTAACCAGTGTCCCTTGCTCCCCACCCCGGGTCACCCTAGTCCTCCAGTCGGCTGAGGCAGTGGGAACAGGAAATCAAGTCTCTCAGAAAGTTCAGGCTGCCTTGAATGGCTGCCAGATCACCCTGGAGGAGAAGCTCCGGAGGCAGGCGGGGAAGCCTCCCCTCCTCTGGTTACAGAAACTCTCTCCTTACACTCCTCTCTTAAATCTACCTAAACTTAAATGCAAAAACATTTCTGCAGAGAAGAAAGTGCCCAACATTCTCTGGTTATGGATTGGGGGCCCTGTTTTATCAGTTTTTGAGCAAGGTATTTTGGCTTGATTGAACTTTCAGATTGCTCTAGCCTTGTCTCTCCTCCCCCAAACCAAACAAATGAGTGCTTGGAATGAGTGAAGCACATACATTCCTGGATCCAGATTGATATCTGGAACTGGAATGTGACATTTACCAGTGTAATGTGCTGAGATTTAAGTTTGTGGAGAGTATTCTTCCCAGGTAAACCTCTGTGGCCTCACTCCTGCAGTTGGGGGAGAAGAATGTGGCAGCCACTTTCTGGCCTTTCTCCTGCAGGTGAGCACAAAAGCTTAAGACATACACACCTGCAGGGGATGTAGGGGAGTGTTCAGTGGAAGGATGACCTCATTCCCTAATACCTGACCATTCATGGCAGCCTCCGTTTCTTTGAAGTCCTGTTGGAAGTTGATTTCCATGGGGCTTTTATAAGTGTGACTGAGAAAACCATGCCAAAGTCTACACTCAGTCCAATTTGCAGGAGCTGTTTGGAATCCGGGCTGCATTGTTAGGATGATGCCTGTTGGCTCTTCAGCCTGTTCTATTATGTCTAAATCACATGTGTTGGCTTCTAACATACTAATAATTTTTGCTTTTATTGTGTTTGCCACATGTCTCCTCTCATTAGAATGTGAGGGATGCATGTCTCTTTTCTTTATTATTGTATCCCCAGTGCCTAGCACCGTGCCTGGGACCTAGTAAGGGCTTAATTGATATTTGCTGAATGACTTAATGAACAAATGAATGAATGACCCCCAATAGAATCCTCTCGAAGAGATGTTCATTTTTGAACCAAATCCTTGAATAAATTCATATAAATATTTAGTGAGTCTATGATGTGAGTTAAACAAAAAGTACAGAATAAAGAAATAGGATAAGAATGTGTCAACTGACTAATCTCTCCAGGGAAGTAATAACTGAGCACCAAAAAATAAGCTACATGAAACACCACTACTCAGGAATAAAAATAAATGAAATATTGACACTTAAGACAACATGATGACTCTTAAAATTATTATGCTGCATGAAAGAGGCTAGACTCAAAAGATCTGCTGGGTGATTTCATTTATATAAAATTGAGTCTATAAAATATAATCTATAGTCACAGAAAGTAGATCAGTAGTTGCCCGGGTACTGGGAGCGGAGAGGGAGGGATTACCAAGAGGCATGAGGAAGTTTTAGGGATGATAGATAAGTTGATCATCCTGATTGTGGCGACAGTTTTACAGATGTGTGTATACATCAAAACTCACCATATTGCACATTTTAAACAGGTGCAGTTTATTGTTTGTCAGTGATGCCTCAATAAAGCTGAAGACTGCAAAAACAGTACATTTTAATGCATCAATCAAGAACTACCCTTTGAGTGCCCAACAGGCAGTCAAACTATTTTGATTCTCGCTTTCCTTTTCTGTACCTCATCAGTATCTCAGCAGAATTAATTAAGTAGGCACTCAATGAACTGGTGTTATGAAGTGCATTTATGCTTGTTGTGATACATCTTAAGTTTTTATTTCAGAAGCAAAAGTACCATCACCATGATCCATAGACCTTTTGCGTTATAACCAACTTCTCTATCTCTATTTTCCCTAGGATAATTGCTTTGCATTGTTTTATTATTTATTCTACAAGCATTTATTGTACTTTATGTTTATGAATTATTTTTCAATTTCCTCTGATCTCTTTCAAATTCTGATACTGTCTTGCAAGATGCTAAGTACTCAACTCCCACCCTTCCAACTCCTATCCTCTTCTCTTAATAAGCTTAATATCTAGCAAGCAGGTTTTCTCTCCCAACATATAAGTCACTGGTAAAATGATGAAGAACACCAGACCCATGAAGGAAGATGAGGGGGAATTTCCAAGGCTGTTTACTAAGAAAGCAAACCTCTGTCATTGAGATCCTGTAGGTTTGCCCCAAGTAGGGGTTACAATCTAAAAAGAGTGTCAGTTTCCACTGGCTTTCCTCTTGTTTTCCACCTAACTAATGAACTCGCTTCAGCTCAGGGTGAAGGGATATACCAGAAGCAGGACGAAGTGCTTAAAGTGAGAAGATACATGAAATGTTAATCTTCGCTTGACATAAACCCATCTCATTTTTCTACTTGGCATTCTGTGTAGGCTTCACCTTTTCTCCAGATGGTGCAGTCAATTGTGTTTGGGCCATTCTCACATGCATTGTGGTTTCCTAGTTCACACTCGTGGTTGTTTCATGACCTGATATGCCAGTGAACTATCTTCCTTTTAAGATATAGTTGGGCCACATTTTCATTGCCCCTACATCCTTACTTTTTAAATATTGTATGTGAAATCATCTCCCTCTAGTGAGCCTAGCGAAGCCATGACTATTTAAGGAGACAGCATAAGCTCTACACTATAGAGTCGTAGGTTTGAGTCCCGGCCTTGAAATCTTCTAGACGTCAGGATTGCTGATGATCTCACAGCCAGTTTTTCTATCTGCAAATCAGGGCTGATAATACCAACCTGCATTTCTTAAAACGTAGAATTTTATTGATGCTAACTCATATTTTTTATCTTATTTTTAAAATGAATGTCTTTCCTGTGGACCAACCCATATTTTATACAAACATCAAGAATAAGCCATGTCCAATGCTGAGGAATGGCTGAGCAGAGGGTTCCACTCAGTCTCACTGGTAGAATGAGTTTAGTTGCTTGCCTTTGGGAAGATCCTAACTTCTTAATTTCAGCGGTAGTTTTATTTGTGCTTTTGGTTTTGGGTTTTTCTTTCTTTCTTTCCTCTTCCACTTGGATGTGTTACCAAGCCTAAAGGGTCTTGTTGGAGAGAGAAGTAAATCTCAGATGTTGTACTGCTATTGATCTAATTACACAGAAGAACTCTGGGGTCTGTTAGGCATTTTATTAATTGTATTTAATCTAAGACAATGGGGAAGTCTGGTGGTTTCCTTGGAAATACCCAAGTTCAGATATTTAGGTCATTGATTTTCTGCAGCTTTCTTACAGGAAATTAAACATGTGTCCAAGTGATTGAAGTCATGTATTCAAGTCAGCTTTTGCATCCCTCCAATCACTAACTAATAACCTAACTGGTACTTTATGGTTGTCAACCACTAACTAATAACCTAACTAGAACTTTATGATTGTAAGTACTGCAGTCCAGGTTGAATTGGCTTTGTAGATAAAATGGCTTTCTATGTTTATTCCTACAAAGATCTTTCTCTCTCTCTCTCTCTCTCTCTCTCTCTCTCTCTCTCTCATATTTTTATAGAATGGTGTACAACTATGATCTGCTGAAGATAGCAAGAGTGACTCTTATTATCTCCTGTACTATGATCTGTGCATCTTTTCATTGTTGAGAAGAAAATTCTTAAGCCACAGTGAGAGGGTGGAACAAGCTCCATTTCCTGACAATCCATACTCTCTCCTAATTGTGGCTAGACAAGGGACAGAGAAGACCACTTTTTATTCTGGTTACCAGACCCACTCCCAGCACCCATGATGTCATGCCAATCAAGTTTTATTTTTACACATACACACATACACATATGAACATACAGAGTTCTAAATTATTTTCAAACACCAATCAACCTTCATAAATGACCACCCACATAGGAGTTCAGAAAGTCTTCTTTTGCAACAGAAAGAAGATCACCCACTAGTGGACGTGACAGCAGGTTGAGATCAGAAGGAATGGAAAACTCATTAGCTGCCTATTGAATTCAAAGGAAAACAGGTACTTCCCTCTGATGTACATGCATAGGAGATCAGTTAGTTCCGTTTCATGTGTAAACACCAACTGGCTGTGCTCATGGTAAGACTGGAAACAGGCACAGGCCATCCTCCTGTTCTCCCCTGGAGGGGGAGGAAAAGAGAACAATTTGGATGAAATGTGGAAAGAGTGAAGGGAGGAGAAAAAAGGAAAGACTGACAATGAGTGTACTGGAAGGGACATGATAGGTCCCTTAAGAGAATGCCCTATATTAAGGATATGGGGTGTGAAACAGGAAAACTGCTGGCGTGGTAAACAGCTGGCTAAGCCCCCTGAACCGGGTGGATATATTTGCTTTTGTCTAGTTGTCCAGCACTGCTCAGTGAATCATAGGGACCTCCAGGGCATTGTAAACTGTTTCCTATCATGCAGGGTGTTCACACCTTCCCTTCATATGGGACCTGCAGGCCCATTCTTTATCAGCTATGGGGAAAGGAAGTTGTTTGTCATGACTTCAGATATACTCCAGACTTCTCTTTCCTCTGAAGTTCTGCAATTCCAAGATTCCAGATAGGTTGTGGCATGGAAACCAGCATGAAGGAGCCCACAGAACTACCAGGAAGGAGAATAGGGAGGAGTCGTTGGGAAGAGACAAATGGTACCGGGGCTGGTTGAGGCTCTGTCTACACAACAAAATAATTGGCTAAAAAGGGAAAGACGCGCCAGGCGCGGTGGCTCATGCCTGTAATCCCAGCACTTTGGGAGGCGGGCGGATCACAAGGTCAGGAGATCGAGACCGTCCTGGCTAACACAGTGAAACCCCGTCTCTACTAAAAATACAAAAATTAGCCGGGCGTGGCGGCGTGTGCCTGTAGTCCCAGCTGCTGAGGAGGCTGAGGCAGGAGAATGGCGTGAACCCGGGAGGCGGAGCTTGCAGTGAGCCGAGATTGCGCTACTGTACTCCAGCCTGGGCGAAAGAGCGAGACTCCGTCTCAAAAAAAATAATAATAATAATAAAAATAAAAAAATAAAAAAGTGAAAATAAAAAGGGAAAGACTCATTCAGTTAAAAGCCTATTATTGTGTTTACTTGACACCAAATCCCTGCTTTGACTGACTTCCCTTCCCTTCCGCTGAGCTGTTATTGGACTGAATTGATCCATTGTGGCTTCAGCATAGAAAAAGCTTCAAAGCAGAATTTGTGTAGGGAGTCAAGTCATGGAAATGTGATGCCCAAAATAATATGGTATCAGGAGATGAGTGAGAATTGGAACAGTTTATGGAAGGTCGAAAGCAAAACTGAAAATAGGAGTCTTAACTCCAGGGCTGGTTCCCCGGTCTCAGTTTAGTACATCCTGATCATGTCCAGGTTAAAGTGCAGATTGGCCTCATAATTTTAGAATCCTTGAAAGCTGGCAAGTCCTGTTCCAAGGAATTATCCGTTTCAGGTAAACAAGCTGTTATTCTCCCAGGGATATTTCCTTTCAAATTACTCTTATCTTTTCCCTTGGCCAAAGGGCAGGACAGCAGTAACACTAAAGCAAAGCAACACAAGAGCATGGAATCAGCAGCCCAGGCCTTCTCTCAGTGCCCTTGGTGCACTCAGTACCCACGGCTCTTCAGTCCCTGCCCTCCCTTGCTAATCCATCATCTCCACCTGTTCCTGGACTGGGTCTCCCTGTCTATGTTTTTGGTGTAGGGCCTCTTTCCTAATCCTGCTAGAAGAGTGATAGTTCTAAAATGATCATAATAGTCACACTATGCTATTATTATTATGAATCATCAGAGCCCTTCATTCCCTTGCTCTAAACCTTCCATTAGCTGCCCATTGCATGAGAAAAAGATCCCAGTGATATAAGGCCAATGGGTGGGGCCTCATCAGCCTTCTTCATTGCTCACACGCCATGACCGCCCATCAGTCACTGTAGGTCTCCTCTCCTTCCCTGCGACACAGTGAGCAGTCTCCCACCCTGCCAGGGCCTTTGCACTTGCTGCCTCTCAGCCTGAGACTCTTTGTCTTGGGCATGGTGGTGCACCTCTGTGGTCCCAGCTACTTGGAGGGTGAGGCAGGAAGATCCTTTGAGCCCAAGAGTTTGAGGCTGCAGTAAGCCATGATCACACCACTGCCCTCCAGCCTGGGTAACAGAGGGAGACCTTGTCTCTAAAAAATAAATAAATACATAAAGAAAATTAAGACCAACAAGAAAGAAAGTTTAAAATGCAAGATCAAGCATTTTTCCTTGCTATTTGGAGATGTGGAACATCCAAGTGATTTGAAAGAAAAAAAAAACTTTCCAACGTGTCACAGATTTGAAGAGCATCTCTTGCCTGGCACAAAGTACGAAAATGTCCTGAGCTGCCTGTGTCTGGAAGTCTGGGGTGGGGGAGGTGGGACCTTGAGGGAAAGGCAGCTGCCAACATCTGTTGAGAGCCTACCCTGCACACTTAGTCTCACCTGGTTTGAAAAATTCCCCTTCAGTCTCCTCAGTGATGACCCTTCATTAGCAAGAAAAGGGAACTAGCTCAGATTTCTCCGTGGGCCACAAGAATCTGTCTGGTGAGAGAGAGCATATTCATCTTCATCTGCAAGAGACAGTAACTCAATTTGACCTTAAAGAGACTTCCCTCCCACTCACCCCCCTACCCCAGGATTCTTTTCTGCCTTTGTTTCAGTACTATCAAGCACATATCCTAGAAAAATTTAAAAAACATAAAAATCAAAACAAATCATAAAAAGACTCTTACAGCATAAGACATAAAGAAGCTAAGCCACGTTTGGATGTGTACATTCAATTGAACATAATTTAAGAATCTTCTCCCTTGGATCACAGAAACAAACATTGTCTATCTAAGCTATGGAATGCAATGTCAAAATTTTTGTAGGGTTCACTTTGAGATTTGCTTCCATCTGTTAACAATAGGGAAGAAAGGGAGGAAAAGAGAAAGAATGTGGCTCTGTTGTCCCAGCCCCCGGGGATTGCAGTTTTGCTCCTCTGCCACCCCTGCCTTGCTCTGTGGTCTCAGAAAAGTTACTGACCTTTCCGTGCCTTAGTTTCCTCTCTGTAAGATGGGCACAATGATACTGAGACCTCAAAGTGCTTTTGTGCGGACTAAACACAACCTATGACAAACGATGTCATTCTGGCTGGGTGCAGTGCTCAAGCCTGTAATCCTAGCGCTTTGGGAGGCCGAGGTGGGAGGGTCACTTGAGTCCAGGAATTCGAGACCAGCCTGGGCAACATACTGGGATCCTGTGTCTACAAAAAGTAAAAGATTATCCGGGCATAGTGGCGCACCCAGGGTCCCAGCTACTCGGGAGGCTGAGACAGGAGAATCACTTGAGTCCAGGAGGTCAAGGCTGCAGTGAATTAGGATCTTATAATTGCTCTCCAACCTGGGTGACAGAGTGAGACCCTGTCTCCAATTTTTTTTTTAAAAAGTCATTATTAGGAGAGAGAAGGAAGTTCTCTTGGTTACTACAATCAGTTGATAAGAGGTATTGTAAAATCATGGAGTCGTTACATCTGAAACCGACCTTAGATTCCAACTCCTCATTTTAAGAATAAGGAAACCAAGGCTGGAACATATGAACGACACAGCATTTAGACACAAAGTTGGGTTGTGTCTATACAGCCTGAAGCTTTTAGGATGTTGAGAAAACATGTTTTCAACAGTATATTTTTATAATACATGTCCTTTCTACTGATTAATTTAGTAACATAAAAGAAATGCTTTATAGAATGATTTTTATATATAGTTCACTAGACATTTTTTCAGAAAAAGATACATATTTGAGTGAAAAGACAAATTAGTGTTTTAGAGTTTCTTTTAGAGCATTCCAGCTTGTTGCTAGACTAAACTGGATGGATTAAAAATGGTCTCTTAAAAAAAATCTCATCCAATCGGTTACTGCTTTGTGATTATAAGTTTGTACAATCTTTTTGAAGTTTTTCTCACCAATATATATAAAATGCAAAATAGTTAAGCTTTCTGAGTGAGCAATTCCATTCCTGGAAATATATCCTACAGAATTTCTTGCATCAGTGTACATGATTCAGTACAAGGATATTCACTGTAGCATTGCAAACATTCCATAACTTAAAATACCCTTCAAACATCTCTCTCTCTTTTTTTTTTTTTTTTTTTTTTTTTTTGAGACAGAGTCTTGCTCTGTCACCCAGGCTGGAGTGCAGTGCTGCGATCTCGGCTCACTGCAACCTCTACCTCCCAGGTCAAGTGATTCTTGTGCCTCAGCTTCCCAAGTAGCTGGAATTACAGTCATGTGCCACCATGCCCACCTAATTTTTTTTTTTGTATTTTTAGTAGAGATGGGGTTTTGTCATGTTGGCCAAGCTGGTCTCGAACTCCTGGCCTCAAGTGATCTGCCCACCTTGACCTCCCAAAGTTTTGGGATTATAGGCTTGAGCCACTGCACCCAGTCAAACATCTCATTTAAAAAAAATTTTTAATGAGTATGTAGTAGCAAACATCTGATTTTAATCGATGTTTAGCATTCCATTTTGTTTACCATAACTTATCTGACCAATGTCCTTTCACTTGGCTATTCAGTTTATTTCAAACTTTCTCTTACTACAGTTGAATACTATGAATATTCTTACAGGGAGTCCTCGTGCAGAATAGATTATCTGAACAGGGAAAAATGATGAAGAGTTGTATATCTTATATTAGAACACATACAACATCACCCGAAGAGTGAAAGAAATGGCACAATTAGTGAGTTAATAAAAAACCGCTGCATGCTGCATGGTGTCCTCAAATAACAGAAAGAGTAGCCCCAAGGCATTGAAAGCCACTAATGAATAAAGGAATCATCCTAGGATTGGCCAAGAGTCATTCTAGCTGCAGATCTGTCAGAAGCTGATTCGGTGGTGATTTGTGGAGAGAAACCTGTACCCCACAGCACTGGTTTTTAAACTACCCCAGTGACAAGCACATATAGAGAATTTACTGTGTATGAAAATTCTGATATTCTTTGCCCAGGGTACAGAAAAAGGAAACGTAATGTTGGGTGGGGGGATTGTTGGATTCTATTTTTTTTTCTTTCTTTCTTTTTTTTTGAGACAGAGTCTTGTTCTGTTGCCTAGGCTGGAATGTAGTGGTGTGATCATAGCTCACTGCAAGCTCAAACTCCTGGGTTAAAGTGATCCTCTCTTTTCAGCCTCCAGAGTTGTTGGGAGAACAGGTGCATGCCACCATGCCTGACTAATTTTTTTTATTATTATTTTTTGTAGAGACGGAGTGTCACTATGTTGTCCAGGCTGGTCTCAAACTCCTGGCCTCAGGCAATCCTCCCGTCTTGGCCTTTCAAAGTGCTGGGATTAGAGGTTTGAGCCACTGTGCCCAGCAAGGTTCTAATAAGACAAATGGAACTGAGGATGACAAGTAATAGTAAACCTTTCTTTTTCATCATAGACGTTTGAACATGTTTATGTCCCCAAAATTGAATCCATAGTATACCCTGGTGATGGTGTTTCTAGGACCTGTGAGTAGCAAAATTAGTGTAAAAATGTATTTTAGAATGGAATTATTAGGTGTAATCAGTGATATTGTAAATTAAGGGAGAAAACAGAAATAGATGGGTCGTTTGGCCTATACTGTGTCAACTGCTCCCTCACTGTGCCATAGAAAAACATGCCAGCATAGAGAATCTCAGTGGGGGGAAAGGATGCAGATCGTTGGAAGCCCAAAGTGTGTGGAAATACTCAAAATGATTTTTGACATATACACGTTAAGTCAAACTTATCAAGTCAATTAATCAATTTATCCATTGGAGAGATATTTTATACCAATATCTCTGTACCAGTTTAGATATAACATAGAGAGAGTAGTAGAAAGGGCTTTTAAACAAAGGATCATTCTTTACATCAGTCATAAAAATAAAAATTTAAACAGAATCTATACTATCCTACAGCTTTTAGCAGAAAGGATTTACAGCTGGTGGCTTTAAGAGAGTGAGTTTCTCCTTCCTTGTCTCTTTTTGTTTGGTTGTCATGGGAGTCTATGTTTATGGGGAAATTCTGAATGTATTTGCTATAAGGAGCTATTTCTGATTTCTCTCTCTCTCTTTTTTATTTTTATTATTATTATTTTTTAGAGAGACAGCTCTGTGGCCCAGGCTGGAGTGCAATGGTGTGATCATGGCTCACTGCAGCCTTGAACTCCTGGGCTCAATTCATCCTCACACCTCAGCCTCCCATGTAGCTGGAACTATAAGCATGTGTCGCCACAAGCAGTCAATTTTAATTTTTTTTTTTTTTGTAGAGATGGGGGTCTCACTATGTGGCTCAGGCTGGTCTCAAACTCCTAGCCTCAAGCGATCCCCCTGCCTTGGCTTCCCAAAGTGCTGGGATTACAGGGGTGAGCCACTGCGCTCGGCCCCAGTGATCTTCAGAAGTAAAAATGTCTGAGACGGGGTGGGCTTACTGAATGTAAGTTAAGCAAAAGCACATTAAAAAAAATTAGATTCAGTCAGATACTTTTTGGAGACGTATTCAAAGCACTGTCTGTATAAGGCTTTAGGTGGAACATTTTAATTCTGTTGAAATGACTCTTACAATTTGAAAGTCTACCTGAAGCCTTACCATTTTGGAAAACACGCAAAGAATAACTACCTAACCTACTCAGGGAGGCTAGGGAAAGATGAAAGTATGTGTGAAAATAGTTGTCTGATGGTCCAAGAAGTGGATTATTCAGAGAACTAAGCCTACTTCCTAAGTACAGGTAAAGACAAAGGAAGCAATCCTTAAATCCCACTTTGCTAAATCCAGGCAATACTGCAGAGAAGCACACGGCTGTGAAGTTGCAAGTCCTCGCTCCACTCTGAGAAGCTTACTTAATCTCTCTGGCTGTCAGTTTCCTCATTTGTAAAATGGAAGACAAAAATCTCTATTTTAAAGATGACTGAAAGGATTATGAGATACAGTGTGTGGCCAGTGTTAGTCTGAAGTAGCTGGTCAATAAGAGGGACCGAGGCTGGGCCCAGTGGCTCACGCCTGTGGTCCCAGCACTTCGGGAGGCCAAGGCGGGCGGATCACTTGAGCTCAGGAGTTCGAGACTAGCCTGGCCAACATGTTGAAACCCCGTGTCTACCAAGAATGCAAAAATTAGCCGGGTATGGTGGCACATGCCTGTAATCCCAGCTACTTGGGAGGCTGAGGCACGAGAGTCGCTTAAACCTGGGAGGTGGAGGTTGCAGTGAGCTGAGATCACGCCACTGCACTCTAGCCTGAGTGACAGAGTGAAGGACCTGTTTATTTATGCCCAACCTCTGTCCTCATCCAGGTCCAATTCCCACCAGCCCCTAAATAGCTTTGCTCCTCAGCATGGCCAATGAAAAACTTGGATGTCGCTGAATGTGTGGTTGTGAACAATTCCAGTCCATCTCTGCTTTATCAAATCACTCTGAGCACTGGTCAGAATGGTAGAAGTTCATTATTATTTGCCATGATAGACTGGCCAGCTAAGAAACAGATGATCAATTCTATATCTTAGATGTTTTGTAATACACTACCATGCATACTGCACTTTGTCAGATACTCTGGAATACATGCAAAAGTTAAATATAGTAGAAAGAAGACCAAAAAGAAAATAGTCATACAACAACAGCAAGATGTGATTTGGGCCCTGAAATGAAGGAGAAAGACTGGCATTTATTATTTCCTATAATTTTGTTTTTTGTCTGTTTATTTTATTTTGAGACAAGGTCTCACTCTGTAACCCCGGCTGAGTGCAGTAGCATGATCACGGCTCACTGCAGCCTTGGCCCCCTCAGGCTTGAGCGATCCTCCCACGTCAGCCTCCCGAGTAGCTGGCACCACAGGTGTACACCACCACACCAGGCAGAATTTTTTTTTTTTTTTTTTTTTTTTAGTGGAGATGTGGCTTTGCTATGTTGACCAGGCTGGTCTTAAACTCTTGGGCTCAAAAGATCCTCCCACCTCGGCCTCCCAAAGTGCTGGGATTACAGGCATGTGCCACCACATCTGGCCTGGTCCCTAGAGTTTTAACATAACATGTGAGGATTCACCTGACCAGTTCTTTTTTTGTTTTGTTTTTTAGTCCCATAAAAGATACTAATGTTATTTACACAGTTCTATTAATAATAATAATAATAATAGCTAAATGCATTCAATGCTTACTGTGGGCCAGGCATTGTACTAGATGCTTTGCAAGCAGGACGTCAGTAGTGCTCCCAACAGCACTTTGAGACTAGTATCGTCATTCCCATTTTAGAGATGAGAAAATTGAGCCTTGAAGAAATGGACTCACTTAACTCTATACAGCCAGGAAGCAGGAATACTGCCTTTGGAATCCAAATCTGACTCCAACTCCTACTTTCTTTTCCCTATATCACTTCACACCAAGAGAAAGGAGATGCTTAGGATGTTGGGACTGGAAGGTACTTGCCATCTCGTCTAGCCTCCTCTCTCTAAGGTTGAGGAGGAAATACTTTTTCTAGGCTGAAACAGAAAGTGGTACCTGACTTAGTCCATGAAAGGCAATGAATGGTGGGAGATAGGTGTTCCAAGGAGGCCTGGCAATGGTGATAAAAGAAAAACTTTAGCCAAATTAAATGTAAAGGTATTTAATTGAGCAATGAACAATTCCTGAATCGGGCGGCCCCCAGAATCACAGCAGATTCACAGAGACTTCAGTGCAGCCACGTGATGGAAGAAGATTTATAGACCAAAAAAAGGGAAATTATGTACAGAAATGGGAAATGAGGTCCAGAACGACTGGGCTGGTTACAGCTCGGCATATGCCTTATTTGAACACAGTTTGAACACTCAGCGGTGTATGAATGGTTGAAGTATGGCCACTGGGATTGGCCAAGACTTAGCTATTGTTACAGGTGCATACTACTAAGTTAGGTTTTCAATTTTGTCTGCCTATTAAGCTAGGCTATAGTTTGTCCACAAGGACTCAAATATAGAAGTATGGAGTTCTTCTCAGGCCATATTTAGTTTGTTTTAACCATGGTTTTCCCCCTTTAAAATGCTGACAACTGCAGAGCAGTATTTTCAGAGTATCCGGAGTATGTCAAAGACCAGTCAATATGAATGGCCTGACAAGAGTGATATTCTATCCTACCATGAGCTTGCATTAGAGAGGCCTCAGACTTTAATCCAGGCTGTGAAAGGCCAGGATAATATGTAACTAAGTGAGGCAATGGAGTACCTTCCCCTTAACGAATGGGTTTCCTAAGAAGTCTTCGGCATGAACTTCATCCAGAAGAAATGAAGACACAAGAAGATAATGCACTAGTTGCCACCACAAGTCCCTGCAGTGTCCCCTGCCTGGGCCCTGCACTCCATCATAACAGGTGAGGGTCCTGCCTTTCTTACATTTCCCAGGTAAGATGATCAAAGTTAAAACTTTGAAACTGTCTTCCATCCCCCCGCAAAAGGAACTCAGTAGCCACAAAGGAGGCAATGTCATGTCATTTACCAGCCTCTAAAGCCTGCCCCAAACTCAGTAATTCACCAATCCTGAGATTAAGGGGAACAAAGTAGGTCTGTTCTCTTTTTCCCTTTTTTTTTTTTTTTTTTACTTCCTTGTGCACTGTGTCCCACCATGAGAAATAAGCATGTAGTTTCACTTCCAGTGTGGTCAACGGGCAGAATGCTAAGATCATGGCATTGAGAGAGACTCCAAGCCTGGGGAAAGAGCCTAGAATGCCACCCACTGTGATGAAAACAGCCAGCACTCACAATAGTGAGGGGCCATTCGATATGGGTGCACCTATCCACAGTGCCTTCAGTAGGAGGGAAACAATCTGCCTTTTATAGCCATTTAATCACTGAAGCAATGCAAAAGTCATTAGATATTTACTGAAGATTCTCACCAGTGTCAGACTTGAGATTTGAACTTGAGATACCTTTGAGAATACAAAGCTTACATTTGATCCCTGCCCTGGAATGCTTAGAATCTAATGGAGAGATAAGAAACCAAACCTGGAAGCTTAAGCAATGATGGAGAATGAATAGAGTAGCACAGATTTGCACTGCTAGAAGAGTAGAATCCCCAATATTTAGTATGGCACAATGGTAAGGAAATTGAAAACCTGGGATTTAGTCTATATTTCCTAAGTACAAAATGGAATAAGTTTGTAAAACCATGCAATGTTTCTGGTCCAGATTTTTTTTTTTTTTTTTTTTTTTGAGATGGAGTCTCACCCTGTCGCCCAGGCTAGAGTGCAATGGCACGATCTTGGCTCACTGCAACCTCTGCCTCCCGGGTTCAAGCTATTCTCCTGCCTCAGCCTCCAGAGTAGCTGGGATTACAGGTGTGCACCTCCACACCCAGCTAATTTTTGTATTTTTAGCAGAGACGGGGTTTCACCATGTTGGCTAGGCTGGTCTTGAACTCCTGACCTCGTGATTCACCCGCCTTGGCCTCCCAAAGTGCTGGGAGTACAGGCGTGAGCCACTGCGCCCAGCCCAAGATTTTTTAAAGTTATAACACAAGCAAGATATCTAAAGTCACTTAAAATAATTTTTTTTAAAAAAAACAAAAACCTTGTGAATGTGTGAGACTGAGGGGAAGAAGATAGGAAAGCCCTGGAGACCTGTGTGGCTGGTGCAGACACTTCCAGAAGGATTGTCATGGGAAACAAGGAAAGGAGAGAAGAAGGCAGGAAGAGAAGCTTCTTCAGTCAGGAGAACCCTGAATGCTGGGTGCAAATGATAGCATACATGCGGGTGGGCAGTGTTTCCTGGGCTTTCAAGCATTCCTTCCCTTTGATGACTCATCTGTTTCTGTACCTTCTATTCCTCAATCACGAATTTACATCCATTCTGTCTAATTAAAATAGCTAACATTGATGGAGCATTTTATAGTATCAGGCACTGTTCTGTGGGCTTCATATGTTGCCTTACTTAATTCTCACACCAAGAATATGGCATATGTATTACTACTCTCTCCGTTAAAGTTGAGAACACTGAAGCACAGAGATGTTAATTAACTTAGTCAAGGCCACACAGTTTGTTAATAGCCCAATCTGAATTTGAACTCACACGGTGTGATAAGGAAAGCCAACCTCTGTCTGCTAACCTGAAAGACCTTTTTGCCAAAAAAAATCTAGATTTTTGAGCATTTATCCAATGAGATATCCAAGAAGTCTCTTCAGTTTTTCACTGTATCTCACATGTGTGAACCTAGCCACAGTATGACTTATCTGCAGAAGGATAAGGGCAAGTTATCATGTCTCCTGTCAAGGTAAAAATGTTGTTTCACAATTCCCTGGCCGACCTTCCAGGCAAATTTGCTGCAAAAACAGTTTTTGTGGGGTTTGTAGCAAAATTATATGATAAGAAGGACACGAACCGAATTCCTTTTTTAAAGGACTATGCTGGTTTTTGTAGCCCCTGGCTGTGTAGTGACAACAAATGCATGCTAAGGGGCAGTCCCTGGTGAGTACTTATCTCTTTAACCTGTTTTAATCTCCAGACAAGTCAAGAGCCTACAGAGGGGTAAAGGACATGTGACATACTCAATAACATTATCTATGAAAAGATATTCCCACAATTTTTTTAAAAAAAGCTTTATTGTATTTACAGGGGCAAGCGTCCCATTCTTCTCCCTATGCCAATTTCACCGTGCAGTAGAGGTCATTAACTTGTGTAATATGGAGGAACCAAGAACGCTGCTTCCTCATTACAGCAGAAGAGACAGCAGCCCCCAGCTGTTATGAAACAGTGCTGAGCTTCACAACAGGAAGTACGATCCATGGCCAGTAAATAATGCTGCCTTCCCTTCCCTTTCAGTAAGCCTCGGAACTTCCTTATCCTTAGTTCCAAATCCTTTTACAGATGTTTACCTGGGAATTTGGATTTTTCTTCCCTTCTCTTAGCTCCTTTGAGGAGCCAGACAGTGTCATTGACCTCTCGCTTCATGTTAATAGTAAGCTAAGGGGAAAGCCACAATATGTCTGTTGTTCTCAGGAAAACCTTGAAAACACAAGGGAGAAAGCCCACTGTCTGACTATACCCATCTTTTTCTCTAAATATTTTGAGTTGGACTCTATCAACATCACTTTGCCCTTGAGTCAGAGTTTCTCTTTGAATGTACCTTGACACACCCTGTTCAAAACCAAACCAGGCAGCCTGAATCAGGCAACAGTATTTTGTATGTAAGTTTCTGCAAACATAGTCGGAGGTATAAGAAGAGCGCTGTAAATAGCTGCCTTAGTTCAGCAACTACAATCCATGCCAGATAAATGGGGGGAAAAATACTAATTCATCTGTGACTAATTCATCATGAGAAGAGGAGTAAAGGAGTTTCCAAAAAACTGTGCAGCTAATAACATATCATTCCTACATCCAAGAATGTGCCATTACTCCAGAATTTCTGTTGACAGGTGTGTCCGTTTTCTATTGCTGCTGTAACCAATGATCACAAACGAAGTGGCTTAAAACAACACACACATTTTTTAAACTTTTATTTTAGGTTCAGGGATACATGTGCAGGTTTGTCCTATAGATAAACTACATGTTGCAGGGGTTTGGTGTGCAGATTATTTTGTCACCCAGGTAATCAGCATAGTAGCCATAGGTAGTTTTTCAATCCTCACTCCCCCGCACCCTCCACTCTCGAATAGGCCCCAGTGTCTATTGTTCCCTTGTTTGTGTCCATGGCCACACGTTTCTTTTTGTTGTTTTTTTTTGAGACAGAGTTTCGCTCTTGTTGTCCAGGCTGGAGTGCAGTGGCGTGATCTCAGCTCACTGCAACCTCCAACTTCCGGGTTCAAGCAATTCTCCTGCCTCAGCCTCCCAAGTAGCTGGGACTACAGGGATGCGCCACCACGCCAGGCTAATTTTGCATTTTTAGTAGAGATGGGGTTTCACCATGTTGGTCAGGCTGGTCTTGAACTCCCGACCTCTGATGATCTGCCCACCTTGGCCTCCCACAGTGCTGAGATTACAGGCGTGAGCCACTGCGCCCAGCCCACACATGCTTTTTATCTTACAGTTTTGTAGATCGGAAGTCTGACATGAATCTTACTGGACTAAGAGCAAGGTGTCGGCGGGACTGCATTCCTGTCTGTAGGCTCTTGGTGAGAATCCATTTCCTCACCTTCTCCAGCTTCTAGAGGTTTCTACATTCCTTGGCTTAGGACTCCCTCCCTCTATCTTCAAAGCCAGCAGTGCCCGGCCAAGTCCTTCTCAGGCTGCCATCCCGCTGGTCCTCCCTTGCATAGTCCCATCTTCCTTTTTTGCTTTTAAGGACTCTTGTGATTACATTAAGTCCATCCCAAAACTTCAGGATAGTCACCCTATTTTAAAGTCATCTGCTTAGCAACCTTAATTCCATCTGCCACCTAAATTCCCCTTTCCCATGTGACGTACAGGACGTGGACCCTGTCCTGAATTGGAGAGTGATAATTCTCTCCACCACAATAGGCAAATAGCCACATATTTTTTCTAGTAGCATAAAGTTTGTTCTCTTCTTTACTGCAGGGAGACTCTCATATTTACTAGGAATTCAATTATAAGAAATAACTTTTTTATTATACATGAAGTAATATGAACAATAGCTGCCCTTTATTGAGTATTATTATACCAGGCAATGTATTCTGCATTCATTTGTTTTTCGAATTCTTACTGGAACCTTGCAAGATAGGCAGGGCAGGTGATAAGATTCTCATCTACAGATGGAAAATCTGAGGCTCAGAAAGATGAAGGCTCACTCAAGTTGTTATTATTATTATTATCATTATTTTTTGTAAAGACGAAGTCTCACTACATTACCCAGGCTGGTTTTGAACTCCTGGGCTCAAATGATCCTCTTGCCTCGGCCTCCCAAAGGGTTGGGGTTACAGGCACGAGCCACCGCGCCCGGCCTCAATTCAGCTATTGAAGTCACACTGGATTCCCGTCAGCCATGAAACTGACACTTTCTCCTGCCTTCTCAACCGCCAGCCCTCACCTGTGGGGAGCTACCCCCACGACTCTTGTCCTCTTCTTTTGCCTTTAAGTGAAACCCACCTGCCTTGTGAGCCCTTGAGCTAAACAGCTGGAATATGGACTCATAAGTCTGGGATTGCTGGGGAGTGTGGGCCCATTGAGAATTTTGTAGAAGACCACATTAGAAGAGCATGGATCCTACATCTTGGCCTTCTTTGCGTCGAGAAAGCAAATCTTTGTGGGGGAACTGAAGTTAAGCTTTGAGTATGGAAGATGGACCCTGAGGGTACATTTTTGGAACCTTACCTAGAAGCCTATAGGTCAACATTGTCATTTCTTCAGACATCAAGGGACACCCTGCTTTTAGAGAGCACTGCTTTGAGCTTTGTTTTCAGTCTTTATCCCCAGGTCACATCATGATCTTCTCCTAGGACAGAGCTGCGGCTGGTGTCAAACTGCTCCATTCCCCTGCACCTGTTTGGCTTGGGTGGGGGAAATGAGTCCTCGCTCTACAAGTCGAGCCTCTCCTAAGATGAGGGTCAGCACCCCTAGGGTGAGGGAAGAGCATAGATGATCGCCACCAACAAAATTAACAACTGGCAAATGATATGAATGATTTTCTACCTGGATGCTGGTATGATTCAAGTTTTTGGTATTTTCTTGTGCTTTCAACCTGGGAACAAAGGCCCTCTTTTTGTGAGTTCTTTGCTGTAAAATCAAATAGTTCAACTAGCTGCCACATAATGAAAGAAAGATCGCTGGGGTTTCTTCCTAATGAGCCCCAGTTGAAAAGCCCCCCCAACTAACATGCTCACACATTTTTCCCAGTATTAGAGTACTTCTCTTCATTGTTTTTAGAAACCAGGACATTTCCTAGTTCTAAGCGTCCACATCTTAAATAGTCAGCTCAGTACCCTGCAGTACTTTCCCTTTCCTATCAAAGTCAAATTGGGTGGAACTCTGTATCACCTTCCCAGATTTCCCTCTCCAGCTCACTTCCCTATCTAGGAACGCCCTTCTGATTCTCCTGGACTCATAGCAAATGTGGCCCCAGTGAGGCCCCAGGTGGAGAGAACTATGCCTGTCCTCCACAATCTTGGGGCACTGTTTGCAAACCACTCTGATTACATGCATCTTACAGTGTTATTTATGCATCAGCCTCTCCAAGTAGACAGCGAACTATGTCAGGACTTATTTATCCCTCCCACTTGGCTTAGCCAGGGCCCTGTACAGAACAGGTGCTCAGTTAGGTTGGTTAAAAGATCAGCTAGATTAGCTCAAGCAGAGATTTGTTAGAAAAGAGCATGTTACTCAATGCAATATGGTCCCCTGGATTGTCTCTTGGAATAGAAAAAGCACATTAAATAGCAAACTGGCAAAACTGAAATTAAGTCTGGAGTTTAGGTAATAGTATTGCACCTGTGTCAGTTTCTTAGTTTTGACAAATGTACGGTAGAAATGTAAGACGTTACCATTGGCAGAAGCTGGGTATATGGCAATTCTTTGTACTATCTTTGCAACTTTTCTGCAAATTTAAAATTATCCCAAAGTAAAATGTTTATTCAAACAAAAAAGGCTTGCTATTTTGCTTGAAAGAAATTGCAATGTTTTAAGATGAGTCGTACAATAAGAAAAATGAATTAAGCTTTTCTCTGCCCCTCCCTGCTCCTCCAATATCCTGGGGTTGACTCACTCCGGAGAGCTACAGAGTGGCCCCATCAGTGGGCATCCACTTGTATACTCCACGTCTGGAAGTGGGGGCCACTAAAAAGTACAAATGTTGCCGGCAGGGCGCGGTGGCTCACGCCTGAATCCCAGCACTTTGGGAGGCTGAGGCAGGCAGATCACGAGGTCAGGAGATGGAGACCACCCTGGCTAACACGGTGAAACCCTGTCTCTACTAAAAATACAAAAAAATTAGCCAGGCGTGGTGGCGGGTGCCTGTAGTCTCAGCTGCTGGGGAGGCTGAGGCAGGAGAATGGCGTGAACCCGGGAGGCGGAGCTTGCAGTGAGCCGAGAATGTGCTACTGGACTCCAGCCTAGGCGACAGAGTGAGACACCGTCTCAAAAAAAAAGAAAAAAAAAAGTACAAATGTCTTAGCCATTCAAAGTGGCAGCAAGAAGGGCCACTTGAATTAAAAGTGAAAAGGATTTTTTTTTCTTTGTTTTCCTGGAATCTCCCTTGCTGTTTGCCAAGCCAAGATCATGGCCTCATACAGAAACCCTGGGCCAGCCAGTGACAGCTGGGTTGCCCCAGGCAGTCCTCCAAACCCTCGACTCTGCTGAGACACACACAGGTTGCCCAGCAGCTCTTGGGTCATAGGAGCCTTATCCTTGAGACACTACAGTAAGCTCTGAGACTTGTTGAAGAAGAGGGCATTTGCCTTCCCTATTCCCATCTCCAAGATGGGAATTATTATCGAGCTAGAGCTGATATTGGCTGAGGGAATTAGTCTTTCTTTCCCTCAGATGGTTTATGGCTTATCTGGGTGGTGGGAAATCTTTCTAGTAACTGATGAGAGTGTTCCACCTCTGCTTGCCACCTCTCTAGTTCAACTTCGAACAAAAGAGACCAGCAACAATTCCCAGTGTGATGTACAACCTTCTGGGCCATTGGTTGGTAATCCAGAACATTCCATTTGCCTTTGCTGAGCGCATTTAGGAAGATCACAACTGTTATAAGGTGACTAACCATTTTCACCGATGGCAACAAGTCTTGACTGGAGGAGGAATATTTTGGCAAATGCCTAGAAATCTAAAGTCAGATATCTACCTCCCATTCACCATCCCATCCTCACATCTTCCACCTGGTCCTACTGAATACAAACCAAATGGTCTAAAGTCTTCAGTTGTAAAGAAGCCCTACATAGCTGTGGAACCCTAGGCCCACTGGAACTGGTTTTCCCTCCAGAAGAGTAATGGGAACTGTTATAGCCTTTTCCACTTTAGAGATACGGTTTTATTTTTTTCTTATTGTCACTGTTACCATTTTCCTCTGAGAAGAAACTGAGTTTGCAAAAAGATTTGAGGAGCCCAATTCTCCTAAGCTCAGTCAGATCACAGTGCGGGGGCCTTGCCTTTACCTCCTGAGCTATCTTCTGAGTCCCCAGGAGATACATTCACGTGGCGCAGTCTCAGTCAAAGTTGTTGACACCAAGAAGTTCTGGCAAACTGGTAAGTATGTGCAAATGTAAACAGCAAGAGAAGGGAGGTTTTCCCTGGAGCATCTCTGCTGTCTACGAACTGGCTCTGCAATCTGCCCCCACTCATTCACAACCCTCCTTCCTTGAAGATGGCTCAAGCAGAGGCTTTAAACAGTGGACAGTGACAGCCCCTTATAGAGGAAAAGCCCCTGCATGCCACATGCTATTTGCTATTTTTATTTCACAGCCAAGGATGAAACCTTTCATTTGCAGACACAGACCGAGTCACCCCTGTGGCCAAGATTAATATGCAAACATCTCAGTTTGCAGTCTGGTGGGGAAGGAGAAGCTTCCTCAATTACTTATGCAGCAGTAACCCTTGTCCACTTCTCACCTCCCAGAGTTTCAGGCACAGGTACCCCTTTTCTCTTGCATATGTCATGTAGTCTCAACTGTGTCTTCAATCTAGGAACTTTACCCAGCCCTGGCAAGCTGTACTAAACCCTAGTCTGAGACATCTGGCTTTTGCCCAGATAATTACATGCCTAACATTGTAATTCAGGTTTGGCACTGCTATTTCATAATGTTTTCTTTTTCTAAGCTGGAGCCTTCCAAGGGAGGAGAGTAGGACAATGGAGAAATGAAGACAGAAAAATGCAAGCATTAACCCTGAGGTTTCTTTCTCAGTTGCATTCAGCAAACTAGCAGAGGTACCTAGACTTTCAATACCCAAAATGTGGTCTGTGAACTGGCAACCCCAGGATCACCTGGGAGCTTATTAGAGTCTCAGGTCCCACCTAGACCTCTTGAATCAGAATCCGCACTTTAACAAGATTCCCAGGTGACTCATGTACATATTAAAGTTGGAGATGCATCCTGAATTTGTCACATCAGTGTGAAAGGTGCTGAGCACAGGGCAGATGCTCATGAACTGACCACACAGTGGGGAGTCAACTCTAGGTGAATTCCATGCCACCCCTTTCTAAATGTTAGTGACTATTACTGCTGCCACAAGCTGATATGCGAATGGTGTTGGACAATTCATTTTGTACTCATAAGAAAATCAGTATCAATTGATTGCAAGGGGAAAAAATGCTAGACTTCAAATTCCTACTGCAGCAACCCATTTCCAAGTGCGGGTGTCGAGATGGGAGAAAAGAGGGCTTGTCTTGGGTCAGGAGAGCTGGGTTTCATTCCCAGTGGGTGCCTAGCCAGCTGGGAGACCCTGGGCAGTCATGTCTTCCTTTAGTGCCTCAGTTTCTTCATCTGCACAGAGGGAGAATGGAAACTAGACTTAATGGTATTTACAATCATGACCTACAACATAGCATGGACCCTCCACCCTCCCATTTCTTCTCTAATCCTTTTATCCTATTTCACTTTTCTCTAAAATGCTTAGCAATACACTTGCCACATTATATATTTATTTGTTTTTTTGCACTAAAATGCAAGCTTCATGAGCCACTGCATCCAGCCTGATAATGTTTTTAAATTTGCTGTATGCATCACATCCCCTTTCCTTGTTTATCATTCTCTGAGAAACAAATGTTCTCCAGGGGTTCCGTATTTTAAAAGGAAACTAATTTTTCCTCATCCCTCAAAAAATTCGAGGAAAGCTGGGAGAAGGCATTCATAGGCAGATAAGTAACAACTTATTTCCAAAAACTAGATGCAAAGGCTGCAGGCCTACAAAATGTTGTCTTTTATAGACTCCTCACTTTTATAAGATGCAAAAAAAAAAAAAATCAGAGGAATAGCTTGTAACAAATGGTTACAACTATGGAAATACAGGAATGGCCAAAAAAAGGCAAAATTCCACTATAATAGTGTCATGTGCTTTTCCTCATTGGTTCCTCCTATTTAAACCCTTAGCATGTCTCTCCATCTTCTCTTACCCTCTCAAGCTACATTTCAGATGGCCCCAACTCCCTGATTTGTTTTCACATATCATTTAAGGGCTAGCAGGGCAAAACCTTCTGAAAAGTCATGCAGATGATCATTTGCCTGGCACGCTTTTTTTTAAGTCAGGACTCAAATGAATTGAAAAGTTGCAAACATATTATTTGCAGGCAATGTGCTCAGACCCCCTTGCCTCGATAGTGGGCTGCATGAAGCAGTGGTGGTGCACCATCATCCACCATTTCTGGTGCCAAGTTTTGTCTCGTGTCCAGCTGAAATGTTAGTCATCTTATAGAGCTGCTTGGAAGATGCTATTACATGTAAGTCCCAGCAGTTTTTTCCTCTCAGTACTAGCTTTTTGTGAACGTCATGAGACTGGGAGAAAATCTCTCTGCCAACAAGTGCTCAGTAAAAACCTCCATCCCAGAAATTACCCTGATATATGCAAGTGTGGCAGCGTGAGAGGCAAGTGGGTTGGCAAAGGGCCACGTGGATTCACATGCCACTACCTTCTATTTCCCTTTGTTCAGCTGTGCTGTTCGCACAGGGTGGTGGGTTCTCTCTCTCTTTTTCTTTTTTCTCCTTACTCTTAGCTTTTCTTTCTCTCTCTTTCTTTCTTTTCTTTCTTTCTTTCTTTCTTTCTCTCTCTCTCTCTCTCTCCCTCTTTCTTTCTTTCTTTTTTTTGGCAGTTGAGCTTTGAGCAGTGATGCGTTTTGTTTCAAAAGAGAATCACCAACAGAAAGGGATTGCTCATTGCTCATCTAACTTCAGGGCTCTCTTCTTGTAGAATGCTTCTGCCCACTCACTGTTTCATATGAGAAAGCATTTAAATTCAAAACTCACAAAGTCAGAACTGAAAGTATGTGGGTTTCAGTTCTCCTTATCCGTTTTCCCTTCTTTAAAAACTAAGGAGCCCTATTTGGAGATGTGCGTGCCTGCCAGGAATGAGGTGTGGGGCTCTAGGGTGCTGCGCTGGAACCCATGATGACATGGTTGGCCTATTCATCATAGACCTTTAGAAATGGAAAGAACCAGAAAAGGGCCTGGAAAGAACCTAATTCAATTATTAGGAAGAACCGAATTCATTACTTTTAATGGCAAAAACTGCAATTACTTTTGCCCCAATTTAATACATCATTTTACAAATGAGAAAATCAAAGCCAGAGAGAATGACCTGTCCAAAGTCACATGGCTAATTAGACCCTGTATCACATGTAGACCCTTGTATCTTGGCTGCATTTGGGTGTAGTTGCCAATGTATGTTTGAACTTGGATCTACAACTCCTCAGCAAAGTCAGAGAATCATGCAATTAAAAAAAAAAATGGAGCTAACAGCAAGTCCCAGCATCTCCCCTTAGTTTTGAAGAAGGCAGCATAAACCAGGATCTAGACCCAAAGCAGAGGTCTTGGTAGTTTTTACATGAAGAAACTCATGTGATTCCCAACCAATTCTATGCAACCACAGTTAAAGTGATTTATCTTCAACATCTGGCAACCTAAAGAACTGAAGTAGAGATGACGTTGGGAAGCTGAGTTCCAGGAACATTTTTGTCATGGAGGTAAGGTTCCTGGGTCATCATGAATTAGATGAAAAAGCTCCTTATAACTGGCCACAAAGAAGGCATCAATGACTTTACTAGGTGAAAATGTGGACTAGTGTTTGGATTTTCAAAACAAGCTGATATCAGCCACATGTAAGACCAAAGCAATAGTCACAAAGAAATCCAAAGGACAGCCTCTGGGCTGAGAATTAATAGATCCTTTTCAACAATTTTTACGATAACTTGTTGACAAGATGATTGTATAGACTATGATGAAAAGACATGAGAAAAAACAATTTGCAAGTAAGACTGAAGTACAGGTGGAAAAGGTGGTTAATGGGGTCATCTTTTTGCCCCTGGCCCTTCTAGCAGCCAATGGGTCAGGGCTGGACCCTTTATCCATCCAATCAAGAGGCCATAATGTTCCTCTCTGGAGCAGCAGAGAACTGAAAGATGCTACCAAAGTGTGAAAAGAGAAAGCAAAGCAAACTTCAAAGGACAAAGTCTGCAAAGATTGAAACTGTCAGTCTATGAATATGTGGCCCGATTCTTACTAGATGGACGTCAGAGGCCCTTCACTTTATACTAAAATATATTTAAAATATTGCAGCTGGGCGTGATAGCTCATGCCTGTAATCCCAGCACTTTGGGAGGCCGAGGTCGGTGGATCACGAGGTCAGGGGTTCAAGACCAGCCTGACCAACATGGTGAAACCCTGTCTCTACTAAAAATACAAAAATTAGCTGGGCGTGGTGGCGGGCGCCTGCAATCCCAGCTACTCAGGAGGCTGAGGCAGGAGAATTGCTTGAACTTGGGAGGCGGAGTTTGCAGTGAGCTGAGATCGCGCCACTGCACTCCAGCCTGGGTGACAGAGCGAGACTCCGTCGCAAAAAAAAAAAAAAAAAAAAAAAAAAAATTATTGCAACAGCCTGCGGCTGGGCGTGGTGGCTCAAGCCTGTAATCCCAGCACTTTGGGAGGCTGAGTCGGGTGGATCACAAGGTCAGGAGTTCAAGACCAGCCTGGCCAGCATGGTGAAACCCCGTCTCTACTAAAAATACAAAAACTTAGTCGGGCATAGTGGCACATACCTGTAGTCCCAGCTACTCGGGAGGCTGAGGCAGGAGAATTGCTTGAACCCAGCAGGCAGAGGTTGTGGTGAGCCAAGATCGCGCCACTGCACTCCAGCCTGGGCAATAGAGCGAGACTCCGTCTCAAAAAAAAAAAAAAAAAAATTGCAGCACCCAAATATTTGGTTGAAAGGTCAGTGCAGTGTTTCCTCCCAGGCAAAAGAAAATCAAGAGAATGGACCAAGCAATAAATGAGCAACTAGTTTCTGAAGCACTACTGTGTGGCCAGTCCTATAACAGATGAAAAAAATGGCCTAATTTCTATCCTCTCAAACTAAATGTTGAGAAGCAATTAGAAAACAAAGCAAATAAGCCCCCAAATGGCTGACTGAAATCAGCCAGAGATTTTTGCTTGTGCATTTCAGACTCCCCGGGGCTTACAGAGTTATAAAAGGGACTGAGATATTCGATATCAAAAATGTATTTTTCCCGGCCAGGCACAATGGCTCACGCCTGTAATCCCAGCACTTTGGGCGGCCGAGGCGGGCGGATCACTTAAGATCAAGAGTTCGAGGCCATCCTGTCCATCATGGTGAAACCCTGTCTCTAATAAAAATACAAAAATCAGCTGGGCGTGGTGGCAGGTGCCTATAATCCCAGCTGCTCAGGAGGCTGAGGCAGGAGAACCGCTTGAACTCGGGGGACGGAGATTGCAGTGAGCTGAGATCGCAACACTGTATTCCAGCCTGGGCAACAGAGCAAGACTCTGCCTCAAAAGAAAAGAAAAAAAAATCACATGAATGCCATTCCTTAGCTTTCCTATTAGATACAGTTGTAATTTCTAAAAAAGAATTATGATATCTTTTGCGAGGACATAAAAATTCAGAGTGCAAGAAGAGGGGTCACGTTTTTAAAATTAAGAACCGTTGATATAAGCAATATAAATGGAAAATTCAGAGGAGGAGAGATTAAGGTATTTTCATAGAGGAGAAAGATCATAAAAGGCTTAATCCCTGACCAGGAGGATTTTAATTCTTTAGCTAATTTATTTATGGCCTCCTGTGATCACAGTTTCAGTTGGTTTCATAATGGTGGTTTAGTTTGCAGAACATATGAATAAAGCTAAGGTTTGGAGGAAGTAAGAATCATCAAAATCTGTACAAAGGGTTTTTGTTTCCAGCTCAAAGGAGAAAAAAATATGATTTTTCCTCACTCTCTTGAATTATTTATTCATATAATATATATATATGCAGAATTTGGAATGAGAAATATCTTTACAACTTCTGGGCCTTAATTTTCCAGTTCTGAGATGAACAAAACATTGTCATATTCATCCCAGAGACCAGAAGTACAGTTTAATTGAATCAATCCTCACGTTTATGAGGTTCTTTGAAATGTTTTGTTGTAATAGGCCATATAAATGTAAATGATTAACAGGAAGCAAGAGAGAACTACCACCACCTCACCACTATAGCAGCTGAAGGCAGATTTTCTCAATACATCTTCCAACTCATAAAAAGAGAAAGGAAGACCTTACTTCTCCCAAATGTAATCCCAGTAGTGTAATTATAGTCACACATCACTTAACAATGGGGCTATGTTCTGAGCAATGCATCGTTTGGTGATTTCATCATTGTTCGATCATAGAGGTACTTACACACACCTAGTTGGTGTAGCCTCCTGCACACCTAGTCTAGATGGTATAACCTATTGCTCCTAGTCTACAAACCTGTATAGCATGTTCCTGTACTGAATACTGTAGGCAACTGTAATACAATGGTGAGTATTTGTATATCTAAACATAGAAAAAGTATAGTAAATATATGGTATAAAAGATAAAAAATGGTTCACCTGTATAGGGCACTTACCACAAATGGAGCTTGCAAAACTGGAAGTTGCTCTGGGTGAGTCAGTGAGTGGTGAGTGAATGTGAAGGCACAGGGCATGACTGTATACTACAGTAGACTTTATAAACACTGTACACTTAGGCTACATTAAATTTATGTTTAAAATATTTTTCTTTCTTCAATAATAAATTAACCTTAGCTTACTGTAACGTTTTTACTTTATACACCTTCGAATTTTTTTAGCTTTTTGACTCTTTTGTAATAACAGCTTAAAATATACATTGTACAGCTGTACAGAAATGTTTTCTTTCTTTATATCCTTATTCTGTAAACTTTTTTCTATTTTCAAACTTTTTATTTTATTTTTGTGTGTGTTTTTACACAAACACAGACATTAGCCTAGGCCTACACAGGCTCAGGATTGTCAATCTCACTGTCTTCCACCTCCACAGCTTGTCCCACTGGAAGGTCCTCAGGGGAAGTAACAGGCATGGAGCTGTCATCTCCTATGATAACAATGCCTTCTTCTGGATACCTCCTGAAGGACCTGCGTGAGGCTGTTTTACACTTAACTTTATATCTATATGTAGGAGTACACTCTAAAATAATGATAATGGTGGGGTGCAGTGGCTCATACCTGTAATCCCAGCGCTTTGGGAGGCTGAGGTGAGAGGGTCACTTGAAGCCAGGGGTTCCAGATCAGTCTGAGCAACGTAGTGAGACCTGTTCTCTACAAAAAATGTAAAAATTAGCCGAGCATGGTGGTGCACACGTATAGTCCCAGCTACTTGGGAGGCTGAGGTAGGAGGATCACTTGAGCCTGGGAGGTCCAGGCTGCAGTGAGCCATGATTGTGCCACTGCACTGCAGCCTGGATGACAGACTACTGACTCAGGATCTTGTAAAATTCAAATCTAACATTATCCTAAGTAGAAGATGCATCCCTTCAGGATAAGTCAGGTGAAGACTCATTCCACAAATACTAACGCTACCATTTCTGGTTGTCTGAGCTACAAAGGTAAATAAAATGCAGCTTCGATCTCTCTCAGAGCTCACACCTGGCTTAAATTTAAACATCTTTAAGGTAGGGAAGTAAAGGAAAAGCGGAAAAAAAAGCCCTTCAAAATCAGGGAAAGGAAAGCCAAAAGCACTTTATGTTTTCTCATTCTAGATGAGATTTTTAAAAATCATTCTATTTTATTTTTCTTTTTAAAAGAATCGCATGCGGGAATTAGTACAGGGACAACTCTAATATCAAGTTTGTGTATTTAACCTCACATTCTATAAAAGAGCTGGAACAAATGCACTTAAATCAGTGATATTTGAGCTGATGGCTTGAAATTTATTATCAGTCTTTCTGGAAATGATTTTCTTACTCTTTAGGGTTCTCGATTTTTATTTGCATGTTTCTGTTCAGCTTGTAACTACTACAAAGATCAGGAAGAGGAAACAGGACTGCACGGCCCAGTCCTCTTCATGTTTGAGAAATGGCTGAGTCGGCTCCTGGGACGGGCACATGCTTCTAGAATATTGTGGGCTTGTTAAGCCAGTCCCAAAGCAACAATGGCACTGCAGTTTCCAATGCCAAATTCAATGTCGTTTTTGGGTTTTACTTCATAGCCAAACCAAAGAACAGACACTCAAACAGATACATTTCTTGCCTGTTATTTTCCACCCTTTCTTAGCCAGTCCTTAGAAGGATATACAGGCAGGCATTTCTGCTCGTCTGGAAAAAATCAGTGGTGCAGAATATGACAAAAGGTTTCACTTCCTTTTTAGCCTTTATTGAGCAGAAAAGAGCAATTTGAAAATGCTGTCGCTGGGGAGTAAAAAGTCACTTCCTGGCCGCTTTTGTCAAGAGGGCCCCTGCCGCTTGGCACATCTTCAAATAGAATCAAGAGGCACACTTGATTATATCCTTCATGAAAACATTTAAATAATGTGAGGGTTCTGATTTAACATCCTTTCCCCCACATCCCAGGAACTCTCATAGCCAAAATGATGATGCAGCCTTACTTAAAATGTACCTCTCTAAGGTATTCAGAGCTGTTTTAAGGATTCCCCCATAGGCAAGCTACTTAAATGGCTCTAACAACTCAGAAATATAAGACTAAAATTGCACCAGAACCCGCATAGAGTGTCTTAGCAATAATACCACACGTGGCACAAATAATATATATTAGGTTGGCTGTTGCTTAAAAAAAAAAACAATGCCACAAATGTTTAGAAGGAAAATAAAAGGCACTCATGAAATAGTGGTAATCAAATATGAGAAGGTGATATCAGAAGACATTTGTTCTCAGATCTTCTTAATGTAATTCACAATATCCACTGGCAATATGAGCCCCCAGTGGCACCCACTACTCTCCTTTTGATAAATGCAATGGTCTCTTGGCTTTTAAAAAGATAAATCTTGGGTATAACGCTGAGCGTCAGATAGTAATAAAGGTATTTTATACTGTTTTGCCACTGATGACCAAAAAGAAAGTGAGATGAATCGAATTGGGAAAGATACAGCTGTTGAACGTTGAATGAGCAAAGCACCCGGCAGGAAGTGTGTAGGTGAAACCAAACACTCGGTTCAGAGGTGAAATCTGCATCTGACTGGCGGGTTGCAGTTTTCCTTACTAAGAGCAGTTGGGCTGGTTGTTTTTTCCTCCAAAAGACACAGAAATGATCAGAGTAGGTCAGAGAGCTGACTTACTCCTTTTAGAAGCCTTTGGTTTGGCTGTTGGTAAACTGGAAATTGAGTTAACGAAATCTATTGAATTACCAACGAATTCTATCTCACTCTTGTTCTCTTCGAGAATTGGGTAACTCATTGAATATTTTTGACCCACTTTTCCAGAAGCTGAGTGATGTGGATGGATGTCAATATGGCTTTGAATGATGCTTCTTCCAAGCTTTATAGTCTCTGGGATAGGATTGCAAATAAAGCCAGAGGGCTCCTGTGTTTCGTTTGTGTGACATTCACAGTATCCTACACACAATAGATGCTTCATAAATGAGTGTTGAATGAATTAAGTTGGTTCATGATGCACCTATCCCACCCTCTCCATGTAAATACCTATAAATAAACAAATAAATAAAAATAAGGATAGATAACAAGCCCATGTAAAGCCCAGAAAGTCTGTATCTATATATTTCCATAATGTCAAACACTTGGATGTTTGGAAACTTCTGGATGGTTGCCTCTACGATTCTATTTTCTATTATTATTTAATGATAAAAATAGATTATATACAGGGATCCTCAGGCAAGGCAAGACATGATCTACCTACCCCATAGTCTCTTGGTTCCTACTGCCCTCTAAAAAAATTTCTATGAGAAATTGAGCCACATCTGGATATGTCACTTAGGATAGTTTGCCAATACTTGACAATGAGACTCAGAATGTTGCTGTATATTGATGCAGTTCTCTCTCTCTCACCCTCTCTCCCCCCTCTTTATCTTGCCTTTTCCATAAAGCTTTAGAATAACTAGCTCTTTTATTCACTCTGATAGAAATAGAAGAGAGCCCAAAGCCCCAGCCTTTTCAGGAATTCCAGGGCAACTGAGTTACTGCAGCTACTGTACAGCCCCTGCTCCCAGGAATTTTCCTTTCCCAGTGTCCCCAAACACCACCCACAGCCACACACCAGTCCCTCTGAAGAGAGTTTCTCAGCAATCAGGCCCTCTGCCCATCACCAGGCAAGAAGCCATTCTGGGGAATAAGATGACAATAACCGAGAGGACAAAAGCCTGCTCTGTGTGCATTTCTGTCTGCCCCATTGTTGTGAGCACGAGGCAACTTGGGGTTGTGCATTCTCTGCGTATCAGGAAATCTGTAATCAGGGGAAATTGTTTCTTTTTACTTCCAAGGACATGAGCAAATTTAGAGCAGTGTTTTGGGGAGGGATTTCTTGTTTGGGGGGTTTGTGTTTGTTTTTTCCTCCTCCCTTTCATAGAAGAAGAGCTTAGTGCAGGCTTTTAACTTGAAACTAGGAGGTGGATCAGAACTACTTTTCAGTACAGAAACTGCAGGTCCTGGATTTGTTATTCATATTTGTCCATTTGCTACACAGCACTTTATCAAGATCTTTGGCAAGTGTACTTCCACGTTGACTTTATTGGTTTCATATTAACAGACTTTATCTTAGAGTGGGGAAGAAGGGAGGGGCCGCCTGGGCAAACTAATGTTTGTTATGTGAAAATACTTCTGTGGGTAACACTAAAGGGAAAGGAATAATTTGGTTAAATAAATGATTTGAGCCTAGGAAAATAAGTCAATGAATCCACTAACAATTTAGAAGCAAGTACTTCTGTCCAGATTTAAATTCAACTGAGAGTTATTGAATGCACATGCTTTTACAGTATCTCACTTTGTGTTAAAGTGCCACTTATTGAACTAGCTTGTTCTTACCACAAAAGTAATATGAAATGAGACAGTTTGCATTCTAATTTCGCCTTTTTTGTCTTGCTTTCTTGGAGACCCAGTGACATGTATTCCGGTTCATATTATTTTTCTGTTTTATGAATAAAATATATGTATGCATGAAAATGAATATCTAATGAAATATCTGATGCCTATTGACCACTTGCTATTTGTCAGTCACACTGTTAGACCTCTTGTAAGTATAATCTTAATTCCAAAGCCAGCCCAAACTGGTAGGTGTTAGAATGCTAGCACGTTGCTAGAATGATCTCCAGTTTACAGTTGAAAGTACTGAGGCATGGAGAGGTTAAGTCACTTGTGCAATTACATGGCTAGAAAGTGGGAGAGCTAAGATCTAAAGCTGGATTTCTCTGACTCTTGTCTTGCTCAACAGGTGCCTATAATCTCAGCCCTGTGGTGTTACACCATGATTCTTCGGTTATGTTATTTGACAAAGGTGATCGATGTCACTCCCTGATTATGTTAGGTTTTATGGCAAAATTGAAGGAGTTTTGCAAATGTGATTAAGGTCCCAAATCAGTCAGCTTTAAGGAATCAAATGGAAAATTATCCAGGGTGGGCCTGACTTAATCAGTTGGACATTCTTTAAAAGAGGGCTTAGGCCTTCTCTGAATCATAGAGACTCTCTTCTGCTGACCTTGAAGATGCAAGTCATCACGAGTTGTACAACTTCAAGACAAAGAATTCTGCCAACAACCACTTGAGCTTGGAAGATGACCCCAAGCTTCCAGATAAGAATCCAGCCCAGGCTGACACCTTGATTTCAGCCATGTGTGACCCTGAGCTAAGGATCCAGCTAAGCCATTTCCAGACTTCTAATGGAAGAAACAATGAAATAACAAATGTGTTTTTTGAAGCCACTGAATATGTGCTAATCTGTTATACAGGAACAGAAAATTAAGTCAAGACACGTGTAAACTGATAACACAAACAGAAGTATCCATAAAAAGTGTGAATACACAAATATATACCAAAATGTATTACATATTTATAAATTATGCACATGAACTACCATACCAAGAGAATATCCCAAAATAAAACATGAGACACACGACACACACACACACTCTGGAAATGAGAAAGGATGACCGTTGTTCTTAGCCACATCCCTCTTCTGCTACTGCCAATCTCTTCCCTGATGGAGGGGTCACAACAAGTATTGAAACTTAAATCTTAGTTATCCCCTTCCAAATGGACTAAAATATCTATAAAATCAAAGGTGGAGGCAGGCTTTTTTAAAGCGTGACCGTAGTATTTCTAAGGGGCCATTGATGGAGGGATAGATACTCAGCCTTCTCACGGGACCCCTAATGTATGTTTGCTTTCAGATACTAGACATTCAAAGGCCATTCTCATCACTTCCTACTCAGACTAGAATCACAGTTATATGTCCATCATACATCAGTCAATCAGCACAGGGTTAGTGTTTACCTCCAGACTGCCCAGCTCCACTTTAAGAAGGAAAGTGTGCTATGGAGAAAGGGCACATCTTGGCAATATGTACAATATTTCTTCAGTCTTCACGCTCTACTCTCCAAAAGTTCACAAAGTTCAGGTTTTCCATCTTTGTTTTTTTTTCCTCCAGATTTTTGTTTTTTCTGCTCATGTAAGGTGTTCCACTAGGAATTACATCCTGTGAGAAGTTAGGCTTGTAAATCCACGTCAGTCCATTGTCATAATTTTTACGTGTCTACACATTCCATGCTGCGCCTCAGGGTTCCTTCTGAAAACCACTTTGTTGATACCAGGGGGCAGCAAACTTTCTGAAGTGGGCCATATAGTAAATATTTTCTGTTTGGAGGCAGCTACTCAACTCTGCCATTTTAAGAGGAAAGCAGCTGTAGATAAACTGTAAATAAATGAGTACAGCTGTGGGCCAAGAAAGCTTTACTTACGGATGCTAAAATGAGAATTTCATATGCTTTTTTTTTTTAACTTTTAAGTTCAGGGCTACATGGGCAGGTTTGTTATACAGATGAACTTGTGTCTCAGGGCTTTGTCATCCAGATTATTTTGTCATCCAGGTATTAACCTAGTACCCAATAATGATTTTTCCAGATCCTCTCCCTCCTCCCATCCTCCACCCTTCAATAGGCCCCAGTGTGTGTTGTTCCCCTCTATGTGTCCACGTGTTCTCATCATTTAGCTCCCACTTATAAGTGAGAACACACGGTACTTGGTTTTTTGTTACTGCATTAGTTTGCTAAGGATAATGGCTTCCAGCTCCATCCATGTCCCTACAAAGGATATGATCTCGTTCTTTTCTATGGCTGCATAGTATTCCATGGTGCATATGTACCACATTTTCTTTATCCAGTCTACCATTGATGGACATTTAGGTTGAGTCCACATTTTTGATATTGTGAATAGTGCTGCAGTGAACATATGCGTGCATGTATCTTTATAATAGAATGATTTATATTCCTTTGGGCATATACCCAATAATGGGATTGCTGGATCAAATGGTAGGAGAATGTCATATAATTTCTGCATGCCAAGAAATAGTATTCTTCTTTTCATTTGTTTTCCAGTCCTTTAAAAATGTAAATACTGTTCTCAGCTCTCAGGTTGTAGAAAAACAGGTAGCTAACCGTTTTGTGCTCTTGGGCCAGAGATTGCTGACTCCTGATTTATAATGAGATGCTATCAGAGTTAATGACTTAATCATTGTGGAAGGTATTTCTCTTTATGGAATAAAAAATGTTATGGATACAAAAGTAGCAGTAGGTATATAGATATGTATTAAATTAGCAAAAGATGCCCTTATAATGGTCAGGTCCACAAATCATGCTACATCTTCAAAGAGGAGACTGATTTGACTTTTGCTAATGGAACTGGTTCTACATGTGCATTTCATTCTGCACAATAAACTCAAGAAACTGAAATATGTCTTGTGGTTCTTACAACTGAAGATCCAGATAGTCTATTAAAATTACCAGAGTCCTTTAGACTATTTTTTAATAATTTAATTAATTTTTTTTTAGAGACGGGGCCTTACTATGTTGCCTAGGCTGGTCTCAATCTCCTGGACTCAAGCAATTCTCCTACCTCAGCCTCCCAAGCAACTGAGACTACAGGCATGCACTATCAGGCCTGGCTCCTTTATACTCTTTAACATACACAAGTCAGTATTATGAAAAATGGCCATGTGATGGCAGAATCCTTAAATATGATTGGTGGCAATCAACCAAGATAATCAAGTGACCCAGCCATATTCAGATCACTGCCAACTTAAGATAATCATGGACAAACTCATACGTCTGGTTTTTCCACTTCCTCATCTATTGCTTTGAGTGCAAATATACAGTTTAATCTCTGATATAGCTGACCTTAACGTCCTGCTGGCATTATGTTATAAAACAAACAAGCGTAGCTTTAAAAGACGTAAAGGATTGGATTACCAGTGTTTGCATATTCTTAGAAAAGGTATCTCCTTAGCCAATGGGAAACATGGCAAGTGTCAGTCCCATTTCTCAGAGTCCAAATTCTTAGGTGTTAAATTACTATAGGTGTAATATTGCCTTTTACAAACATCAAAAAGAAGAGAAAGGAAAGAAAGAGGGAGGGAGAGAAAGAGAGAAAGATGTGGACCATTTTTCTAGAACTAAACAGAAAAATGTTCTCAAAATTCTGTCTTGTCCTAGTGGACTGTCAAGGCTTTGCTTGGTGCTTGGCTACACAATTTGTATGCCATTGTATCCATTATGGTGTAATATGTTGATGGATAATGAAAAATCAGGAGTATCCACTTGGGCGGTCTGGCAAGAATTCAGTTTAAAGTAAATATAAGCTCTCTGGAGATATCTACCAGAAGAAGTGTTCTTTTTAAAGCTCATTGTTTGTTTTAATCCAGTGGAGAAAAAAAGAGATAAAAACTAAGGAGTAAGATCTATAAAGAGAAAGTACAAATATTAAGACTGTCAAATGGAAAAAGACAGGGAATGAACTCAAGGCCAATTTAGACTTTTCAGATTGTCCTGGCAAAATTCTCCTTAAAGTGAAGGATAAGGCCCATCAGACCACAATTCCCTAGTTTAACTTAGTAAGACTTAATAAGAAATCTATTGGTATATGTCCTTATTGTGGTTTCAAATACAAATTTTTATTTTATTTTTCATCATATTAAAGTGAAATGACTATATATGTGTGTATGTGTTCACATGTATGATGTGTATGTATATATATGTATACACACATACATTTATATTTAGATATACACACATGCATTTGGAAAGGTAAAGTGCAGGGAAGAATATACAAACTATTACTAACCAAATCCACTGCCCAAGGTTAACTAATGCCTTCTATTTTTAAGGAGAAGTGGTGTTAGGAAGTATTATTTTCATTAATACAAAAACTTCAACTCTTTTGAACTGGAAGAGCCAAAGAAGGTTAATAGGCCAACATCTAGCTAGACAAATTTGGAAACTCTAATCTACAGGGGTCATGACATAACCTAGGCCACCCAAATCCTCACATATTCAATCAGGATAAGAAATCAGTCTTCTAATTCATAGCCCAGTTCATAAAGGGCAAAAAATTTCAGGTAACAGTTATAAGCAAGAATCAAAATCTGTCCTCAGCCCTGGAAGAGCTGCAATTTACAAAATACCAGCTTCCTGGCAAAATGAGACCTTGACGCCGAAAAGAATTAGTGTTCCTTAAGTTTTGTAGTTCTCTAATTACAGAGAGGCTTTTTAGACTTACCTCCAGAGGTTTTAATATTGCTACCTTAATTTATAGCTGTTCTTTACTTTTAATAGTCAAATGAAAGTTTTAATTATAATCAAGCAAGTCTTCATACAAAAAGATAGCACTGCTGGCTCTCCTTCAAGAGAACATGTGCTTTCAGTTATTTTCTGGGAGGCTGGGGAGGAGAGGACAGAGAGCATTTACCCACTCCGATTCAAACAGTATACATTTGTACAAGGTCTCTCTGGACAAAGCTAGGACTGAGACTATGAATATGGAATCAAACAGAATTAAGAAGCCCTTGTCAAACCTATAGTCTTGATTTTAGCTGCATTATACACTAAACAACCTGTCATATCCTGCTGCAAATAGAAAACAGGTCTTTACCACGTTAACGTTTGGTCTGCACAAGAACAGTACATGAGGAGTATTGAATTATAAAAAACAAATTTATGTTGAATACTCGATATCCAATAAAAAGATGTTATCTTTTTGTTGTTTGGCTTTATGAAATAAACTTTAAGAACAGAGTTCCCATTTATTCCTCATCCAATTTCTCCATTGTTAAACTCTTATGGCATGGTATACTTGTCACAACTAAGAAATTAACCATAGTACAAAATTGTTGGCTGGGCTCATTGGCTCATGCCTGTAATCCCAACACTTTGGGAGGTCGAAGAAGGTGGATCGTTTCAGGTCAGGAGTTCAAGACCAGCCTGGCCAACATGGTGAAACCCTGTCTCTACTAAAAGTACACAAATTAGCTGGGCATGGTGGTGCATGCCTGTAGTCCCAGCTACTCGGGAGGCTGAGGCAGGAGAATCGCTTGATCCTGGGAGGTGGAGGTTGTGGGTGAGCCAAGATTGTGCCACTGCACTACGGTCTGGGCAACAGAGTAAGACCCTGTCTCAAAAAAAAAAAAAAAAAGTATGAAATTATTAACAAAACTCAAGACTTTATTCCAATTTCATCAGATTTTCTGTTAAATATCTTCCTTAAATACTTCTTTCTTCTCTCTGTTCTGTTCTTGCTGTTCATAGAATAGCACATTGCATTTAGTTGTCATGTCCCCTTGGTCTTCTCTCCTCTGTGAGTTTTTTTTTTTTTTTTTGTCTTTTCATGACCTTGACAATTTTCAGCAGTACCAGTAAGCTATATTGTAGAATGTCCCTCAATTTGGGTTTGCCTGATGTTTTCTCCATTAGACTGATGTCAGAGCTCAGACACAATACCGCAAAATATGGTGCCTTGTCACAACGAATACTTTGAACTGAAGGAGATTGACAGGGCCTCAGAAACAAGATCTCTCTCTGACCTTCTCCTACTCTTCTTTCTCCTGTTCCTCTTTCTCCCCCAAAGGAAGCCATAGAAACTAGAACTCCTGTTCTTCAGATCAAGCCACAGAGCCTGGAAGTATTAAATGTCTTCGCCTTTCTGTGTAGGAGCTGATCATAAAGAAATTCTCTGACCTACCTTGTCTGACTGTAGGTCATAAGACCCTCACTCCAGAGGGGTCCTGCTCCATACTCAGGAGGAAGGAAAGCTACACAGAGAGACCAAGAAGAATTGGAATAGAGAGGCCTTACTGGGTTTCCCACCTTAGTCTGTTACCATTAGATGATACCCTTTTGTCCAATCACATTGCTGCATGGCTGTCCATTCTTCGTTGAACCTAAGCATGAAATGGAAAGTTTTCCCTGGGTCTTTGGCTCTTCATTTCTGAAGGCTCTTGTGTCACGTAAAACTTTGATTAAATAAATGTGTACGTTTTTTCCTGTTAATCTGTCTTTGTCAGTTTTATTTCAGACCTAGCCATGAACCCTAGGAGCACTGAGGAAACTTTTCCTCTTGTACACTGGGGATATGGGTTTTTGGAGTCAGTGAAGTGCCCTTCTCATCACAACATATTGGAGGGTACATGATGTCTGCATGACATCACTCGTGATGTTAGTCTTCATCAGTTAGTTAAAGGGGTGTTTGCCAAATTTCTCTACTGTAATATTACTGTTTTTCCCTTCTGGTTCCATACAAGGATTTTTGTCAGTAAGTTACTAAATCTAGCCCGCCTTCAAGTGTGAATGTTGGGGAGATTAATCTCTCCCTCCTAGAGGAGAGAGCATCTACATAGAATATTTGTCAAATCAAAGAGGGGGCTTTCCAGGATGAGGGAAGACAGGTCTTGTCTACTTGGGTATTTGAATAAAAAAAGGAAAAGGGCATTTGTACATCCATGAGAGTTAGCCACGTTTTTTCCTGACTAAGCAATGCCATTTACTGTAATGCTAATTTTCTTTAAATTTAAAAGTATTGTATTGGCATTTTAGTTGCACCTTTACGTTTCTTATTTTTGAGTCATTTTGGGGGGTTATATTTTATATACTATGTCAATTGTCTTAGCCCATTTTCTGTGGCTTATGACAGAATACTTGAAACTGGATAATTTATAGAGAAAATGATTTTTTTCTATTTATTTGCTATTATTATTCCTTAGATACAGGGTCTCTCTCTGTCACTCAGGCTGGAATGCAGTGGTGCATGATAGCTCACTGCACCCTCAAACTACTGGGCTCAGCCTCCTGAGTAGCTAGGACCACTGGTGCATGCCATCATGCCCAGCTAATTAAAATTTTTTTTTTTTTTTTTTTTTTTTTTAGAAACGGGATCTTGCTGTGTTGCTTAGGCTGGTCTCCAACTCCTAGCCTCCAGTAATCCTCCCACCTTTTCCTCCCAAAGCACTGGGATTACAGGCATGAGCCACCATGCCCGGACAGAATTTATTTCTTACAGTTATGGAGGCTGGTCCCAGGTTGAAGGGCCACATCTGGGGTGAGGGCCTTCTTGTCAGTGGGGACTCTCTGCAGAGTCCTGAGGCGGTACAGGGCATCACATGGCAAGGGGGCTGAGCATGCTAGCTGAGGTCTCTCTTCCTCTTCTTATAAAGCCACCAGTCCCCTCACATCACAACCCATTAATTCATTAATCTGTGAATGAATTAGTCCGTTCTTGAGGGTAGGGCCCTATGATTCAATCAATTCTTAATGGCCCCTCCTCTCAATTCCGCCACATTGGGGATTAAGTTTCAACATGAGTTTTAGAGGGGACAAACATTTAAACCATAGCATCAGTAGAGGTGTAAAGTCGTCAAGAGGAGTTGGGAAGAGATGCCTGCAGCCAGCATTTTATAGTATTTCCACCATACAGATATAGTAGATGTAAGTAACCCTAAGAGCATAGTAATAGTAAAATGTGTAAAATAATTAGGCGGTGATGCATTTTAAGCATTTATTACCTTTACTTTTCATATAATTTATTTTATTGTAAGTTTATATCATTTAATAGTGACTTCGTTTAACAACCGGCTCTCAATTTTCCAAAAACTTTCACAAGCAGCTCTTGCCACTAACACTATTATTAGAAAACATCTGGAATGATTCACATAAAACTGTTCACAGTAGCTATCTCTGGAAAATGAGTTGAAAGAGGAACTTTCCCTTTCTCTTTCAGTCCATTCTATACTGTTTGATTTATTTGAAACAAATAAATATGCATTATTCTTGTAATAACAATGTTAAGTTTAAGAATATTATATTAGGAAGATGATTTATAATACCAACTGTGTAAGAGGAGGGGACATTACAACTATATATTTGTTTTTGCATATATATCGGAGGTTAAACAAGAAACTAATAAAAAGCATTATCCCAAGAGAGTGAGGGCAATCAGTCGAATGGGACTGTATTTTTCATATTCTTTTGATATTTGAACCACATAAATGGATGTGTTCCAAAAAGTTTAACAATTAAAAACACTTTAAAAAGATCATCTGCTGCTCCACCCTAAAAAAACACAAGAGAAATTTCTATTAATTATTATTACATATTGAGGACTCTGCCTCTTTGGAGGACAAGTCTCCCTGAAATCATAAACTTTTTCTTTATTTCCATAACAAACTCATGGTCAGGGTGTCTTGAAAATGACTTTAGGGGTGAGTCATTGTTCAGGTATGCAGCTGTGTTAGCACTGGCCTCGAGACTCAGATAATACAGGGCACAATTGTTATAAGCAAACAGCAGTACGTGGATGAAGATATTTTTTCCAGGTAGAAAATGGAAGAGGGCCAGACACCCTTGAAGCGCTCTACCTTTTCATTCCTCTCACGCTGGTGTTAGGAAGGTGTGTTTGACCAGTAGAATGGGTGATGTTTGTTTAAGGCTTACGGAAACGTAGGCACCTGACCAAAATCAATCTCGCAATTTTTTTTTTTTTTTTAGATGGAGTTTCACTCTTTTTGCCCAGGCTGGAGTGCAATGCTGCAACCTCGGCTCACTGCAACCTCCAACTCCCAGGTTCAAGCGATTCTCCTCCCTCAGCTTCCCGAGTAGTTGGGATTACAGTTGTGCACCACCATGCCCGGCTAATTTTGTATTTTTAGTAGAGACAGGGTTTCTCCATGTTGCTCAGGCTGGTCTCAAACTCCTGACCTCAGGTGATCTGTCTGCCTCAGCCTCCCAAAGTGCTGGGATTACAAGTGTGAGCCACCACGCTTGGCCAAGCTCGCAATTTTGAGACCACCTCTTGATTCTCAGAGGAAGAGCAGAGGCCTTCTTCCTATGGTGCACTTGCAGAAGTGACAGTTCTGAATGCCGCGCCCAATTATTCCAGTTGTGTTTAGTTTTCCTTTATAATGCAAACATCTGTTATCTAGCAGGAACCTGAAAAGGATTTGCCTCTGCCTGATTCCTCGACACCTCAAGCCTTTGTTGTAGCCCCACAGAACTAATGACAGACATTTCTCTGCCAGATTACGAGAACTGAATAATATTTTTGGTCAATCAAAATTAATGTTAAAGATCTAGTATGAACTGAACATGAATGTGGTTTACATACATGTATCTCTATTCTCTTTTAAAATCACAGCCATAACACACGAGGATGTCAGTTGCAAACAAGCCCTAAGCCGACTCTTAAAGACTGAAATGACAGCACAAGCTTGCATCAGCCACATTCTCAAAGTCTTTGAAAATGTTCCTTGCAACATTGCACCTCTATAATGTTGTGTCTAGTCAGGCAGGACAAGCCCATGGGCCAACATATAGAAGCTACTGTTATTTTTATTATTGTTAGCATATAAATTTTGAAATTGCATTTTTGTTGGTTTATACATACAGGTTAGAACATAAGAAAATGGTAAGTCACATTAGAAGAAATGATAGGGGCCAGGCGCAGTAGTTCATGCCTATAATCCCAGCACTTTGGGAAGCCAATGCAGGCGGATCACCTGAGGTCAGGGGTTCAAGATCAGCCTGGCCAACATGGTGAAACCCCATCTCTAATAAAACTACAAAAATTAGCAGGGCGTGGTGGCACACACCTGTAGTCCCAGCTACCTAGGAGGCTGAGGCAGGATAATTGCTTGAACCTGAGGGGCGGAGGTTGCAGTGAGCCGAGATCACGCCATTGCACTCCAGCCTGGGTGACAAAGTGAAACTCCGTCTCAAAAAAAAAAAAAAAAAAGAAATGATAGTGTCATAAATTCACCGTTTTTGCTGACATCATAGAAAAAATCAATTCAGGCAGGAATCATCAATAAGTGCCAAAACTACTTGGTGGAAGTTTGAGGAAGAACAGGAGACTTGAGCCTGAGCCTCCAACTATCCTCCCCCAGGTTACTTACTAATTACAGTGGGAAAAATGATAGCCTTACAATGCAGAAATCTGGTGGCAACCATCTAGACAAGTGATCCAAGTTATCAATGAATGGGACAAATCGGCATCACGTGCGTCCTGATGTGAGGCACCAGGAAGGACACAACATCCTTTATCGGTTTTCCTACCCCGAATTATCTGACTCTAATCATGAAAAAAACAACAGGCAAACCCAAAATGATAGAAATTCTACAAACCAGTTGGTTCATATTCTTCAAAAATGTGACTGTCTTGAAAGAAAAAGAGCAGCTGAGGAATTGTTCCTGGTTAAAGAGACATGACAGCTCAATGTGATGCATGATCCTGGATTGGATCCCAGATGAGGAGGAAGAAAAGGGCTGTAAAGGACAATGGAGCAACTGGCAACATTTAAATATGGACTTTATGTTAGATAACAATATCACAGCATTGATGTTAAAATTCCTGAATTTAATCATTGCACTGTGGTTATGTAAGATAATATTCTTGTTCTTAGGAAATATAAGCTGAGGGACCTTCAAAGGGTTCAGAAAATGGTTCAGAAAAAAAAGAGGTGAGAGAGAAAGTAAATGTGGTAAAATGTTAACAATTAGTGAATCTGAGTAAAGGATATAGGGAATTCTTTTAACTATTCTTGCAACTCTTCTGTAAATTTGAAATTACGATTTTTTTTTAAAGTTAACACAGTGACTCACATGACTTCTTGGGAGAGGAAGAAAGTAGCACCATGTTCTAAGTCTTTGCTGAGACACTGGGCCCTGAAACAGAAGCAAGAGTTGGAGCAGGAATGAGCAGCTATCTGGGGTTTCTGTTTGCAGAGATAAGACGAGGTGAAGCTCAGAACTCAAAAGAAATCTAGAAACTAAAGACCTAGCCTCTAGTCTGTAGAGTGAAGTCAGACACCAAAAGAGGTAAGCAAAAGATTCAAACCAGGGAGCAACAACACTTACGGGGTAAGAGAGAAAAGGCAATCAGAGATGTTGGTGGAATAGAGAAGCCAGAGACTAAAAATGGTGAGAGAGGAGAGGGTTTCAGAAAGTAGAGTGTGGTCAGCATTGTCAAAAGCTACTTTATTAGTCAGGGTTCTCTAGAGGGACAGAACTGAGTTTATTAAGTATTAACTCACATAATCACAATGTCCCACAGTAGGCCATCTGCAAGCTGAGGAGCAAGGAAAGCCAGTCCAAGTCCCAAAACTGAAGAACCTGGAGTCTGATGTTCGAGGGCAGGAAGCATCCAGCACAGAAGAAAGATGTAGGCTGGGAGGCTAGGCCAGTCTAGTCTTCTCATGTTTTTCTGCCTGCTTTATATTCTAGCCATGCTGGCAGCTGATTAAAGGTGCCCACCCAGATTAAGGGTGGGTCTGCCTTTCCCAGCCCACTGACTCAAATGTTAATCTTTTTTGGCAACACCCTCACAGACACACCCAGGATCAATACTTTGCATCCTTCAATCCAATCAAGTTGACACTCAGTATTAACCATCACAGCTACCCAGAGAAAAAATTAGCTGGGGTATGGTGGCATGTACCTGTAGTCCCAGCTACTTGGGAGGCTGAGGCAGGAGGATCATCTGAGCCTGGGAGTTGGAGAGGCTGCAATGAACCAAGATTGCACCACTGCACTCCAGCCTGAGTGACAGAGTGAGACCCTGTCACACACACACACACACACACACACACACATACACACACACACACACACAAGGCTACAAAGAGGTCAAGAAGTATTTCATGTAATAATAGTGCATTGATTTGTGAACTAAGAGGCTGTTGTAATAATAAAGGAGACCATATACTGAGCACCTACAATGTACATATTTCCTTCAACTCTCACAGCAACCCCATGTGTCATGGCCATCCCCTTCCACATTAGGCAGGTGAGAAGAGTGAAGCTCATAGAAGTTACGAAGTTTCTGAAGGTGGCACAGCTAATAGTAAGTTGACCAGGAACAAGTGACAAATTTTGAGGTGACAGCATGGCAAAGTGTATATTTTATCTGTTAGTACTTGGGAGCCTGGGTGAAAAAATGGCAAACAGGTTCTTGGAGTGGATTCAGGACTGGGGCATGAAGGAAGACTTCAGCTGGACATGGGGAGGAAAGGGTTTAAAATCAATCTGAAGTGAGTGATTAGGAGTCGAAGCTAGACAGAGAAAAGAAAGGAATTGAGGCCATAAGCAGGCAGGAGGCTGGGGGATGGAAGTCTTGACAAGTGTGAGTCTGACTCACACTGAAAGAAACATTGTACATCACAGATCAGTCATCTCTCCCCCTCATAAATAACTCAAACAGAAGTTTGATAAACAATAGTTACCCTTACCATGCTGGGGAGTTCTGAAAATTCTTGCTTGATTTCTTTTTAGTGATTTATTTTGTCTTTTTTTTTTTTTAATTTTTGTTTTCAATGCTGGCAAGAATCAATAAATTGATTTCCTACGACACAGCCTGTGGTTTGAAAACCACACTCTGGGTAGGGTGTGGCCTGAAGTGTGGTAGCGCTGGGGTGGGGATAGAGGTTAGAATGGTAGCCAGCTGTCTGGTTTGGATCTTTCTCAGCCTTCTTTTCTTGGCTAAGCCTGGCCCCTTACAGTTTTCCCTCAGCTGCTCCTGTGGTCTAAAGCCCTAACTCACCCTCCCAACTCGAATGAGATCCTACTTGGAAACACCTGTGGTACAAAGAATGGTGGCAGGGGGCCAAGTCACAACCGGCCTTGGCCAAGCCAAATGCCTTAGGCATTCTAGACATACATAAATGTCAACATCATACATGGGTATCTGTCAGCTTCCAGGAGAGGAGAGAGAACATGAATCCTCCCTGTTTCAAAGGAATATGGTCAAAAGTGTGGAGTAGCCTTCTTTGGGGCAGATAGTTCTTAATGTCTATGTTAGATTCAATTGACCTCACCTCTTTCTAATCTGAAGGATTTATTATTTGAATGGGTTGAGGACTTAAATGGATTTTATTTTTGGTATCCATCTCTCCTGTTGGGAAACTTCATGACTTATTTCAGAAAAGAAGCCCTGATAGGCGGAAGGTTCCAAACATTAGATGCCAATATGTTTGTTCTCGATGCATGTTGCATGTATATTTATACACCTGTTATAACACGGAGCTTATACAGAGAAAGTCAGTGGAACCTTAGAGGAATGCCTTAGGCATGCACGTATGGCTTTGAGAATTTACATTTGCATATATGAACTCACGGTGCTCTCACCTTCCTAGCTCAAGTTATCAATGATATTTGAAATGACAAATTCAGGGTTATATAATTACTATCCTTTCTTCAAAAAAAACCCATTCAGATTATATTCTTTTTTACTTTCTTTTCTTTTAAATTTTGTGACTGACCTCTCTAATTACTTAGGGTAGTATATGCACTTCTTTTCCCACATGGTATTTTTCACTGCTCTTGAGGAAGCACAACTGTTTTCTGCCATGACCACCTGTGTTATTCATCCCTGTAATCACAGGAAACAAATAACCAATTACAAACCTTTCATTTTCCTTCCTTCCATACCCCTTTCTCTTCACCCACTTATGGGTCCTATAAGTTTTTCCATATTGGTCCTTAAATCACTGGATAATGTTCTGATTAATGTCGAAAATCTTCAGTTATCCTCTCTCCTTCCACAGACCCACTCATTCGGTAAAATGTCCCTGCCCACAGTGCTGACCGACTGATCATTTCAACCATCGCACTACAGTGCCTCTACTAGACAACCCACTAATGACGATTTATAGTGGGTTAAATAGCAGCCCTCCCCCCACCAAAGATCTGTCCATATCAAATCCCTGGAACCTGTGAATGCTAACTTACTTGGGAAAGAGTTTTTTTTGCAGATGTAATTAAGGATCTTGAGATGAGATCATCCTGGATGACCCAGGTGGGCCCTAAATCCAATGAGAAGTGCCCCTATAAGAGAAAGACGAGGAGAAGACACAGACGCAGAGAAGGCGACGTGAAAATGGAAGTGGACATTGAAGTGACGCAGTCACAAACCAAGGAATACCTGGAGCCACTGGAAGCTGAAAGATGCAAGGAAGGATTCTCTCCTTGAGCCTTTGGAGAGAATCCGGCTCTGCCGACACCTTGATATCGGGCTGCTGGCTTCCAAAACATGAGAGCATATATTTCTGTTGTTTTCAGCCCCCAAGTTTGTAGGGATTGGTTACAGCTGCCCCAGGAACATAATACATGATTGAAGACCAGCTTTTAATGTACAAACCCTAGTACAAGGCACTGCAAACCTCAGAGATCTCCACACAAAAATGTAATTTTAACCATTTCAAATTGATTAAACTTCTTTCCGCTCCAGTATAAAAGTTGATACCAAATGACCATGAAGTGTTCATAATATAGAGGTGTTACAAGCCCATCTTTTCGAAATGTGGACCAAGAAATACCAATAAAAGTAAGATTTAGCACCTTCTTGTATGACGTTGCTGCAACACTGATGATGTCAATATGCTTTTTCAGTGACAAGTATGGACAGTCTCTTCTTCGCCCTCCTTCCCTATAGCTACATTTCTAAACAAGAAGGGTCTACAGACTGCCTCATGTGGATGAAATGATTTTACTTCTAATATCTCCCAATTACCTAAGGGTAATTTTCAAACTCCTTAGCCTGGCTCAGGGGCCCTTCACAATCTGGTTCCAGGCTATCTCCTGGCTCAGTGTCTTACCTGGCAAAAACAGAAGCTGGGTGAATCGTAGTTGGATAAATGAATGGATATCTGGCTCAGGCCGGATACGGCTGTTCATTCGCACAGGTTTTCCTCTCCCATAGACCAAGAGTAGGCCCGGGCCTTATTCAACTTCCTATTCCAGCAACTTGGAAAGAGCCAGGCAGACACTAGGTGCTCAGTAAACGTTTGTTGAGTAAAGAATGACTCTTTCTAATTAGCCAGGCATGGTGGTACACACCTGTGGTCCCAGCTACTCAGGAGGCTGAGGTGGGAGGATTGCTTGAGTCTGGGAGGTCGAGGCTGCAATGAGCCATGATCGTGCCACTGCACTTACACTACAGCCTGGGTGACAGAGTGAGACCCTGCCTCAAAAAAAAAAAGAATGACTCTACCCTCCAAGTAAGCAAGTCATTTTAAGTAGAAACAACCATGTGGCATTCCATATATATTTTTTAATCTTTTGAAATATTTTTGTTTCTAGATTAAGAAAATGCTATCACAAAGTCTCTGTGTGGTCAAAGGTATCAGCCACTTACAGCGCTCAATGTGGTAATGAGGAAAGGCATAATTTCCTGTGGTTTGACAATAACGTGACAGGAATAGCTCCAACTGCTTTGAATAGATTATTGTCCCCCTCCATTGAAGTTCCAAACTGTGGAATCCTACTAAACAAATGTGACCAGCCCTCAGCCAGCCAGGTGCTGTGCTTATGGATACACGTGGTCATCATGTTGCTTGGTTCTCTGAGGGATTTCAAAATTTGAGCAACCATTTCAGCCCCCAGTAATCATACAGTTGAATTGGAAAGAGAAGGCAAACAGAGGAAGGGGAAGGATTTAGCAGTAAGAAGTGTTTCTCTGGAGATTCAACATCTAAGCCACAAAATCCTAGCAAAAGATAGATTTTAAAATGCTATCTATCCAGGTTGGGTGTGGTGGCTCACACCTGTAATCCCAGCACTTTGGGAGGTGGAGGCAGGGGGATCACTTGAGGCCATGAGCTTGAGACCAGCCTGAACAACATAACAAAACTCTGTCTCTACAAAAAGAAAAAAAAAAATTTTTTTTAAATTAGCCAGGGCTGGTGGCACATGCCTGTAGTCCTAGCTACTCAGGAGGCTGAGGTGGGAGGATCACTTGAGCCCAGGAGTTTGAGGCTATAGTGCAGCTATAATAGGGCCACTGCACTCCAGCCTGGGCAATAGAGCAAGACCCTGCCCAGAAAAACAACAACAACAACAAAACGCTATTCATTCAGTCCATTTTTAGACCTTGGGCATTCCTCAGCAAGGATTCTCAAAAAATAACAGGCAAGAGTTATCATGCCCAATCTTTCTATGCTAATAGAATATTTGATTGCAAGGTGAAGAATCAGTTTCCTTCAAAATTCACTCACCATTGAACTTTTGGAGGGATTTGAATTAATCATTCTAGATACATTTGGAAAAATGGCCACTGTAAAGCAAAGAATAGGTATTAAACCTCATTTAGAAATCCAAAGCCCTTAGACTCATCATGTACCCTAAAAATGGAAAAGAATAATTTCTTAGTATTTTCCACTTGGAGTCAGATGAAAAATGCATTTAACTAATGGAGGGCACAGGAGGGCAGGGACTACATCTTATTTACAACCGTGTCTCTGTGGCAAATGAATTACCTGGCATGAACTGGTGGAGTGAACTAATGATCCAGTGCTCTGGCTTCATAATATGGAGTTGGCTATAAGTATTGATTCAAATCAGCACAGCCGGCCAGGCGCGTTGGCTCAAGCCTGTAATCCTAGCACTTTGGGAGGCCGAGGCGGGCGGATTGCCTGAGCTCAGGAGTTCGAGACCAGCCTAGGCAACATGGTGAAACCCCCGTCTCTGTTAAAATACAGAAAAAAAAAAAAAATTAGCCCAGCATGGCAGCATGCGTCTGTAGTCCCAGCTACTTGGGAGGCTGAGGCAGGAGAATTGCTTGAACCCAGGAGGTGGAGGTTGCAGTGAGCCGAGATTGTGCCACTGCACTCCAGCCTGGCGACAGAGTGAGACTCCATCTCAAAAAACAAAAACAAAAACAAAAAACTCAGCACAACCAAAGTCAGGCAAATTGCTGTTCAAAGCTCTTTAAATATATTTGTTAAAAACATATTTAAAATTGTGATGTCTAACATGACATTCACATGTTCAAAGGGACCCCCAAACCAGCATGTTAAATGAAGTCTCGACTGGGCGTGGTCGCTCACACCTGTAACCCCAGCTCTTTGGGAGGCTGAGGCAGTTGGATTGCTTGAGCTCGGGAGTTTGAGACGAGCCTGGGCAACATGGCGAAATAAAAAATAAAAAAAAAAAAATTAGCCAGGCATGGTGGCGCATGCCTGTGGTCCCAGCTACTCGGAAGGCTGAGGTGGGAGGATCCCTTGAGCCTGGGAGGCGGAGGTTGCAGTGAGCCGAGATTGCGCCACTGCCCTCCTGCCTGTGACAGAGAGAGACCCCATCTCAAAAAAAATAAAAATAAAAAAAAATGAAGTCTCCATCAAGTAAGGGGAGAAGTGTGCTTTGAGGCACAGAAGGAAGAGTGCGTGGTGTATGCACACAGTGAATGTGGCATGCACCAGCCCTGCCTACAAAAGTCTCAGAAGCCAGGGGCAAAGATGGTATTAGCACGACAATGTGATTACAGAAATAAAATGCTATGCAAGTGTCCAAGGAAAATATAAACTAGGTAAATACAGGTCTTAGAAACATATTTTCTTCCTAGCTTGCTTTGTTGTATATCTCTGCCTTACATTTGTAATTTCACCCCTTCTCATTACATGCAGAGAAAACCTAGTTGAGTCCCAAATTGGTGTGTTTGATTCTCTTAGATTGCAGTGTAAGCCACTCTTGAAAGTGTAATCGAAAAGAAAGGATTTGGGGAGTGTGGAGTGCGGAGGGTGGTTTTTTCTTATTTTCTTGCTAGGCTAGTGAAGGCTACTAGGGTAAATGAAGCATTGAGTGCTTTCAACGTTTTTAAACAACGTTTGAAGTTTCCATTCTTGAACAAAGAAAGACTCAAGATTTTTTATTTTTACTCTTTGTCTGTAATATTGTCTCCAAAACGCTCTGTTCTTTCTCGTTAGCACAAAATTGACCCCATATGTTTAGAAAAAAAAAATGCAAAAATATTTTCTTTTTGTCTCTTGAGGAATTAGATGCTTCTTTGGGGGAAAATAAACAGACCTTCCTTGTGCATTTAAAGGAGACAATACCTGATTCTGACTATAATGGGTCTCTTACACAGCCGAGAGACTCAAAGTTTGTGAAGATTTTGAACCCCACCTCCCCCCCATACACACTCAATCTTTGCATACACAGCCCAAAAGCTGTGTTGTTCTCCTGAAAGAATAAAATAGCTTTAAAATTCCAACCACTGGAAGGCTGCAAATGTGGCTGTGATGGTTGACAAATTTGCGAGATTTCAAAATGAAGCCAGCTCAATCTCAAAGGTCCTTTAGTGAGTCTCTTTTTATTTCCTTTATTTTTGCTTTATTTGTCTTGGTCAATTCAAAATTTGCAGAAATCCCAGACTAAACTGTGTGACCTTCGGGGCTTACTTAAGCTACCTTGGCCTGTTTTGTCCTGGGGGGAAGAGAAACAGTCATAGGGTCTCCTTCAATCCCAACGTTCTCTCATTCTAAGGGTAAACCTAATGTCCTCTTTGTATCTGTGAAAAATACTGTCGACTCCCAAGTCCTACATAGCAGGAACATATATCCCCACACTGACTCATAAATACCCCCAGCCCTTCTGGGAAGAATCTCTCTTGGGAAAAACAAAGAATCCCCCATCAAAATTAAAAAAATAAATTCTCTCCCATCCCCGTGTGCAGCAGTTAAGTGTACAGAGTGTGATATGGGCAGAAGCTTCTGAATTTCCCCATTCCACACGTCAAGCAGCCTGAATTCAATCATTACCATTTTACTTTTTTTTTTTTGTGCTATGTTTTAGCTTCGTCCCTCTAGGGGAGAAAGGTCTTTTAGTCCATGAATTATCCCTTTTCCTAAATGTTCCTTCTTCAACTGAGGAACACTGGAGCTGTGTTAATTTCTTAAAATCTTCTTTCGTCTTTGCATTGTTTGAAAAAGGCACACAGCAAAAGCCCACGTGGGAATGGTTTCTCTTTGTGCCTTGGGCATTTGCACTGTGCCCACACCCTTCCCTATAGGCAAGAAAACTACAGGGCTCCAGGCCCGTCTCCATCTTGAGATGGCTCCAGAACCTTTGTGCTTACTCCTCTCTTCACGGAGCTAAGCGGGCTGTGGCGCTTCAGGTTTTGTAGCAGCCTCTGCAGCAGCCTGTACACACCCCTTCCCTTGCAACGCAGAGCAAGGCTTCTAGCCTGATGGTCTACTTGATTGTCTAAACCACAGGTAAATGGTTTCCTGTGCATTTCTCAAAATAAGCGTTGAGCAAAGGAAATGAAAGCAACCAATTTAATAGTGATCAACAATTTTCCCTACCCCTCCGCTTCAAAAAGGGTATTTTCATAAATCGGTTTTGAGAGAAAAATGTTTAACTTCTTGGACATTTGCGTTGTAAAATTTAGCTTTGCAGAACATTCAGTGAACTAAGAGCCTTCTTAAATGCTGTTGTTTCGGCTTAATAAAACTGGTGCTTATTTAAAAAAAAAAGTCTCCACCCTTCCCTACAGAACCGAGGAATCCATTAAGGACCTTATAGAATGGCAAATCTTTTTTTAACTCTTAAAAAATTGACGTTGTTTCCGTCTTCCCGCACCAAGGACTTTGCTTTTACCCATCAGTGAAAATAACTACTTCCGATGATTGAGAAGTTATCAAGGACTCAAAGACCTAAATGTGAGTCAATTAATTCCCGCTGGATTTAAACTTAGTACAAATCTCACCTGTGTCCTGCTAGTGTCCTTTAAACCCAAAAGATCGAATAAGTATCTTTTAAATCCAAAGATTATTCAAATGAAGAGGACCCAATAAATTTAAAATCATGTTCACTAATCTTAACTGTATTCATTAAAGCAATTGTAAATATTGAACTCTGATTAGAAACCGGCCATTAGAAAATGAGTAAGCTCAAGTCCTAAATTCCTTCTTAACGCAGCTGCTAAAAATGTAATTTTTACTCATCTATGTTAATGCTAGCACTTGGTTAAATAACCAAGTTCAATTTGATACCCTGAAATAAGATACTGTGCTGTAAATTATCACCTTCATTTTCTTGAGCACGTGCAATGTCAGCTTATCAAAACCCGTAAGAACTGCAAAGATATTTTTATTAAAGCTCTCACACAATTCATACTAGGAATTCAATCAGCCTGAGAAAATGATCTCCTAGTATAGACAAGGTATTTTGCATACCTGGGTGAAACCCATTTCTATGCCATAAGGGAATTTATCCAGTCACCAGATGCTTGTCCCTCCCCAATGGACCAAGAGGTAGGCCTCTTTGCAAAGGTTTCATCCGCGATCCTTCCAGAAACCAAACAGACACACCAGCTAAGTTTTTAAACTTTTTATTTGCATATTAAAAAAATTGTGCATTCCAATAATTAAAATCATTTGAACAAAAAAAAAAATGGCACTCTGATTAAACTGCATTACAGCCTGCAGGACACCTTGGGCCAGCTTGGTTTTACTCTAGATTTCACTGTCGTCCCACCCCACTTCTTCCACCCCACTTCTTCCTTCACCAACATGCAAGTTCTTTCCTTCCCTGCCAGCCAGATAGATAGACAGATGGGAAAGGCAGGCGCGGCCTTCGTTGTCAGTAGTTCTTTGATGTGAAAGGGGCAGCACAGTCATTTAAACTTGATCCAACCTCTTTGCATCTTACAAAGTTAAACAGCTAAAAGAAGTAAAATAAGAAGGCAATGCTTGTGGAATGTACAGTGCATATTGGCGGCGCACGCCTCATTACGATTCGCCTGCTTGCTTCTCCTGTTCAATCGCTGTGACCAGAAAAAAAAAAAAAAAAAAGATGGAGGGAGATGATTAAAGGATTCAGTACAGACTAAAGGGCTTTCATTTAAAGCATCTTTTCAAATCATAAACATTCTACACGGTATTCCACAATGGAATAAAATATGTATATTGAATATACTAAATAGAAATACATTTTAATGGATAAATGTTTGTATATTAATATGGCATATTAAATATTCCATTACTAAATTACTAAAGCCCCGTGTTTGTTGGCTGCAAAACCATTTTTAATTAACCTTTGCAAGCCACATTCATCAACTGTCGGCTCTTCCCCCGCACTCCCCCCTCCCGAATTCTTCCCGCGGCCGCTCCCAGCCTCCCGCCCTCCCACCGGCCGCTCCCACCCAGCCTTTCTAAAGATGGGGGTGGGTCGGAGCTCACTTTCTTTGGAAGGCAGTGGATTTTTCTCTTGCGTCTCTGTCTTCTTCAGTTTCGACTTATCGAATTTCTCGATCTCAGCCATATCGGGTTTGTCAGACATGGTTGCGGAGGAAAAGCTGCAGGGAGCAAGCCAAGAGCGAGCGTGAGGAAGAGCCACCCGCCCCGCTGTCTCTGGGCTGGGAACTGCACTTCTGCCCTCCGACCCGCAGCCTGAAAAAAACCCTTCTCGCTCTCCTACTGCTGCCGTTCCGCGCTCACGAGCTTCCTCTTTCTACAGAAAAAGAGGCGACACCCCCCGCGCCCCTCCTCCCCATATTTCAAAACGCTGTGGACCAAAGAGGGCGGATGCCTCTCAAAGCCGAATCTTGCAGAATAAAGGAAATTGACCACTGCGAATTGTTAATTACAGCGTTTAAAATTAAAGGCTGGCTAGGACAAGGAAAGAAGAGGAAAGCCACTTCCAAATTCAAGTGGGAAAAATCGGCAAGAATTCCTAAAATGGAGCCCAGGTAGGAAAAGCGTTTCCATTTCCTAGCCGCGGCCTCTCCGCAAGGATGCGGGCCGGATCCGGCTTTCTAGTCCTCTCACAAAGGCGGCGGCCGCGGCTGGAGCTTCCGACCACCGCCCTACCGGCTTCATCGCCCGCGTCACAATGCAGCCCCGCACACAAAGCGGCCGCCGCGCGCCCCGAAGCCGGTCTTGCCTGCTCTCCCGGCAATTCGGCATCCCTGGCACACATGTCTCTGCAAGAAGGACTGTAAAGATGTCATAGCACAGCCCCGCCGCCGCCAGGCTGCACAGATGCAGCCCGCGCAGCCGTCCGAGGCTGGGAGGAGGCTCGGGGCTCGGAAGATGAACCTCAGAACAAAGGACTTGTCTATTCCCCCATATCTCAGCCTCCAAGGCAACGCACAATACCTTTGCGGGCAAACACTAAGAAATTTTTTAATGTCCCCTCCGAGCGGCACGGCAAAACGCCAGTTTTTCGGTTTTGTTCTTAAATCATCGATTTCCCCACCCCATTATCCAGTATCTAGGGTGTTTCGCATCCCCCCAGCTCCCCAAAGTAGCCTTCCCGGGGAGAACCACTCGGGCTCGGATTTAGGGAATGCCTTCACAGGGACGCGGATGATGAAAGGGCGGGGACGGAGGCAGGACGGCAGGAGGAAGGAGGCAGGGGCCCTGGGGCTCACCGAAGCGAGGCGCACGAGTACGAGCGAAGTCTGGTCTGCGCAGTGGCCACCACCGAGTTGTCGGGCGGGGTGCGGCGGGCGCAGCTTTATGGGCGCTCCTATGTAAATGAGGTGATGTCACCCGCCGGCCCGCTTAACTCCTTCGCGCCGCGTCTCGGAACGGCATCCGGAGGCCTGCCGGGCTTTTGGGGAGGGGAGCCCCACCCCCACCCGGGGTCCACTAGTGCATGCACCCTAACCACAACGATGGCGAAAAAAATGAGCAAAGCACCCTCCAACACTTCATAACACATTTTCCCCTTTTACGTTTATTTCATTACGATGAATTTTTGCAACAGCAGCGCAGAAATTGCTCTTGGGGACCAGTGCATAATAACTAAGGGTCGGGGTGGCACCTGGGGTGACAGGCATTCTTTTATTTCGAAACTGCCTTTGTCTACTGTGGACATCTCCACACAAGGGCGCGGTGTCCCTCCCTGGAGGGCCTGGCCCGCTGCAGGGGTACGATTCCTGTGACTCAGCTTTCAGTCCAGTGGCGGGCATGCGCCCCACCCCGGGCCTCTTTGTCTTCCTCGCTGGCGTTCCTCTTGCCTTGGGTGGGACGTAAAGCACCCTTAAGTGATTTTAAAAGAGAAAGTTTCATCACTGAAACATCCATATTGTTTCATCAGCATAATTTTTGTGAGCACTCAACAGTAGTATTTGCTGGGTGTAAGGTAATTTGGAGTTTATAGGGTAAAACACCTCCCTCTTAGCAAAATAAGTCAAGCTCAAGCTCTGCCATTGACTTTACTGCCGGACAATGAGGAAGTTCTTTACCTTCCTCTTCCTTATTTTCATAAATTTTAAAAGTGATGGCTAAGGAGGCCAGCGTTGAATTCCAAAGACTACAGTTACATTATCTCTAATGTCTTAAGATGAAATTCAAAAATCAAATTATATTTTCAAGGGAGCGTTTCCAGCACTAGGACATCGCTGAAGTGCATCTGCATCTGGAAATATAAGAGATTCGGGTAGAGGGAAGCAGTTTTCAAAATGGCACCTGACTCTGTGAATACCAGTGACCCACTTGCTACTGAAAATTAGTTACAAATACCATGCCACGCGCCTGCAAATGGCGTGTGAAAGGAAAAAGACTCGCCGGTTATAAAGAGGCCTAGCTGTGATTATTTCTAAGAGACAAGGCAGTGTGCAAAATATTCCTTCTCCTTTTCCGTGGCCTGGGGAAATGTTTTTAGAAACCCCTTGCTAATCATTTTTATGGCACAGGCTTTTGTCTCGCTGGGGATTAGAGTCAACCTTATATATAGACCCTTGAATGCCACTGCCAGCAGCTTGGACTTCCCCGTTTCTCCATCTACTTGACTTCCTTTTTCCTGGGGAGGAAGGAGGTGGGGGTGAGCAGGGGCAGGTGACCGTCTGGTCCCCTAGTTAATGCTCTGCTGGGTGGCTGCCTTCCTGGCCTCCGAATGGGGCACTGGACCTGTTCGTGCATGCACCAAATGTCACCTGTCTGGTAACAGCCCCCCCGCCCCTGTTCCATGTTGGGAGTCTACTTCATCGTTGAAACACAGAAAAGATCTTGCAGGGTGCCTTTTCGCCCGTTTAGCTGGCAGCTGCCGTTGTACCGACACCGTTTCCGCAGGTTCTGTGATTCTGTTTCCCCTCACCCAGCTGCTGTCGAAAATCATTTCTTTCCTCCCAATGTCTCCTGATGACAAAGGAGTGCCACTACCTTCTCCTGGCTTCTTCTCCCAAGGGCCTTTCCTCAGAAAGGGTTAGGCCTCACTGAAGCAATTCTCCAAAGGAGATGGACGAATGCAAACTTGGAAATGTCTGGAGAAGTTTTCCAGTGCGGTAGCAAGCAGCCTTCCACTGTGCTGAGACACTGATGGAGGGCAGGTGGAAACAGAGAGGAAGAGAAAGAGAGACGACTGCTTAAAGGAAAAGAGTTCCCATGATTGGGACTGACCTGCCAACCGGTCAGGAGACCTAGAGAGACAGGAAAGGGAAGGGTGGTGCAGATACAAGGAAATGCAAACCAAAGGAATATTCTTAAAAGTTGCATGACTCTGGCCATGTGAATGAATCTTTCTGTGCTGGAGTTTTCTCATCTGTAAAATGGGTTCATTGCAACACCGACCTCACAGGGTTGTTGGGAGGAGTAAATGCTTCGGACAGTGCATGACAATTAGTAAGCTCTTTCTATTGTTATTATTCGTATGATTTAGGATGGAAGGTTGAGGAAAAATAATAAAATAATTGTCTTAGTGTTTAGAATTAATTAAAAATTTTAGGTGTCTTGATATTATTTCTCCTATAGAGACATTTATATATTATTATATATTATTTCTATATAATTAATACATATGAATATATATTATTATTTTCACTTACAAAATGTTGATAGAAGATCTTTTGGTAGTTTTACAGCAAATAAAACATGACAACTCCTGTCGGTTGATATTTTCTAAGAGTCAGGCATTGTAACGTAAGTTTTACATTTGTTTTTTCCTTTCTTTCCCACCGCCTTTCCATAAGAAATTTCCAGATGGGGAAACTGAGGCTTAGAGAGCCATCATTGGGTTACCTCAGCTGGTAGCCACTCTGTTATATATGCCAAGAGCATGTAAAAGTCCTCCCCACATCCTCTTAGTCTGTACCCGAGAATCACCAGGAAGAGTGTGAGGAGCTAGGCAGTTGTGCTTTCCACAGCGTCTGGTGGATAGTAATTGCTCAATAACAGTTCTCCCACTGCATTGAATTGATTTTCTTTTCTTTTCTTTTTTTGAGACAGTCTCGCTCTGTCACCCAGGCTGGAGTGCAGTGATGTGATCTCGGCTCACTGCAACCTCCACCTCCCGGATTCAAGCCATTCTCTGCCTCAGCCTTCCATGAATTGATTTTCTTAAATGAGGGAGGTACTTGAACTCAGGTGTTGAACCTGTGACTCTAATTGTCTTGCTTTCTTCTCCCCAGATAATTAAATCCATTTAGTCTTAATGTTCTAGATGTCAGAATGTTCCAGGATCATCCCTGCCCCAGGCAGCTACATTTATAAGTCTGTTAGTATGTGCCGGGCACAACTACCATTGAGGTAGCAGTTTTCGATCCCAATTAAAAAGACAGAGGCACACAGGGGCAAAGGAACTGCTTACAATGGGTGCAGACATTGTTCCCAGTGAGACCCCCCCCCAAAAAAAAAGGCCTTGGGTGACTCCGGGTTGTATGGTGCACTCTGGCCTTGGGGCTCTCTGGTGAAAGATAAGTAGAGTCCACTTTGCGCCTGTCCTGCCTTCCTCATCTCACGGGCCACAGCGCCCAATGAAAAATGTGCCAACATTGCCTGCGTTGAAGGGCGGTTCCCCTCCAACCCTGTGTCTGGTGGAACCCGGAAAAGGTGGCAGGGGACGCAGTTTTATTTTGCTTTCCAGGGCGGGCCTGGGATAGAGTCGTGGCTATTTCTAACCATGGAGAAGTTGGCTAGAAGTCTGAATTCATGAAAATGAGTTCTATTAGTTTGAACCTATTTAATTTTGTGCCAAAAACTTACCAGAAGAAGAGAAGAAGGAAGAGGAGGGAGGAACGGAAGAACAGGAACAAAGCTGAGCTCCCAGCTCTTGCTTTCTCAAGCCCAGATCCCTTTGTCTGAGTTTCAGGGCCTCCTACCATCTGCCCCACCTGCCTGCACCCCACGTTCCCCTGTGGCCCCTGCAGTCTCCATCTGGTCTCCCTCACAGCAGAGCCCTCCTTCCACTGATTGGAATCTAAAACCCCTTAAAGACACAGCCTAAGTCCCCCCTGTGAATAACAGGAAAATGAAAAGAGAAAGGATATTTAGTAGACTAGCTATATCTTGTAACCTCAGCTATAAGCCCTTTTAAACAATATCTGATTCCATTCTTACCCTATGGAGTGAGTACTAATATCCCCATTTTACTACTAAAGAAATTGAGGCTCCGAGAATTTAAGCAATTTGCTCTTAATCAAATGCCCAGGTCTGTCTACCAAGTCTTTCCACCGAGGCCTATCTCTGCCTTATCTTTAGTTGAAGTATCTTTCTCCAGGACTCCCACCCAGAGCGGACCCACATGGTGCAAAGAGGAAGGCGAGCAGGGGGTGGCAGGAAAGCAAAGAGGAGTGAAAGAACACCCTCGCCTGTGCTCAGTGCTGAGTGCCGTGCTGCTAATTGTCCTGTTTGCTTTATTGATCCGATGGAAACTTTAGAGCCAAAAGAAATGTAAAAGGGGATCTCATTCAACCCAGTTTCCCTTCTGTGGCTTGAATTTTCCTCTACAACATCCCCTCCAAGTGGTTACTCAGCCTCCACACAGCCAGGGAACAATACGGAAGCAGAGAATCTTCGAGTTAACGCAGGGGGCAATGAGTAGCTTAGCTTGGCAGGCACTTGCGTAAAATGAGAGAAAGTGACAGGAAATAACGCTGGGAACCAGGCAGGGGCCAGGTTGTAGAATAATGATAGTAACAATCATGGCTGTACCCATAGCAGTAATAACAGCAAGTGCTTTCTGAGTGCTTTCCATATACTGGGAAGCTTTCCATGTAGTATTTCCCGAATCCTCACACAATCCTATGACAGTGGCACCATTATTCTCCTCATTTTGCAGATGAGAGAATTCTAGAGGGATTAAATAACTTCCCCAAGAAAACACAACGAAAGCCAAAGGCAGGATTTGAACTCAGACTGGCTGGCTCAGAAGCCGCCTCATTTAAACACTACTCTTCTCTAGAATCCTAAGGCCTTTTAAAGGCTTTGTTCCATACGCCAGATAAGGGTAAAGTTATATTCTGTCTCAATCAGCTGTCTAGCTTTTTCATCATGTAGATGTTTTTTCTCTTTTTTTCTTTTTTTTTTTTAAGAAACAGGTTCTCTCTATGTTGCCCAGGCTGGTCTCAAGTTCCTGGGCTCAAGCAATCCTTCCACCTCGGCCTCCCAAAGTGCTGGGATTACAGGCGTGAGCCACCGCACCCAGCCTACATCATGAAGACATTTAAACATAGATATCGTAATAATGTCATATACATTAAAATTTTCCCTGCCCCAATTTTCAAATTATTTCATTACAGAAATTCAATCTGCTCTTTTTCCTCCTCCTGCATGGCCAAGGCACTGGCAATAAAGAGAATTTGTATCCTGAACGTTAGTAGTTTTCCTCAGCTTTTCACTACTTAAATATTTTTCTTTTTCTTTTTCTTTTCTTTTTTTTTTTTTTTGAGTCGGAGTCTTGCTCTGTCACCAGGCTGGAGTGCAGTGGTGCAATCTCGGCTTACTGCAACCCCCGCCTCCCAGGTTCAAGCGATTCCCCTGCCTCAGCCTCCTGAGTAGCTGGGGTTACAGGTGCACACCACCACTCCCAGCTAATTTTTTGTATTTTAGTAGAGACAGGGTTTCACCGTGTTGGCCAGAATGGTCTTGATCTCCTGACCTCGTGATCTACCCGCCTCGGCCTCCCAAAGTGCTGGGATTACAGGCGTGAGCCTGGCCTTACTACAATATTTTTCTAAGAAGTCATTCATATTACAATGGCTAAAAAAATTAGTAGGTTCAATAGCATATTGAAAGGGGAGGCATTACACACTCCCAATGGCTTTCTGTGTTAAAAATGACAAACCTTTGATTCCATTGTGAAGCAGAATTATGCTTAGCAAGTAACAAGTGTTTGTATTTTTTAATGTGTTTTTTCTGTGGGTGCCAAAGCTTTATATAAAATATAGTTCCCAGATCATCAGCAGAAGATGGTTAATAGCTTTATGGTGAGGAAAATGGAGTGTAGGTAATGGAGCACTGGCTCAAATCTGAGGGGAAAACCCACATAGGCCAAGATCAACTTCCTTGGCTGACCCTGACGATTTGGCCTCTCCAGGACTGGCTTCACAGGTGCACAGCTGTGCAGCTGCACTGGGCCTTACGCTCAGAAGTCCCTGGTGCTTGGCTTAATGTACTGCTGCCGCCATTTTGAAATTCTTACCCCACATTTCTATTTTGTACTGTGTCCCCCAAATTCTGAAGCCAGTCCTGCCCTTTTTAGATTCTCATTCTTTGAGTGCCTCCAGTGCTACTGTCTTTTCCTGGACCCAGGAATGGGCCCTTACACACGTGCCTCTTCCTCTGCCTATAATGCCCTCTCAGGTCATGCCCATTAACACTTCTCAGGTGTGGAAACTCCCTGTTCTTCTTGAGCTGAGAAAGTGGTGCCAATTTAGGAAAAAAAAAAAAACTTTTTATTAGGAAACTAGAGGAAAACAAATTTTAAAGTACAAAACAATGGGCTTCTTAACAATGCTATAGAGCTTCATCATAGGTTGATTTGACCGGCAGAGCTTAAGGGCCACAGCATCTTAGTTCCCTTACCCATTCCCAGAGCACCTGGGAGGAGGTGCGGATACCAGACCAAGGTTCTCAGACTGCTGGCACCAGTAGAGCTGGTGGCACCAGTGCCAGAATTGGAATTCTTCATCCCTCTATTTTCTTTCCAGTTGAGGGACATTCTTGTTGACCCAGGGCCGGGCCACGCTTGTGCACAGCAGACAATCCCAAGAAATCTTTGATCTTTATGAGAGAGAGGAACTCTCCGACATCACCTCCAGTAGTTCCTTGTTGGGGTTCTTGGACTGTTTTATCCTGACTTTGCAGCTAAGTTTGTCAGCTCTCCTGGAAGTTTTCCATGCTCCTCCTCTTTAACCCCTTCCTTTCACTGGTGGATCAGTCTGAGTGTGTACACAGGATGCTCCAGCCTCTTTGCCACCTGCAATGCTTCGATCTGAGCCTAGGTGCCCTTGGAGCTGGTGTTTTGGAGCAGCCGCCACCGTTTTCTAGGCCTCTGTGAGGTGCACACACCAGTTCTGTTCTCTTCCTTTCTGCCGGGTTATTTTTTCCTGTCTGAGGGATGGCTGCAACTTTCAGCTTACTTGTGCCTCAGAATTGACTTGCATGTACCAAGGCCAATGAAGGAGAATTGAAACTGACCCAATAGTCCCATAGATCAGCGGTTCCTAACCTTTTTGGCACCAGAGACCGGTTTCGTGGAAGACAATCTTTCCATGGACAGGGTCGGGAGGGTGCTGGTTTCAGGATGAAACTGTTCCACCTGAGATCATTAGGCATTAGCTTCTCATAAGGAGTGCACAACCTGGATCCCTCGTATGTGCAGTTTGAAATAGGGTTGGCGATCCTATGAAAATCTAATGCCGCCCTGATCTCACAGGAGGCATAGCTCAGGCGGTCATGTGGTAATGCTCGATCACTGGCGTCTCACTTCCTGCTGTGTGGCCCGGTTCCTAACTGCACAGCAGGGGGTTGGGGACCACCCCACCCCCTCATGGATCCTTTCTCAGAATTATGTCAATGCTTAAAACAAAAACCTGGGATCACAAATGAAAATTATATTTACATACAGTTACCAAAAGTTTTTAATAATTGTGATGTAATATATGTGCTTCTTTATATATTAAAGAACACAGTCTAGCAGTCAGTCTCATATCCACTATAAATTCAAAATAGTGATCAGTGTTTGATATCTACACAACGTTAACAGATATAAAAATATCTGTAATTTCTTTTGTTGATACAAGCACAGGAACTGCTAAGATTTCAGAGGTTTCTTGACTACATGCGTATTTGAAGAAACCGCTAACATTCAGAGGTTAATGAAAATAAAGATGGGTTTTTTTCCTTCTAAGTTCCCTAGATTCTCTTCAAAAATCTCTTGGGTGTCCGTGGACCCCAAACTAAAGGAACGGTTTCTTAAACTAGAGAAAGTCACCAACAGCGTTTTTGTTTTTTTTGTTTCGTTTTGTTTTTTGAGACAGAGTCTTGCTCTGTCGCCCAGGCTGGAGTGCAGTGGCGCGATCTCGGCTCACTGCAAGCTCCGCCTCCCGGGTTCACACCATCCTCCTGCCTCAGCCTCCGGAGTAGCTGGGACCACAGGCGCCCGCCACCACGCCCGGCTAATTTTTTTTTGTATTTTTAGTAGAGACGGGGTTTCACCTGTGTTAGCCAGGATGTTCTCAATCTCCTGACCTCGTGATCTGCCTGCCTTGGCCTCCCAAAGTGCTGGGATTACAGGTGTGAGCCACTGCGCCCGGCCACCAACAGCGTTTTTTGAGAAAAAAATGGAAGTGATGGCGTGGCTACCGATGAATGTGATAAACCAATAACCCTGCTTTTGAAATTTAATTTACCATTTACCTCTGAATATTCTCTGCTTGATCTAAATTTCACCATCTATACCAGCAGCTTACCTGAAAGGGTTTGGGCACCAGCTCAGAGAAAGCAACAAATTGGACAACAGCTGGTGGGGGCGGGGGGAAGACCAGCTTATAGGTGTCACCTTACATTTTGGTGTTTAGTAATTCCTTATGTAATGCAACTCATATTTATCTAGTTTTAGTGAACTTCATCAAAATATTCTCTCACCTTTTGTGTCATTTTATCCTTAAAGTACTTGTAGGCAGATAAAGGGACTAGATATTCGTATCAATATTTTGCAGAGGATGGAATTCAGCACAGAGAGGTTAAGCCACCCATTCAAGGGTATTCAGTTGGTTTGCAGAGCCAAGACCATAAACCAAAACTCCTTGTATTCAACTGTGGGCCCATAGTCCTTTAGGCATAATTTTAGGTGCTAGATCTCATAGAATCCATACTTTAGGAGGAAGATTGTATATCTAAGATGAGAAGGAGCCAAATTCAGATTCAGTCATATATGAAACTCAGTCAACTCAGAATGTGTATTTTACCTAAACATAGGATGGTTCACCAATACTGGAATTGTTCCCAGTGCTAACCAAACAATAATAGACCTGATTTTGTTTTGGTAGTGGCAGTGGTGGTGATGGTGGTGTATATTGTTAGTTTTTGTCATACAAGCATCCATTTCTCAGATTTGAAATTACACACGTGGCTTCTAAAGACCTAAATTTACTCATTCATGAAAATGGCTTCCTAGTCTTTTTTTTTTTTTTTTTTTTTTTACTACTTAAGGTCCTTGGCACAAAGAGTGAGCATACATTTGCACTTAAATTTTTCTATTTTTCTATGTATACACAGACAGGAACACAATTTTAGTTTGGGCCAGGAGGAGGTATTTTAATGTCTGAATTTTATATTTTGTACTCTGTGGTTATGTTTGCATAAATGCCTTACTTTTTAGCTAGAACACTGTGTTTGGTTTTGTGTAATGAAGAATTTGGCTGGCCATTATCTCTAGTTCCTGAGATGTAGCTTCTAAACCCTTAGAATTTCCTGAGTGATTGGAGTGTCTTTGTTATTCATGGTGGGCCCCTTGGACCAGGCTTGATTGTTTATGATAATGAGGTGGCTCACACTGGACAGTTTATGCTAATGAAACGATTCAGAATAGGGGCTGGCCAGGCCGGAAAGATCAAATATGTGATTAGAGGGTTGGGGCTTTAAGCCATGAGATATAAGCCCAACCTCTGGAGGGGAAAAGGGGAGCTGGAGAATGAACCATGTGACCAGTGGTTCTATCAATCATGCCTGTATGAGGCCTCAGTAGGCCTCAGTAAACATTTTAGTACACCAAAGCTCAAGTGAGCCTCCTTGACTGACATTACTCCTTGAGTATTGTCACACTTTCAGGCTGGGAGGATAACACGTCCTTAAGGATGACAGAAGCATTGCACTTGGAACCCTGACAGATGTTGCCCTGCGCATTTCTTCTTTGGGCTGTATCCTTTTACTGTAATAAAACTGTAAGTATAGCACTTCCCTGAGTTCTGTGAATCGTTCTAGCAAATTATTGAGCCAGAGGGTGGTCACGGGAATCCCTCAATTTTAGCCAGTTGGTTGGAAGAGTGAGTGACCCTGGGGACTGGTGTCTGAAGTGAGGGCTGTCTTGTAGAGAATTTAACTTGTGAAGTTTGGCTTAACTCTGGGTAGATTTACAGAATGACAAAATGAGAAAAAGCTTGTACTCTCATTTATTAAACCAGTGCCAGGTGTATCATCTAATTTAATCCTCAGTTAAAACCCTTCAAGCCAAGTCCTTCTATTTTTGGTTTTGCTGGAAGGAAACTGAAACTCAGGAATCACAAAGCTAAATTCAGATTTGAATGCAAAATTTTGAATGCAAACTCCAAAACCCAGAATAAACACCTTTGTTGAAAGACATAATTTAAAAATTTTGTTAAAAAATCTTGACTGGGCCGGGCGCGGTGGCTCATGCCTGTAATCCCAGCACTTTGGGAGGCCGAGGCGGTGGATCACCTCAGGTCAGGAGTTCGAGACCAGCCTGGCCAACATGGCGAAACCCGCATCTCTACTAAAAATACAAAAATTAGCCGGGTGTGGTAGCAGGCGCCTGCAATCCCAGCTACTGGGAGGCTGAGGGAGGAGAGAATCGCTTGAACCCGGGAGGCGGAGGTTGCAGTGAGCCGAGATTGTACCATTGCACTCTAGCCTGGGACACAGGAGCGAAACTCCGTCTCAAAAAAAAAAAAAAAAAAAAGATCTCGACTGATCATGTTTATTTTTATAGAAATCATTTTAATATGCAACTACATTGATCTCCCATGCTTAATTTTTGAAATAGTCTTTATTTGTTCAACCAATTTTTATTGAGTTACTACTGTGTGGCAAGCATTGTTGTAGGAGCCAAGGATATCTCAATAAACAAAACTTCTGCCTTTAAGGAGTTTACTTTCTAGCGGGCCAGAAAGAGAGAATACATATTTTTTTTTTTTATTTTTTATTTTTTATTATTTTTTTTTATTGATCATTCTTGGGTGTTTCTCGCAGAGGGGGATTTGGCAGGGTCATAGGACAATAGTGGAGGGAAGGTCAGCAGATAAACAAGTGAACAAAGGTCTCTGGTTTTCCTAGGCAGAGGACCCTGCGGCCTTCCGCAGTGTTTGTGTCCCTGGGTACTTGAGATTAGGGAGTGGTGATGATTCTTAACGAGCATGCTGCCTTCAAGCATCTGTTTAACAAAGCACATCTTGCACCGCCCTTAATCCATTCAACTCTGAGTGGACACAGCACATGTTTCAGAGAGTACAGGGTTGGGGGTAAGGTCACCGATTAGCAGGATCCCAAGGCAGAAGAATTTTTCTTAGTACAGAACAAAATGAAAAGTCTCCCATGTCTACTTCTTTCTACACAGACACGGCAACCATCCGATTTCTCAATCTTTTCCCCACCTTTGCCCCGTTTCTATTCCACAAAACCGCCATTGTCATCCCGGCCCGTTCTCAATGAGCTGTTGGGTACACCTCCCAGACGGGGTGGTGGCCGGGCAGAGGGGCTCCTCACATCCCAGTAGGGGCGGCCGGGCAGAGGCGCCCCTCACCTCCCGGACGGGGCGGCTGGCCGGGCGGGGGGCTGAACCCCCACCTCCCTCCCGGACGGGAAGGCTGGCCGGGTGGGGGGCTGACCCCCCCACCTCCCTCCCGGACGGGGCGGCTGGCCGGGCAGGGGGCTGACCCCCCCACCTCCCTCCCGGATGGGGCGGCTGGCCAGGCAGAGGGGCTCCTCCCTTCCCAGTAGGGGCGGCTGGGAAGAGGCACCCCTCACCTCCCGGACGGGGCGGCTGGCCGGGCGGGGGGCTGACCCCCCCACCTCCCTCCCGGACGGGGCGGCTGGCCGGGCGGGGGGCTGACCCCCCCCACCTCCCTCCCGGACGGGGCGGCTGGCCTGGTGGGGGCTGACCCCCACCTCCCTCCCGGATGGGGTGGCTGCCGGGCGGAGATGCTCCTCACTTCCCAGACGGGGCGGTTGCCAGGCGGAGGGTCTCCTCGCTTCCCAGATGGGGCAGCCGGGCAGAGACGCTCCTCATCTCCCAGACGGGGTCGCGGCCGGGCAGAGGCGCTCCTCACATCCCAGACGGGGCGGCGGGGCAGAGGTGCTCCCCACATCTCAGACGATGGGCGGCCCGGCAGAGACGCTCCTCACTTCCTAGATGGGATGGCGGCCGGGAAGAGGCGCTCCTCACTTCCTAGATGGGATGGCGGCCGGGCAGAGACGCTCCTCACTTTCCAGACTGGGCAGCCAGGCAGAGGGGCTCCTCACGTCCCAGACGATGGGCGGCCGGGCAGAGACGCTCCTCACTTCACTTCCCAGATGGGGTGGCGGCCGGGCAGAGGCTGCAATCTCGGCACTTTGGGAGGCCAAGGCAGGCGGCTGGGAGGTGGAGGTTGTAGCGAGCCGCGATCACGCCACTGCACTCCAGCCTGGGCACCATTGAGCACTGAGTGAACCAGACTCCGTCTGCAAACCCGGCACCTCGGGAGGCCGAGGCTGGCGGATCACTCGCGGTTAGGAGCTGGAGACCAGCCTGGCCAACACAGCGAAACCCCGTCTCCACCAAAAAAGTAGGAAAACCAGTCAGGCGTGGGGGCGCGCGCCTGTAATCGCAGGCACTCGGCAGGCTGAGGCAGGAGAATCAGGCAGGGAGGTTGCAGTGAGCCGAGATGGCAGCAGTAGAGTCCAGCTTCGGCTTGGCATCAGAGGGAGACCGTGGAAAGAGAGGGAGAGGGAGACAAAGAGAGGGAGAGGGAGACCGTGGAAAGAGAGGGAGAGGGAGACCGTGGAAAGAGGGGAGAGGGAAAGGGAGAGGGAGAGGGAGAGGGACTTTTGTGTGGAATCGAGAATACATATTTTTAAAAATAAGTAGTGTGCATAGTATACTAGAAGATGACCATGGAAAGTGAGAGTAGGGTAAGGGAAATGAACAGGGAGTGTGTAGGAGGGATGGTCCAGGTAAGCCATCAGAGGCAAGACTTCAAGGGAAAGAGGAAGTGAGCCACGCAGATGCCTGGGGGAGGTGCTCCAGGGAGAGGTCACAGCCAACTCCAAGGCCCTGAGCAGGGACCATGACCACACACGAAAGCCAGCATGGCTGAAGCAGGAGAGCAGCAGTGTTCCCTGGAGTCGTACAACGTGAAGCCAAATAGGTCAAATCACCCTTATGGGAGTGTGGGATGGATGGTGCCAAACATGAGGAGCTTCCCAGGCCATTTTAAGAACTTTGGCCTTCCTTTTTTTGCATGAGTTAGGAAGCCACTGGCAGTTTGCCATCAGAGAAGTCCCATGACCTGATTCAGGTTTGAAAGGGACCACAGCCACTCTGGCTCCTGGGTTGAGACTAGACTAGGAGCAGGGAGGCTGCTTTACAGGCCATTGCAACAATTCAGGTGGAGGACAGACCAGGATGGGAAAGTGGAGTGGTGATGAGTGGACAGATGCTGGATGTATTTTGAAGGTAGAGCCAATAGGATTTGCTGATCTACAGGGTATGGAGGGGGAGAGAAAGTGAGGAGTCCAGGCTGATGCAAAGATTTTGGTCTGAGCAACTGGAAGGATGGAGTGGCCATCCACTGAAGTGGAGAAACTTAACTGGGCAGGGGATGGGGAGGCGCAGTGTGCTCAGGTTTTAGGATAGATGATCAGGAGCTCGGATGGAATGTAGGACATTTGATTTGCCTAGTAGAGTCCAAGTGGACATGTCAGGAGGCATTTTAATAAAGATTTTTTTACCTTCTTCCTTCCTCCCAGTGTTCCTGCCTTCTCTACTGAAGGCAGAGAGGATACATACATATAGAATATGGCCTTCACTTCCAATGAGAACAAGAGCCATTGGGAACTGGCTTTGTTGTGAGTCATTGCTTGGCACCTACTGAGTACTTTGTGCAGGCATGTTAAATGAAAGAGATTTAAATTTTGTACTAAGAGGAACTTGAAAAACAAAACAAAACAAAATCAATGATCATTCTGTGTACAAGAATGCTAAAACTGCCAGCAGAGGGAGAGTGCTTTGTCATTTGTTTTTGGTTTTACATTTCTGCAACGTTAATGTTTCGCTTCCTTTATTAATTAGGACTTATTTATTATTTAGTTTGTAACATGCACCATGGTTGCAGTTACTAGAATGTTTAAAATTTTTCACTTTAGAATAATTTCAAACTTACAGAAAAGCTGCAAAAAGACAGTAAAGAACTGTGGTATACCCTTAACCCAGATTCACCAGTTGTTAATAATTGGCCATACTTGCTTTATCAATATTTTACTATCTATCTATCTATCTATATCTATTTTTCTATCTACCTATCGTTCTTTCTGTCTACCTACTTACTTATTTTTTCTAGACCATGTGAGAATAAGTTGTGAATATGACACCTTTTTACCCACAAATACTAGGTATGCATTTTCTAATAAGGTCATTCTCCAACATAGCCACAGTACAATTGTCAGTACCAGGAAATGTCACATTGCTACAAGACTATTATCTGATGTGCAGACCTTATTCAAATTTTGTCTATTAGCCCAATAACATTCTTATAACAGCTTTTTCCGGTCCATGTTCCAATCCAGGATCATGCATGGCATGTAATTGATATGCCCCACTAGTATCTTTTAATTTAGAACTTTCTCAGCCTGTCTGTATTCCATGACACTATTTTTGAAGAAGACTGGCCGCTTATTTTGTGGAATTTCCCTTGATTTAAGTTTGACTGATGTTTCCTCGGGATTAGATTTGGGCTTGCCTTTTTGGCAGGAATGCTACTCGAGCGAGGGACACTGTGACCTTCTCGGTGTCTCACAGCCGGGGGCCCATGAAGTTGGTATGTTCCGTTATTGGGATGTTAACTTGGATCAATTGATTAATGTGTTACCACTCAGGTTTCTCCACTGCAAAAGTAGTATTTTTTGAGATGTGTTGTTGTTTAATGTGTCTCTGTTCCCTGCATGGTGTGGATATTTCAGCTGTCTTCACAAAAACCTTAGCTCAGTTATGGCGGGATAAATCATAGCCTTGATGAGGGCGAATTACTCTCCTCACCATGCATAAACCCAAGGAGATTCTGTGTGGTATTGAAGGACCCAGAAACGACATCAGCACTTATGCCTACTCACGGGTAACTTACCTGTCATCTGAGCAACATGACAGTATACACAGTGCACCCTGCTTCCAAAGGAGAAAATTTTTAAAAAATAAAACGTGGCAAAAATCATTCAGAAAATGGCATTTGTTTCTCACAAAGGAGATTCACAATAACTTCCCACTCCCCGCCCCACCCCAAGAAGTTCTTTTCTTGTTAAACGCTAACGAATGGGGTTGTTGATGACCTCTACAAAGGAGATTAAAAGACAATGGAGGAGTGAGGCCGGGCGAGGTGGTTCATGCCTGTAATCCCAGCACTTTGGGAGGCTGAGGTGGGAGGATCGCTTGAGCCCAGGAGTTCGAGACCAGCCTGGGCAACACGGCAAAACCCTGTCTCTACAAAAAATAGAAAAATTAGCTAGGCATTGTAGTACATGCCTGTAGTCCCAGCTACTTGGCAGGCTGAGATGGAAGGGTGGCTTGAGCACGTGAGGTCAAGGCTGCAGTGAGCTGTAGCCTTGGCACCACTGCACTCCAGCCTGGGTCACAGAGCAAGACCCCGTCGAAAGAAAGAAAGGAAGGAAAGAGAGAAAGAGAGAGAGAAAGAAAGAAAAAACAAAACAAAACAAAACAACAAACAAAAAAAACAGGGTCTGATGGCTCAACCTGCTTGCTGAGCATGGCAGGATCTAATTGTGTCTCAAAGACTGGACCAGAGAGTTGGAGATGCCCTTCCACCACACCCTACTGCAGTGTTTATAGGCCCAAAGGGTCTTCAACTAGCCCAGTAGGTGTTTGATAGATTACCCTCTGTTAGTTGAGGTGACTATTTTCCTCCTATCCCACTGGGGAAAGTGGCCTGAGCACTTAAGGGGATCCCTGGCCAAGAAGAACAACCACAAGGATCATTTATCGAGTGCTTGCCAGAGCCAGGCACTGCCTTAAGCGCCTCTTCATTCTCCCAGTGACATTGTGGGGTAGGTAGAGTGAACACCCCATTTTACAGAGAAAGAAACTGGAGCTCCGAGAAGTACCATGGCCAAGGTTGCTCAGCTAGTAAGACCAACCATTGAATGTGACAGTTTTAAGTTTTATTTTTCAGCATTTTATTTACATTTTCTACCCTCAAGCAGGGGCAGCAGTGAGGAGAAGGTGAGATCTCAGATGCTGTAGAGACGGTTAAATTGGCCATTGACTAGGTCAAAAAAGTATATATATATCCCTGTGTATGTGTGTGTGTGTGTGTGTGTGTGTGTGTGTGTATATATATATATATATATACACACACTGTATATATATATATATATATACACACACACACACACACACATACGCTATATACATATATGGTATAAGACTATATATATACACACATCTGTATACATATACAGTATAAGACTGTGTGTATGTGCATATATGTATGTGTATATATATATATATATATACACACACACACAGTCATGTACTGTGTGATGACATTTCAGTGATCCCATAAAATAATACTGTATTTTTTACTGTACCTTTTCTAATTTTAGATACACAAATACTTAGCATTGTGTTACAGTTGCCTACAGTATTTAGTGCAGTGACATGCTGTACAGGTTTGCAAGCTAGGAACAATGGGCTGTACCATATAACCTAGGTATGTAGTAGGCTGTACCATCTAGGTTTGTGTAAGTACACTCTGTGATCTTCGCACAATGAGGAAATCGCCTAGAACGTATCCCCATTGTTAAGCGATGCATGACTATATGTAAATATGTATATATATATATATATATATATATATGTTTTTTTGTTTGTTTGGATGAGAAACACACTAACATTTGTAGTGATAAACATTTTTTGTTGCTTTGTTGCACCTTCTCAGTAAATCCCATGAATTTAGTCTAAGGATGCTCATTTTACAGATGGATAAACCGAGGCTCCAGAGATCACAGTTGGCAAGTGGCTGAGCTGGGACGGTATCCAGCTCTATCTGGTTCCAAAGTCTGGTCTCTAAGGCCCTCCTCACTGAGCTAAGAACAACATGAGAAGATGCCCGTGTATGGTAGGCTTTCAAATGCAAATCAAACAATGAGGACCTCTCTGCTCATTTCAGACTGACAAAAATGAAAAGGTTGAGTAGTGGCTCCAGTTGGCCAGAATGCAGGGAAAGAAAAGTGAAAGCTCTTATATGCTGTTGTTGGAAGGGTCAATTCGTAGGGACTTTTCAGAGGCACCGGTGGCTGTCACAATTAAAACAGCATTTCCAGTTGAACCCAGCATTTCCAGTTTAAGTCCAGTGACAGGACTCTCATTCTATAGCCATACTAACACACTTACATATACATATACATACACATGCACAAACATCTAGATCTTTCCCCCATAGCATTGTAGATAAGAGTAAAAGCTACAATCAACCTAAGTGTATATTAATTGGGAGATTAATTAAATACATGATAGAGTACCCAAACAATGGAAAACTATGCAGCTGTTAAAAAAAGATTGAGGCAGATTTATTCATGATATGCTGTGGAAGGATGTCCAAAGAATACTCTTTTTTTTTTTCCCCCGAGACAGAGTCTCGCTCTGTCACCCAGGCTGGAGTGCAGTGGCGCGATCTTGGCTCACTGCAACCTCTGCCTCCTGGGTTCAAACAATTCTCCTGCCTCAGCCTCCCGAGTAGCTGGGATTAGAGGCACCCACCACCACACCAGCTACTTTTTGTATTTTTAGTAGAAATGGGGTTTCACCATGTTGGCCAGGCTGGTCTCCAACTCCTGACTTCGTGATCCACCCACCTCGGCCTCCCAAAGTGCTAGGATTACAGGTGTGAGCCACCGCGCCCAGCCAGAATACTCTTAAGTGGAAAATAAAGAGCCTCATAAATAGTGTCTGATCCCTTCTGTGCAATAAAAAAGTGAGGTGTAGAGAGACCATTTCCGGAAGGGAATTTTAAGAGCTTACCTCTGGGGAAAGGAAATAGAGAAACCTCTACCATTTACATTTTTACCAGAAGCATGCATTACTTTTATATTTTAAATATTTAAAACATTATTGATGTTTTACTTTCATATTTTATACATTTAACATTTTTTCTGTGTATTTTCTTGCTCAAGAAACTTGTCACAGAATCAACAACACGCAGTTGAGTATGCCTGTGAAAGAAACAGAATGTGACCCTGGGCTTAGGGTTTCTTTAGTAAGAAAACACCTTTGAAAGGAAGTGAAACACACCACCAAGCACCAAGACAGAGGGAGGGGGACTTCCTGCTTATCTGCAAGGGAAGGAACCCGTGTTCTTAAAGGGGCAGGAGGAAAGTTATTTTCAAGTCAACTGCTGTCATAACCCTAGATCAAACTAACTGCAGACCAGTCTGCAGTAGGCCCCGTTCTAGACTGCAAGTGTAGTCAGCCAGCCCACCATAGGCCCAGTTGAGAACTATCCTCACTTACAGTGGCTGTGCTTTGGATGTTTTCCTTGTAGAATGTGACCATAGCATTACATTTTGGTGAAGTGAATCATATTTTCAGTGAGGTAGGGAAGTTGCTCGTAGGATCATATAGTGATATGTATATGTGCCTGAATATTCATGTATGGTGTTTCTCTAAGTAGAAGCACGTGTGGCCAAATTGAACCACTATAAAGGTGTACATTTGTACAGGTACTTGGTTTCTTAATTTTGCCATTATTTTGCATCTGCTAGCTCACCCTTGCCTCCCAACAGCCCTGTGAGGGCATGAGAGGGCAGCTGGCATCCCATCCATAAGTGAAGACATGAGACACACAGTAAGGGACTTCCCCAGGGTCTCTGAGCCCCTAGCAAGACCAGAAGGGGTCCCCAAGCCTAGCAGGTCGGCTTCTGGCCTGGTGCCCCGGCAGGGGAGGAGCTGTGGTTTCCTGTGGTTTCATCATCCGTCTGTCTGACCGTTTATGTGGAAGTAACTTTCCACTAGCTTCTCCTAGGCCTCCCTCAAGAGTGAAGTGCCAATGGGGCCCTGAAAGGGGGCTCTTCGAGGGAGAATCCACGTGGGTAGTGGTTGGGGGACGCCTGGGAAAACAGATGAGGCTGGCGAGGGCAGGGGTGACATCCTACCTCCGCTCTCAGCCTCTCATCTGTGCCCACACTTGCCTGCCTTGTGTGGCTTTATAGCATGGGAGGCGTCTGCCAACTGCCCGATTCCTACTAGTTATTGGATAATCACTTCCACAGAAGCAGAGCAGAAAAGCCTCACGCCGCCACAGGCCCGCTCTACTTCCACCGAGGTGACTGCCATTAGCGGCATGGCTTCTGCTGCTCCTGGTGCAGGAGGATTGGATGGGCTTGGCCCTGGCTTGTGGTTCCCTGAGAGGGCCACGCAGGGCCCAGGGAGATAACAGGGGACATCTGTGTTCTCTCCCGCTTCCTGCCGTCACACCCTGAGGGAGGGTGGCCAGATTTAGCCAATAAAAATGGAAGACGCCCTCAAATTTAAATGGGAATTTCAGGTAAATAACAAATAGCTTTTTAGTATGAATATGTCCCATGCAATATTTGAGACCATAGAAATTATTTTATTTCTGTGAAATTCCAATTTAACTGGGCATCCTGTATTTCATCTGACAAGACTACCCTGAGGGGGAAAACTTAGGCCCTCTCACAGGCACATTGCTACTTTGGCTGTCTCTGTTTTTTTTTTATTTTTTATTTTTTATTTTTGAGACGGAGTCTCGCTCTGTTGCCCAGGCTGGAGTACAGTGGCATGATCTCGGCTCGCTGCAGCTACTGCCTCCCGGGTTCAAGTGATTCTCGTGCCTCAGCCTCCCAAGTAGCTGGGATTACAGGTGCGTGCCACCACGCCCAGCTAATTTTTGTATTTTTAGTAGAGACGGGGTTTCACCATTTGGCATGGTTGATTTTGAACTCCTGACCTCAAGTGATCAGCCCACCTCGGCTTCCCAAAGTGCTGGGATTACAGGTGGGAGCCACCGCTACCAGCCTGTCTCTTTATCCAAATTCTCCCAAACATAGACACACACACACACACACACACACACACACACCCTCAACGGGTCTCAGGCCTCTAAGTTCTCCTCTCAGGGGCTCCTGTCAGCCCTGCTCCAGCTGGGTCCTCTGCCCTAGGGGAGAGAGAATGGGAGGGGTGAGGAAGGGGTGAGGGGAAGTAGGGGAGGCAGAGGAAGAAGAAAGTTTCAGAAGAGAGCAGCCTAGGCAGAGGTGGCTGAGAGCTCAACCCAGTGGAAATGTGGACTCTAAGAACAGATGGGAGCCACCAACGTGATAAAGTGGCCTGCAAGGCTCAGAGCTGGCCCGCCCAGCAAGAAGCCTGTGTTTAGTCAAGGTGGGCCTGTGTTGAGACAAGCAAGCAAAAGCAAGCCTCCCTCTGAACTCCCTGAGGCCCTGCTGGGCCTTGCTAGAGGACCCTCCGCTGTGGAGGCTGGCTTCAGCCCTGTCTTCTCCCCGTGGCCACCCAAAAGCAGGATGCAGAGCCAGGAGCAATGTGGAGCCAGCTCCTGGGGATGCAGAAAGTGCCAGTACTCCCACCCTCCATACCCCTCACGTTCTCATTCTGCAAGAATTCCCAAGAGCCCACTAAGTGCTAACACGATGTTTCAGACTCTTTACTATCAACCTGACTGAGGTTTAATTGACATAAAATTCATCTTGAATGTACCTCGATGAGTGCTAGACAACCATGTACGCGCATGTAACCACCCTCCCCATCAAGATTCAGATCACCAACACCCCGGAAAGTGGCCCACTGTGTGAACCTTCTTTGTCACCCTAAGGCAAAATGTGGTCCTCACCCCCCAATACCCCCTTGGAAGGTCTTCTGCAGTGACATTTGTCCCAATTGCTGCCACCTGTGTGTTCTCTTTTTATTTTTATTTATTTAGAGATGGAGTCTCTCTCTGTCGCCCAGGCTGGAGTACAGTGGCGCAATCCCGGCTCACTACAACCCCTCCCTCCTGGGTTCAAGCGATTCTCTTGCCTCAGCCTCCCCAGTAGCTGGGACTACAGGACCATACTCGGCTAATTTTTGTATTTGTAGTAGCGACAGGGTTTCACCATGTTGGCCATGCCAGTCTTGAACTCCTGATCTCTGGTGATCCACTCGCCTCAGCCTCCCAAAGTGCTGGGATTACAGGTGTGAGCCACCGTGTCTAGCCCCACTTGTGTGTTCTCTGTCTTCTTTCCCCATCAGGTTGGATCTCCTCAGTGGTCGGCCTGGGTCCTATTTGTCTCTGTATCTCCAGGACATAGCAACGACGGCCCTCTGTAAATAATACTCGTTGAGTGGTGAGAACCATATGGGGCAGCAGGATTTGACGCCTGAATCATGAAAACTGGGGAGATTGTTATTAATCTGGAGAGCTCCTCTTTTTTTTTTTTTTTTTTTTTTTAAGACGGGGTCTTGCTCTGTTGCTCAGGCTGGAGTGCAGTGGTGTGATCATAGCTCACTGTAGCCTCGACCTCCTAGGCTCAAGCAATCTTCCCACCTCAGCCTCCCGAGTAGCTGGGATCACAGGCACACACCACCATGCCTGTCTAATTTTTTAAATTTTTTCTAGAGACACGGTCTCACTATGTTGCCCAGGCTAGACTTGAACTCTTGGGCTCAAGCAATTCTCCCACTTTGGCCTCCCAAAATACTGGGATTACAGGCGTGAGCCACGGCTCTGGGCCAAGACAGCTCCTCTTCGAAAACAAGTGCTGATGTGGGCGTCAGCTTCCCCTCCCTCATGAACATGCTCAACTCAGGTTTCCGCTATTCTGTTAGAGACCCTGTTTATTACTAGCCCATATGAGAGGAAGAGCCTTTGAACCCTTCTGTCTAGGCTTCTAGGGTGGTCATAAGGCTTGACCCAACCTCGTGACTGTGGTGTCAGTGGATGGTACCTTCATTCTTCATTCGGAGAGAAAGAATACATAACAATGATAGTAATATGAGAATTACATGGATGTTTCTGATCTTAAATGTCATTCAAGAATCACTGTAGAAAATCTGGAGATTATGATAATATCTGACATTTATGGCCTGCTTTACTACATGCTGAAGGCTAGTCTAAGAATTTCTCATTTAAACTTCAGAACAAGGTAATGCAGTATGATTGAGGTTAAGTGCTAGAATGGTTCCCTCACATTATAGAAGAGAACCAGGTTACCTGACTTGCCCAAAGTCACATTGTTGGGAAGTGGGAGCTAGGATTTGAATCCAGGGTAGGGGCCAAGGGAAAACCTCCCCTTCGCCCTCTGAAGGTTTACTGAAAAATCAACTCAAAAAAGGCAGATTAATAGACTGGGCACACTGGGTATAATCTGAGCACTTTGGGAGGCTGAGGCTGAGGCTGGAGGATCGCTTGAGGCCAGAGGATCACATGGGTCCAGGAGTTTGAGACTAGCCTGGGCAACATAACGAGATCACCGTCTCTACGAAAACATTTTTTTAAATACTAGGTGTGGTGGCACACGCCTAATTTTTAGTTGTGGTGGTACATGCCTAAAACATTTTTTAAAAAATTCAGGAGTGGTGGTACGTGCCTGTCATCTCAGCTACTCAGGAGGCTGAAGTGGGAGGGTTGCTTGAGCCCAGGAGTTCAAGGTTACAGTGAGCTATGATTGTGCCACTGCACTCCAGCCTAAACAACAGAGTTAAGACCCTGTCTAAAAAAAAAAAAGCCTCGCCACTGAACTCCAGTCTAAGTGACAGAGTGAGACTCTGGCTCTAAAACAAAATGAGATGAAGAACCACATATGCAACAGCCCAGTAGTCATTTCTTCTTACATATCCCACAGACCCCCTATACTCAGTATGTCCAACACACCGATAACTAATCCTCTTGACTCTGCTGAGAGAGAGCATTAAAATATATATAATAGGCCGGGCATGGTGGCTCACGCCTGTAATCCCAGCACTTTGGGAGGCCAAGGCAGGCGGATCACAAGGTCAGGAGTTTGAGACCAGCCTGGCCAACATGGTGAAACCCTGTCTCTACTAAAAATACAAAAATTAGCCAGGCTTGGTGGCGTGCACCTGTAATCCCAGCTACTCGGGAGGCTGAGGCAGGAGAATTGCTTGAACCTGGGAGGCGGAGGTTGCAGTGAGCTGAGATCACACCACTGCACTCCAGCCTGGGCAACAGAGCAAGACTCCGTCTCAAAAAAAATTTATAATAATAATAAATTAAAAGGCAGATTAATTGGAGAAAAAGCATACAAATTTATTGTGCACATGGAGGAGAACCATAGAGTGATTACCAATCCCCGCAGTGGGGTACAGAAGCCTTGAGGTTACAGAAAGACTGGAGGCTTGGATCTTGGCAAAGAGATTATGGCATGGGGAGAAGAGGAGGCCTGGCTGGCAAAGGCGTTCTTGTTACATAGGAGAAATCTCAGAGGTAGCCGCTCTCAGACAGAATAGATAGTAAATGTTTCTTTCAGACCTTTAAAGGTATCAGACTCTCAGTTTTTCCTAGATATGGACAAGAGAGAGCCTCAGAGAAAGCCTGGCTGTATCAACGTAGTTTTTCTCTGCAGATGCAAATCTTCGCCACATGAGACAGTTTTGTAGGGCTGCTTCTGTTTGCGGGCCCTGTGAACAGCCATCTCAAAATATGTCAAAGAAATATATTTTGGGGTAAAATATGTTGATTCCTTCACTGGGCTTGAGGTGCCCCACTCCCAAGTTTGAGAGAAGAATCTGGGAGAGGTTTGGGAGATTTTTTTCTTTCTGGTTTTAATTGCACTCTGTTTCCTCCAGAGTTTACAGTTATTATTATTACTGTGTGATCTAATTATGTGCAAGCAACATAATCACAGAACTGATTATGCCTCTGAAAATTGGAAGGGAATATTTTGGGGGAAAAACCCAAATTGAGAAATGACTGAGTTTATAGCCAGTAACAGCTGTTGTTTTTAGGAAGTTAAATCGATTTCTTTTGCTCAAAGAGTTTCTACTTCCTGAAGAGATGTACCCTGTTTTCTATGGGTGCAAAGGCAGTCTGTGTACATCATGATACTCCATACGGGCCTGATGGCGCTCAAACAGAAGGCCAGGCCAGCAGGCATCAGAAGCTTTTCCTTTCCCCCAGTTTCCTGTTTCCAGATCGTATTCCAAAGCTATAATTTCTACTTACCTTGAAGACCTTCAGTTTTCCCTGTTTCCTTCCTCTACTCCCTGAGCCTCTCACTATGAGATCCCTAGAGTGTGGTTGTAACGGCCTCCTCTAGCGGGTGCCCAGGCCCCAGTCTGCTCTGCTCCACACTTCCCCCTAGGGGCAGTTCTCTGCCTGCGTCCATGCTACCCCCTGCTTCTAAACCTTCCAGCGATCCTCAACACCAGTCGCCTATAAAGTACAAGGGCCTTGCACTTTATAGTTGGCCTTCAGGGAGGGCACAGTTTGCAGCCAGTACTGCCTACCAGCACACTTCTGTTTCCTTCAGCTCACCAAAGCTTTAGCCATGAGAGTTTATCATTCCTTCCTCATCTTCCTGTCCACGCCTGTATTTCCAGATCATTCACACTGTGCCCTCTGCCAGGAATGCCTTAGTCTCATTTCCAACCTCACGGCCACCTTAGGAGACAGCTCTTGTGGCATAGATGTTAAGATGGAAGGTTCTGGAGTCAGGCTGCAGGATTTGTATACTAATTCTGCCCAGGGTGTGCAGCCTGTGCAGTCACATAAGAGCCACACTAAGGAGGGCTCCGGGCTTGGTTTTTTGCTCTGCTACCACCATCTTGAAATTCTTAATCATTTTTGAACCAGGGCACTGGACTTGCAAACTATGTAGCCAATTCTGCTTCTGACACTGACAAACTGTCTAACTATAAAATCAGGATGACAGTGAAGGCTTAGAACAGGGTCAGGCACTTTGGAAGCGGTCAGTGAATGGGAGCTATCATTATCCCCATCTTACACACCAGGAAAGAGGCTCAGTGAGTTGCTCCACACCCCACAGCTGTCACGTGACAGAAACGGTGACGTGGCTTACTTTCACTTCCCACGCCGATGTGAACTTTCCTACGTAGCCCTGACTCTTTGTAGCACGTGGTCATGTCTGCTCTCAGTGTATTATGTGGCAGTATTTAAAGGCTGCTCATACTGCCTTTGTTCCTTTAGAAGTAAGCAAAGCACAGAGTTAGTATTTCTCACACTTGAAAAATGAGAACAGTAAATCAGTGACTGCCTTAAACATCCAAATCCAATTATGACCTTTGCTGAGACAAAGATGCTGGCATCAGAGTCTGGAGTCTGGGGCTCTGTGAACCCACACACCATGCCTGTCCCTCTTCAGTCTGGAGCCAGAATCCTCCCTTTCCCACAAAAGACAAAAGATGCTAACAGATGCACGCTGGTTTCCGGAGGAAAAGGCCACTTCTGTGAGCCAGTGGGAAGACGGGAAGTCTTTCCTGCAGGAAGGGGGTAGGTAGCTCAGGATACTAGCAGGAGATGCTTTTAATTGTTCTGCAACAGTGACAGCTCAGCATCGTGATTCCTGGTGGTGCTGGGGTGCAGTACTATTGTTAATGTCAGCTCCCATTCATTCATTCCTCTATTTTCACACTCACACATTCTGAATGCAGTTATTATGCTGTGGTCTTGGGGAAGGAGCTGTGCTAGTGGAAAGTGATGCAAAGTGAAAAGAATATTCTTGCCACTTGGGGATTAGGGAGAAAACCAGCAAGTATGCAAAGATTCACAACCATCTGGTGAGTGCCTAAAGCCAGATATTATCAGAACTCGGGTAAAACCAGAGGCCTAGAAAAGGCAGGAAAAACATGGCTCCCTCAAGAGGTGAAATTTGAGCTGAGATTTGAGGGATAAGGAGATCTGATTGCCAGTCCCGTTGAATTCATTTCCTATCCCTGTAGTAGCAAAGGACCACAGATCCAGCAGCTTAAACAACACAAATTGATCATCTTAAAGTTCTGGAGGTCAGAAGTCTCACTGGGCCAAAATCAACGTACCTGGTAGGCTACATCTTTTCATGGAGGTTCTGGGGGAGAAGCTGCTTCCCTGCCTTTCCAGCTTCTAGAGGCCTTCTAGATTCCTTGCTTCCTCCATCTTCAAAGCTGGCAATGTCACATCTCTCTGACCAGTCCTGCATAGTCACATTTCCCCCTGACTCTCCTCTTGAGCTGCCCTCCTTCACTTTTAAGGGCCCTTGTCACTACACTAGGCCCACCCGGATAATCTAGGATGATCTCCCTACTTGGAGGTCACCTGACTAGCAATATTAAATCCGTCTGCAGTCAAAATTCCCTTTTGCCATGTAACCAAATATTCATAGGTTCCAGGGATTAGGATGCAGACATGTTTTGGGGCTGCTACTCTGCCTGCTATGCTCATTTTGTAGATTACTTGCTGTGTGCCCCTGAGCAATTTTGTCCAGTCTCTCTGAGCCTGAGGCTTCTTGTCTGTAAAAAGTAGAAATAAGACCCGCCCTGCCCATCTCACCTGAGAATGTAATGAGATAGTGTTTGTAAAAATGCTTTAATAATGGCAAAGGTCTCTGTCAGCATAGATGTTCCTATGAGGGGGAAGGGCAGGGGATAACATCCTGAGTGTCTGCTGCATTCTAGGTAGGTACTAGGAGATGGTTTATCCCAGATGGCGCATACCTCTTCCCAATTCCACATTCAGAGCTGTCACACTGGTGTCTTGAGATCTGCCATGGTGACAGTATTTACACCATGGAAATACTCCAAATCAGGGCTGCCCCCACCACCTTGAGAACCAGTTGTTAAACATTTACCAGCACATGACAGGTCTATTCCATTTATTTAAGAAAAACCACCTGAAGGGGCTTTTATTCCTTTATAGTATAGATAGGCAAGTCAAGCTCACAGCCAGTGATAAACCCACCTAAGATCTCACAGCTGGTAAGAGTGACTGAGTGTTGAGGCTGGCTTGTCATACTCCAAAGTTGATTTTTCCACTGTACCCTCAAAACCATTCTTCACTCCTCCAGTTCTGCCTACCCTTGACAGGTTTGATTACTCTAACTAACCAAGAGAATTGTGGGACTTAATAGCAGGTTCAAAACTGTAACTGTCATGCCTAAGTTGGTGGATGGCCACGTTTTGGCTGTGGAAGTGCAGTTTCCTGGGGGCTCACCTGGGTCACTGCCAACTTGACCTAAATCAAGTTTAAAGCCTTCCACCCTAGAGGTTAGGCAGCATATGAAAATACTGAATTCTCCACTGTCAACTGCAGAGGGTTAAAAGGGATTTGATGTAAACAAATTGCCAGGTCACACAAAAGTCAAAGTGCCACATGGCTTCCTCTTAGACAACCTGGAAGTGTTTGAAGGTCAGCAAACACAAGTGCTTCATTCAGAAGTGAACAAAGCAAATAGCAGGCTAGCATTATTGACCTTTGGGAGCAGAATTAATGGTGGCAATTGGAGATTTAAAACAAAACCAAACTGACTTGACTTCATGTTCTATTTTAATCAGGTTCCTATTTCTCTGTGTACTAACTTTGTTTTATTAAGTTTTGGGTTTTATTTTAAATGTGCTCAAAGCATAAGACATCTAAAGTAGTTAGTGGGCGTGAGGAATTAATTGACCCAGGAGCAAAGACTGCACATCTGACAATGGTTCTCAGTTTGGCTGTACATGGGAACCACCTGGGGACCTTTCAAAACGCCAGCTGCCCTGGTTGCATGCAGACCAGTTAATCCAAATCTCGGGGGCAGGGGGTAGGGGGGTCCCTGGCATTGGTCCTTGCGGATTGAAGCTCCCAGGTGATTCCCATGTGCAGCCAAGGTCGAGAACCACTACTCTTGTAGTTTATTTCCCTTATTCCCACTTAGCGTTTCTATTTTTTGAGTTTCTGTTGTGTATAGTCTGTTTGGGAAAAGCACTGTATCCAGTTACATGAGAGGTCCTGACACCACAGAAGGTGAAAAGGCCTCAGGGCGTTTCCTAGTGGGTGTTTCAGAGAATAAAGAATCCCCACACCTAGAAAACCAGTTCTCCCACACTCACCAGGAGTGACATCACCAGGAGCCAATAAAAAATTTCCACTTGAGTTTACCAGTTAAGCCCTCAATTGATTGAACCTAGAAATTGCTAGACAAACTGTGAAGGATTAGGTTCCTCCAAACTGCTCCTTTTATGAGGCCCATTCTCTGATTTACACTAGATCTAGCCTCTTACCAGTTCTCTCAGTTTCAATGCATTTGTTCTGTGGCTGTTGTAGTATTGGCAGGAGGAGGATTTGAGTCCGCAGGCAGATAAGAAGCCAAGTTTCAGAGGAAAAACAATGGAGATTCCACACCCTGAGCTCCTTGAGTCTAAAACCAAAGCCTAAAGGCTGTAGGCAAATTGTTGCTGCCCCCTATTGGCAGTGATTGGTGTTGACGCATGAGAAAGAGTCCAAGCCCCCTGGTGGTAAATTCCAGCTAGGCCCATCCCTTGCTGTCGCTCCACATTCCACTAACAATGCTGTAGGCACAAAAGAATTCCCCCTTAAATATATCAGATGGGAGTTGTGAAAGGAAAATAAATCTTGGGACCCCAAAATCACTAAGCTAAAGGGAAGTCAAGCTGGGAACTGCGTCAAGCAAACCTGCCTCCCATTTTATTCCTAAATAAGACAGCTACAAAGATAAAAAAAAAAAAAAGACATACCTCCCTCACAATTTGCCCACAAGGAAATTCCTCGTGGACAAAGGACAGACAGAGCTCAAAGTCATCCCTCTGAGGCTCATGTGAGACAAATGCATATCTGATTGCTTCCTCTGCCCTGTCGTTTCACCAAGGCAGACCAGGCATAAGTGACTATTCCTCCACCCTCCTCTCCCATGTGAATTGTATATTCAGTGAAAGGCTAATCAGAGACCCAATAGAATGCAACAAATGTCTCTTATCTACCTGTGATCTGGAAGCCCCCTCCCCTGATTCGAGTTGTCCTGCCTGTCTGGACGGAACCAATGTACATCTTACACATGTTGATTGATGTCTCACGTCTCCCTAAAATGTGTAGAACCAAGCTGTGCTCCGACCACCTTGGGCCCATGTAGCCAGGACCTCTTGAGGCTGTGTCATGGGTGCATCCTTAACCTTGGCAAAATAAACTTTCTAAATTGACTGAGGCCTGTCTCAGATATTTTGGATTCACAAATTGGTAACCATGAAGGGATTCTGAGTGGAGGTACCCCTGACCTTTGACAAATCTACTGTTGGTGCTTGGTACCAGCTTGAGCTATCTTTATGGCTCAAGCCAGTAGGACAATTGGCTGAGGCCTGGGAGACACCCCCACCCCCGACCAAGAGAATCCCTGATCTCTCCAAATTTGGTTGAGATCTAAAGTTTATTTTGCTGTATAACTCCTTTTCTGGAGTTTCACTTGCTCCCAAAAAGGAAGGCAAGTTTTCCTGCTTCCATGATGAAGAGTGCAGGTAACTCCTTTCTGGAATTTCAGCTCACTTCCAACAGGGAAGGCGAGTTTGAGTTTTTTCCTGCTTCAAAGATGGTAGAGAGCAGTGTTCAGCCTGAGCCCCATTCCTAGGTAAGTAGCTGAATTGGGCTTTTGTCTTGGCTAAAGTTAAAATTAACAATCAGCTGGTTTTAATTTATCCTTACCATTAGAGCGCTTGGTAATCATATATTAGGTTGGTGCAAAAGTAATTGCGGTTTTGCATTCTTTTTAATGGCAAAAAGCACAATTACTTTTGCACCAACCTATAAATTGTGGCATTGTTTGCTTTGCTTAGCTGTTTTTTGTTGTTCTTTGTTTCTGTTTTGGTTGTTGTTTTGGTCTTTTTTTCATTGGTTTCATGCACATCCGTGTGAAGAGACCACCAAACAGGCTTTGTGTTAGCAACAAGGCTGTTTATTTCACCTGGGTGCAGGCGGGCTGAGTCCGAAAAGAGAGTCAGCCAAGGGAGATAAAGGTGGGGCTGTTTTATAGGATTTGGGTAGATAAAGGAAAATTACAGTCAAAGGGGGCTGTTCTCTGGCGGGCAGGAGTGGGGGTCACAATGTACTCAGTGGGGGAGCTTTTGAGCCAGGATGAGCCAGGAGAAGGAATTTCACAAGACAATGTCATCAGTTAAGGCACGAACAGGTCATTTTCACTTCTTTCGTGGTGGAATGTCATCAGTTAAGGCAGGAACCGGCCATCTGGATGTGTACGTGCAGGTCACAGGGGATATGATGGCTTAGCTTGAGCTCAGAGGCCTGACATTCCTGTCTTCTTATATTAATAAGAAAAATAAAACGAAATAGTGGTAAAGTGTTGGGACGGTGAAAATTTTGGGGGGTGGTGTGGAGAGATAATGGACGATGTTTCTCAGGGCTGCTTCGAGCGGGATTAGGGGCGGCGTGGGAACCTAGAGTGGGAGAGATTAAGCTGAAGGAAGTTTTTGTGGTAAGGGGTGATATTGTGGGGTTGTTAGAAGAAACATTTGTCATTTAGAATTATTGGTGATGGCCTGGATACAGTTTTGTATGAATTGAAAAACTAAACGGAATAAGAGAAGGAGAAAACAGGTATTAAAGGACTAAGAATTGGGAGGACCTAGGACATCTAATTAGAGAGTGCCTAAGGAGGTTCAGCATAGCCTTGCCAGTAAAGATTATTTATTTACTTCAAGAGTTTAGAGTGGCAGTTTGGGGATAGCACCAGGAGATATCAGCTGTGATGTCTTGGAGAAACAGTGTAAACCGGCAGTGTAAACAAGAGCAGGGCATGTATGAGTAGTTGAGAACGGTGAATAGGAGTATGACTAGACAGAAGATAGTAGGGATGACAAGTTTTTTGGGGCACAGTCTAAGTTGGTCTGGTGTCTGGAATGAGACTGGGGCCTAATAAAAAGGAGCGTCTATACAGGAGCTCAAATGGGCTGTACCCTGTAGCATTCTGAGCACAGGTCTGACTTCTGAGAAGGAAAAGTGGTAAAAGTATTGTCCAGTCCTTTTTAAGCTGGTGGCTGAGCTTGGTGAGGTGTGTTTTTAAAAGACCTTTAGTCCGTTCTACTTTTCCTGAAGACGGAGGACCGTAAGGGACATAAAGGTTTCCTTGAATACTAAGAGCCTGAAAAACTGCTTGGCTGATTTGACTAATAAAGGCTGGTCTGTTATCAGACTGTATAGAGGTGGGAAGGCTAAACTGAGGAATTATGTCTGACAGAAGGGAAGAAATGACTGCGGTGGCCTTCTCAGACCCTGTAGGAAAGGCCTGTACCTATCCAGTGAAAGTGTCTACCTAGACTAAGAGGTATTTTAGTTATCTGACTCGGGGCATGTTGAGTAAAGCTAATTTGCCAGTCCTGGGTGGGGGCAAATCCTCGAGCTTAATGTGTAGGGAAGGGAGGGGGCCTGAATAATCCCTGAGGAGTAGTAGAATAGCAGACGGAACACTGAGAAGTTATTTCCTTGATGATAGATTTCCACAATGGAAAGAAAATGAGGAGAGATTCTAAGAGGCAGGCTAGTGGCTTGTACTATAGCATAGCCTGCCTTTGCTGGTGTGTGGCGATTAGGCCTGGTGGAACTGCCATCAATAAATCAAGCGTGATCGGGGGAGGAACAGGAAAGAAGGAAATATGGGGAAATGGGGTGAATGTCAGGTGGATCAGAGAGATACAGTCATGGGGGTCAGGTGTGGTATCAGGAATAATGTGGGAGGCCGGATTGAAGTCTGGGCCAGGAACAATGGTAATTGTGGGACTTAACAAAGAGTGAGTACAGCTGAAGGAGCCGGGGAGCAGAAAGTATATGCATCAGGTATGAGGAAGAAAATAGATTTTGGAAGTTATGAGAAATGTAGAGAGTGAGTTGAGCATAGTTTGATTTTTAGGACCTCTAAAAGTATTAAAGCAGCGGCAGCCGCTGCCCACAGACATGAGGGCTAGGCTAAAACAGTAAGGTCAAGTTGTCTGGACAGAAAGGCTACAGGGTGCGGTCCTGGCTCTTGTGTAAGAATTCTGACCACACTAACCATGCCTAGGAAGGAAAGGAGTTGTTGTTTTGTAAGGGATTGAGGTTTGGGAGATTAATCGGACACGATCAGCAGGGAGAGCACGTGTGTTTTTATGAAAATTATGCCAAGATAGGTAACAGACGAGGATGAAATTTGGGCTTGACTGAAGTAATGGGGGCTGCCTGTGAAGCCTTGCGGCAGTACAGCCCAGGTAATTTCCTGAGCCTAATGGGTGTCAGGGTCAGTCTAAGCGAAAGCGAAGAGAGGCTGGGATGAAGGGTACAAAGGAATAGTAAAGAAAGCACGTTTGAGATCCAGAACAGAATAATGGGTTGTAGAGGGAGGCATTGAGGAGAGTATATAGGTTTGGCACCACGGGGTGGATAGGCAAAACAATTTGGTTGATAAGGCGCAGATTCTGAACTAACCTGTAAGCCTTGTCTGGTTTTAGGACAGGTAAAATGGGGGAATGGTAAGGAGCGTTTATAGGCTTTAAAAGGCCATGCTGTAGCAGGCGAGTGATAACAGGCTTTAGTCCTTTCAAAGCATGCTGTGGGATGGGATATTGGCATTGAGCGGGGTAAGAGTGATGAGGTTTTAATGGGATGGTAAGGGGTGCATGATCGGTCGCTAAGGAGGGAGTAGAGGTGTCTTATACTTGTGGGTTAAGGTGGGGAGATACAAGGGGAGGATGTGAAGGAGGCTTTGAGCTAGGGGAAAAGGTGGCAATGAGGTGTGGCTGTAGCCCAGGAATAGTCAGGGAAGCAGATAATTTAGTTAAAGTGTCTCGGCCTAATAAGGGAACTGGGCAGGTGGGGATAACTAAAAAGGAGTGCTTAAAAGAGTATTGTCTAAGTTGGCACCAGAGTTGGGGAGTTTTAAGAGGTTTAGAAGCCTGGCCGTCAATACCCACAACAGTTATGGAGGCAAGGGAAACAGGCCCTTGAAAATAAGGTAATGTGGAGTGGGTAGCCTCCGTATTGATTAAGAAGGGGACGGACTTACCCTCCACTGTGAGAGTTACCTAAAGCTTGGCATCTGTGATGGTCTACAGGGCTTCTGAGGCAATCAGGCAGCGTCAGTCTTCAGCCGCTAAGCCGAGAAGATCTGGGAAGGAGTCAGTCAGAGAGCCTTGGGCCAGAGTTCCAGGGTCTCTGGGAGTGGCTGCCAGGTGAGTTGAACAGTCCGATTTCCATCCAATTTCCAGTGGGGTCCCGCACAGATGGGACACGGCTTAGGAGGAATCCTGGGTTGCGGGCATTCCTTGGCCTGGTGGCCAGATTTCTGGCACTTGTAGCAAGCTCCTGGGGGAGGCGGTTCTGGAGGAATGCCTGGCTACTGCGGTTTAGTCGTTTGGAAGTTCTTGTGTGCTGGAGATGTGGCTGGGGTTTGTCTCACAGTGGAGGCAAGGAATTGCAACTCAGAAATATGTTGCTACTTGGCTGTCTCTATTATTGTACACCTTGAAGGCGAGGTTAATTAAGTCCTGTTGTGGGGTTTGAGGGCCGGAATTTAATTTTTGGAGTTTTATTTAATGTCAGGAGCGGATTGGGTAATAACATGTATATTGAGAATAAGACGGCCTTTTGACCTTTTAGGGTCTAGGGCTGTAAAGCGTCTCAGGGTTGTTGCCGAACGAGCCATGAACTGGGCTGGGTTTTTCATATTTGATGAAAGAGCCTAAATGCTCACTGATTTGGGAGACATCTGATAAAGAAAAAGGAGCATTAACCTTGACTATGCCTTTAGCTTCAGCCACCTTTTTAAGAGGAAATTGCTGGGCAGGTCGGGGAGGGCCACTCACGGAATGAAACTGTAAACCAGACCGGGTGTGAGGAGGGGAGGTGATAAAAAGATTATAGGGTGGAGGAGCGGAGGCTGAGGAAGAATTGGGACCTAGCTCGGCCTGGCAAGGAGCAGCCTGGGGAGGAGGGGAGAGGTCAGATGGGTCTGTAGAAAAGGAAGATTAGAAAGACTCAGCAACACTTGGGGTTGGGACTGAGGGGACAGGCGGGAGGGAAAGAAGGAAGATTTGGGACAAGTTGCACTGGGCACAGAGACTAGGGAGAGACCAATGTGTAAAACAATGCTTGGAAGTCAGGCACCTCAGACCATTTGCCCATTTTATGACAAGAATTATTTAGATCTTGTAGAATGGAAAAATTGAAAGTGCCATTTTCTGGCTATTTGGAACCACTGTCAAGTTTGTATTGGGGTCAAGCGGCATTGCAGAAGAAAATAAGGCATTTAGGTTTTAGGTCAGGTGTGAGTTGAAGAGGTTTTAAGTTCTTGAGAGCACAGGCTAAGGGAGACGGAGGAATGGAGGGTGGAAGGTTGCCTATAGTGAAGGAGGCAAGCCCAGAGAAAAGAGAGAGTAGAGACATGGAGGGAAGGGGTTCGAGGGTTCTTAACCTCCAGAAAAGCGGGAAAGGGGTCGGGGCACGGAAATAAGGGGTTGAGGTGCAGAGATGAGAGGTCGGGGCACGGAAATAAGGGATTGGGGATTCTTGCCCCCTAGAAAAGCGGGACTTGCCACTAAGGGTGAAGGAGAAGGGGTTGAGGGGTTCTGGCCCCTCCCCCAGAAAAGTGGAGAAGGGGTAGAGACACGGAGAGAAGGGGTTGGGGTACTTGCCCCTCCCACAGAAAAGCGGAACTTGCCGCTAAGCATGAATGACCAAGGCAGGCATCCCTGGGTGGTCTGACACCGCTGAAACGTGGGTGAATAATCAGAGAGGCATCCCTGCAATGATTAAACACCAAGGGAAGGCTGCCTTCCCAGTCCGTGACCGGCACCAGAGTTTTGGGTCCATGGATAAAGCATGTCTCCTTTGTCTCTACCAGAAAATGAAAGGAATTGAAATTAAGAGAAGGGAGAGATTGAAGTGTGGCGCCAAGATTGAAAGGAGAAAGAGGTTGAGGGATAGTGAGGGAGGTTGGAGAAGAGAGTAAAAAGAGGCCGCTTACCAGATTTGAAATTAGTGAGATGTTTCTTGGGCTGGTCGGTCTGAGGACCTGAGGTCGTAGGTGCATCTTTCTCACAGAGCAGAGAGCAGGAGGACAGGGGATTGATCTCCCAAGGGAGGTCCCCCGATCCAAGTCACGGCACCAAATTTCATGCGTGTCCCTGTGAAGAGACCACCAAACAGGCTTTGTGTGAGCAACAAGGCTGTTTATTTCACCTGGGTGCAGGTGGGCTGAGTCCAAAAAGAGAGTCAGCGAAGGGAGATAAGGGTGGGGCCGTTTTATAGGATTTGGGTAGATAAAGGAAAATTACAGTCAAAGGGAATTGTTCTCTGGCGGGCAGGAGTGGGGGGTCACAAGGTACTCAGTGGGGGAGCTTTTGAGCCAGGATGAGCCAGGAGAAGGAATTTCACAAGACAATGTCATCAGTTAAGGCACGAACAGGCCATTTTCACTTCTTTTGTGGTGGAATGTCATCAGTTAAGGCAGGAACCAGCCATCTGGATGTGTACGTGCAGATCACAGGGGATATGATGGCTTAGCTTGAGCTCAGAGGCCTGACAATTGGGTTTGACCAACTCTATCCAACTTGATCAAATCTGAAGGAAAGTTCCACATTACGGGGAACAAGACCTCTGAATTGGCTAAATTCCACAGCTGGAAAAAAAAAAAAAAAAAGCAGGGAGAAGGAAAAACAGTCCAGCAAAAGGGGATAAAAGAGAAAGGTTCTTGATTTTGACTACCCTGAGGGCTTTATTTACATAATAAGGCCAGTTTTTGTTAGCCAAGCCAAACTGAAAGAGTAATGGCTGTCGCCCCATGCAGCAGTTCCATAGCTAAGCTTCTGCCCCCACTTTTTTTTCATCAAGACAGTCTGGGTTTGGTTTCTAAAGCCCTTTCTGGTTTGATATTTGTGTTACTTTTGAAATATCAGCAATTTATCCTAGTTAAAATATGGTAATGAGATTAAAAAGGTTTTTTTTTAAATGGAGCTCAATGGTTAAAAGTCAGTTTAATTAAAAGCTAATATCCAAGATGATGATGATGATGATGATGTGTGTGTGTGTGTGTGTGTGTGTGTGTGTGTGTGTGTGTATTTAAAAAGGTTGTTATGGTTTTTTTTTCTCTCCTAGGACCTTGTTTTTTTTTTGAGAAAAAGTTTTTTTTCTCTTCTCAGTAGACTGAATTCTGTTTTCGCCATTTACTTCTGCTGTCTCTACTTTCTTTTGCCACCCTCTGCTGCATGAGGGAACCAATACAGTTTCTAATAGCATGGGATTCCTTAAAGAAAACAGACAGTGCCAGACTCCCTTTTGGGGAGAAACCTCTGTTTTTCCTTATGGAACACAAAGAGCGTAAAGAGACAAGTTCATCTCAGATCTTAAACTGCTTGTTTTTTTATTGTGTTACCTGATTTCTTTCTTTCTTTTTTTCTTTAACTAAAATAGTTATTATAACAGAGGTTTCTCTTGGGTGTTTAAAGTAAGGAAGAGTATAGTTTAGACACTTAAAGAAATATCTTTTTTTTTAAAAAAAAGTATACTGTAAAAGCATCATGTGTTCTAGTCCCATAATAATTCTCGCTTTTTGGAGACCCAGGATTCAATGGGTGCTCTGCTCAGAGCTCAGAGATCCAGTTAAAAGATAGAGACTAAATGTATTTAATAGAACTACCTATCTAAATAAAATTTATTTCCTTATACAATCCTGATAGATTTCTATAAATTTATGTTTGATTTGGCATTTGTTTTTAATCTCCTAGCACCACCAGACTCTCTCTCTCTACCTTGAGATATAAATTTCAATATCTGATTTTTCACCTGAGAGCTATTCCTTTGATATGCAAATTTGGGGCTATCTAGCTGACAGCTACCTAGGGTAATAAAATGGGTCATCAAGAAATTGGAAGTCTAAAATAGGAGGAAAAAGAAGAGGTCTTATGAATCTATAAGGTCTATCTGCATGTCTAATATATCTATGTATTTATGTGTCATGTATATAATGTTTCACTACTAAAAATACACCAACAAGCTCTAATTAATTGGCTTAAAGGAAAAAAAAGCGCTTAAATCAAATTTTCTTTTCTTTGAGACAGAGTCTTGCTCTGTTGCCCAGGCTGGAGTGCAGTGGCATAATCTCAGCTGACTACAACCTCTACCTCCTAGGTTCAAGTGATTCTTGTGCCTCAGCCTCCCAAGTAGCTGGCAGTACAGGCGTGTGCCACCACGGCTAATTTTTGTATTCTTGGTAGAGACGGGGTTTCACCATGTTGGCCAGGCTGGTCTCGAACTCCTGACCTCAAGTGATCTGCCTACCTTGGCCTCCCAAAGTGCTGGGATTACAGATGTGAGCCACTGCACCCAGCCAAAATCAAATTATCAGAAAAAAATACTTTAAGCCAAATGCTTTTTCAAGTTCATATGACTCAAGTAAATTTTTAGTAAATAAGCTGGTTTTGAAAGTATTCATGAAACAGAATTAGAAATGGCTTCAGAATTGTCAACATACATTATTGTTTAGATTTATTGGTAAAGTGGTTTTATATTTTATCGCTGCTACATGTTAAAATTTGGCATGAGGGTTGTAAAGCTATGAATGCAGCCCAAAGGAAAATTATCTTTATGTAAACTTTGATAAATCATTTAATATTGTTCAATTAATGAAAACAGCTAAATCCTGAGTTATTGGCAAAAAAAAAAAAACACACCAAAAAAACTATTTATCTAACCTTAAGGTTCTCACTTAGGAAAACCTGAAATTCACAGGTTATAAAATGGTTAACAGGGAAATAACTTTAAATGATAACTATCACAGTTTTTATAAGTAATCTGGTTAAACTATGTTAAAAATTAATTAGGTAAATGTAATGAGATAAATGCTTATAAATAAACTTATAAAATTTAAAATCTAAAGTTAAATAATAGATATTCATTGAATGTCTGGGTCATTTCCAATTTTTTTAAGTGATAAGAAAACATTTTTTCTAAAAAAAAGAAATGTGTTCTTATTTAAAAGAAAATAATTTTTGTCTAATTCAAAGTTTATTTAAAAGTTATTTATAAAACAAAGTAATGGTAACCAGTAAATAAAAGCAATGTAAAAAAAGTTATAAATGTAAAGAGGTATTTTTGGCAAGAAAGGTTAAAAACAAAATAATTTTATATGAGAAAAAATATTGTATGGTAAATTTTTGTCCTAGAATAAAATGACTGGTTGTTTAAGAAAGAGATATGTTCAGGACAATCCACAAAGTCCAAGCATGTCATGAATATCATGAATGGCCTGTGTAAGCTGTAATAAGGTTTGTAAAAAGAGAATTTATGGAAAAAAAGGGTCTTTATGATCAAGTTGCCTAAAATTAAAGGGAAATTATTTATGATGGTCTTTCTAGAGATTGGGCTTTAATATTTAAAGAGCACTTATACACTAAAGAATTGGGTAGAACAATGGAATTTTCTTTTTTTTTTTTTTTGAGACGGAGTTTTGCTCTTGTTGCCCAGGCTGGAGTGCAGTGGCTTACTGCAACCTCCGCCTCCCAGGTTCAAATGATTCTCCTGCCTCAGTCTCCCAAGTAGTTGGGATTAGAGGCATATGCCACCATGCCTGGTTAATTTTGCATTTTTAGTAGAGACAGGGTTTCACCATATTGGCCAGGCTAGTCTCGAAATCCTGACCTCAGGTGATCCACCCACCTCAGCCTCCCAAAGTGCTAGGATTACAGGTGTGAGCCACCACGCCTGGCCTGGAATTTTCTTAAGGTATTGGTTTATTCTTAATAAAATTACCAGAGATTTTAATTTTTTTGAACCCAAAGTTCAACTTTTTTGTGTCTTGCTATTTTCAGCTTTCTCTCCCTTTTTAAAAGGCCTGAAATAATAACTCTATCCTTCAACTCATTTTCAGTTCCTGTAAGATTTTTTTTCCCTTAGGTTCTAACTGTTTGTTGAAGTCTGATGCTAAAAATGTTTTATAAATGTCTAAAGGAAATATTTTATTCCAACATAACATTCTGTGCTCTTGGCTTTAAATTGTTCTATGAATCCAAAAATTTTCACTTATTACCCAAGAAACACTCTTCCTATGTCTGATTAATTGATGTACCCTTTTCATTAGTTTGACTTGCAGGTTATCTAAATGGACACCCATAGGAACAGCAATTGCACTGCAGAAGGTCTTTTCTTTTGCCTTTTGGTGACTGGTCTAACAAACAAATTTTACATTTTATCAAAATAATTCCTATGTCATTGTTACTAACTTTTGATTTGCTTAGAAAAAAACTGAGACTTTAAAAATTGTTTTAAATTAAGATTATCACATCCATGTAACTTTCTGTATTTTGCTCTTAAAGTCTTTGTGCCATTAAGTTTCAAGGCTTTGACTCCTGGGTCTAAAAAAGACACCAAGTCCTGCTAAATCTTAAACACTGACACCAGTTAAAGCCTCATCTTCAGACCTGGTAGAAGATGCCAATCAAAATAAGCTGTGTTTGTGAGGCACCAATCCAGAAATTAAAACTATTCAACTCCTCAAGGCCCAGGGACTACCATGGAAGAGGATGGTGTAAGAGATTGTAAAGGCCAATTTTGAGAGATAAAATTAGTTCAGTTTCTCTATAAATTAACCATTAATATTGAAGGTACACTGATGCAAGACCAGCATATGGGCCCCTGTGTCAGATTAACAAGTTTTCTTGGAATGTTAACCCACTCCTTAATAAAAGGTTATAAAAGGGTTTATGGAAATTATATTTTACAGTCAAAATGATTACAATTTTTTTTTTTTTTTTGAGATGGAGTCTTGCTCTGTCGCCTAGGCTGGAGTGTAGTGGCACGATCCCAGCTCACTGCACCCTCTGCCTCCCAGGTTGAAGCAATTCTCCTGCCTCAGCCTCCAGAGTAGCTGGGATTACAGGCACCTGCCACTACACCCAGCTAATTTTTGGTATTTCAGTAGAGATGGAGTTTTGCCATGTTCGCCAGGCTGATCTCGAACTCCTCTTCCATGTGAATTGTATATTCAGTGAAAGGCTGATCAGAGACCCAAAATAATGCAACCTTTTGTATCTTATCTACCTATGACCTGAAAGTCCCCTCCCCTGCTTCGAGTTGTCCAGCCTTTCTGGACCGAACCAATGTACATCTTACACATACTGATGTCTCATATCTCCCTAAAATGTATAGAACTAAGCTGCACCCAAACCACCTTGGGCACATGTTGTCAGGCCCTCTTGAGGCTGTGTCATAGGTGTATCCTTAACCTTGGCAAAATAAACTTTCTAAATTGACTGAGGCTTGTCTCAGATATTTTGGGTTCACAGAGTAATGCAGATAGGGAGCCACTCCCATCTGGTGTGGCTCCCTATGTGCATTTGGGTTCGCAGAGTAATGCGAATAAGGAGCCACACCTTATCTTTGGACTGTGTACATGTGAAAATTAAATGAGCCTTCCTTTTGTAATGTTTCATATTTTGTGATCAGAACATGATAATCGTGTGTTCAGATTAGTGGCTAACTTGAAACTTCTGGCTGTTGGAGGCTCGGGAGGTACGCAAAGCTCTCCTGATAAGTCAGAGGAGCAGGAAAGCCAGAAAAATCCAGCCGTTGTGGTTTAAGAACCAGTCAGCACGTCTTTGCCAAAACTATATCCCCTCAACAGATCTGGTGCATTGCTTAAATGAACATCATTAGAAATGCATTTGTTTGGTTTTAAGATATTGCCATCAGTAAACAAACCATGTAAATCTCTGGAAAGGTTAATGTATGCATCAGTTACATAATACACATATTTATCAGATCACTTTCTAGAATTTTATTCCACAAACATTGATTAAACAACTGCTAACTAATACGTACCGTACTTTGTGCTCTGGAGGATACAGGCATGAGTAAACTGTGGCCTCTGCCTTCCAGGAATTTACAATCTTCAGTCCCCTACAGAATTTACAGAGGAGGGAGATCAAGCTACTAACTCTGACCAAGATAAAACAAAGAAGTGCCATGATACAGGAGCAAAGTGCTGTCTAAGGTGGAGGTAGAAATTGTTGATTTTGAGTTGTGCACTTGGGGGATGCTTAGACCAGTGGTTCTCAAAGTGTGTTCCCCAATCAGCAGCATCAGCAGCACCTGGTAACTCACTGGAGCTGCACACTTGTCAGGCATGCCCCAGACTGTGTTTTAACAAGCCCTTTAGGTGATATAGGCCGAATTTGAAAACCACTGCCTCAAAGAGAAACTGATGTGAGATAGACACCTCAAGATAAATACTTGACTGACTCCTACCTGCATCTTTCCCCACTCACAAGGCCTTGTTTCTTCTCTCTCCTTCCCAATTCTTTCTTCTTTTCTCTTCCCCACCACCAGACGTTGAACCACAGCTCACAGATCTGCTCACTCTTGGCCTCTTTTTAGCCTATGTGCTGAGCCAGGAAAAGAAATGCCCCTCAGGGAATGATGCAGATTTTGTCTTTCTTGTTTTCAAGGGGAATACTTCCAGATTTTTCCCATTCAATATGGTATTGGCTATGGGTTTGTCATACATGGCTCTTATTATTTTGAGGTATGTTCCTTCAATACCTAGTTTATTGAGAGTTTTTAACATGAAGGAATGTTGAATTTTATCAAAGGCTTTTTCTGCACGTATTGAGACAATCATGTGGTTTTTGTCTTTAGATCTGTTTATGTGATTAATTACATCTATTGATTTGAGTATGTTGAACCAACCTTGCATCCCATGGATGAGGCCTACTTGATTGTGGTTGATTAGCTTTTTGATGTACTGCTGGATTCAGTTTGCCAGTATTTTGTTGAGGACTTTTTTTATTGAGACAAAGTCTTGCTCTGTCCCCTGGGCTGGAGCGCAGTGGTATAATCATGGCTCACTGCAGGCTCCGTCTCCTGGGTTCAAGTGATTCTCATGCCTCAGCCACCCAAGTAGCTGAGATTACAAGCCACCACACCCGGCTAATTTCTGTATTTTTAGTAGAGAGGGGGTTTTGCCATGCTGGTCCCAAACTGCTGCTCTCAAGTGATCTGCCCACCTTGGCCTCCCAAAGTGCTGGGATCACAGGCATGAGCCACCACACCCAGCCTGTTGAGGATTTTTGCATCAATGTTCATCAAGGATATTGGCCTGAAGTTTTCTTTTTTTGTTGTGTCTCTGCCAGGTTTTGGTATCAGGATGATGCTGGCCTCATAGAATGAGTTAGGGAGGAGTCCCTCCTTTTCAATTTTTTGGAATAGTTTCAGTAGAAAGAGTCCCAGCTCTTTTCTTCTTTGCACCTCTGATAGAAATCAGCTGTAAATCCGTCTGGTCCTGGGCTTTTTTTTGGCTGGTAGGTTATGTCTTTTGTTGGTGTGTGTGTGTGTGTGTGTGTGTGTTTTGATGAGGTGATGCTTTTTGGTGACTCCACAACAAACTGGATGTTAGGAAAGAACATTTAAATAGAAATAGAAAAATTACTACATCATGCTCTCATTTTCCTTATTTCCTTATTTTTAAATTTTATTCTCTTCTTTATATCTACTAAGCAGTCAATAATGAACATCTCTATCTATATATAAATACTCCTCTACATGTGTCTATATATGTACATTATACATACATTCACATATTTCATATTGGTTTCCAGTATAAACAATATCATCTCTAGAGTACTCAACTTCGGTTGGATAGGGTTTGCTGATTCAAAGGTGGAAATTCTCTCAAGATCAGAGACTAATTGCTTCAGTCACTTCCACTGGATTTAACATCTTTGAAAGTACCATATTCCCTAATAAGTCCCTAGAGAGCTCATCCAGCCACAGCCAAGGTTAGCCCACTCAATGGGAGGATTATGTGTGTTTTCAGTTTATGTCAAGTGCTGAAATTATACTTTATATGGCTAATGATGCTTTAGAAATGAATATTAACCTCTCCACCCTGTACCAAAGGAGAAGCTATCATTTTTAGTTTTATTATTTACCGCTTCTGAATCATATTCTGCCTTGTTGTCACATCTCTCTTCAGAAGCAATAATCTCTCCTCTAGAGACCTAATAGGACCAGTTCAAGGAGCTAATCATCTTGATATAAAGGCCTCAAGGGACATGGCCTAGATTATTGTGGTTTTTTTTTCTGTTTTTAAAACAGAACAATTCATGTCAATATGGTGACTATCATCATATACCTGGGAACATTTTCAGGGGTTCATTAGGCTGGGTAAATCTCAGGCCTTCAAATCTGCATTTCCAAAGAGAGAGAGAGAACATTAGCTCTAGGAGATGCCCTGCAAAAAAAGAAAAAAAGGAATCGTGATCAAGTAAGTTTGGGACACAGTGTAGTATAGTTCTCTTTTGGAGATCACAAGGCATATGAGAAATACTATAGTAACTAAGATGTTTCCAAACCTGTTTGAACTCAGGAGCGTTTTTAATGGAGTACTTACGTATGGAATTGACTTGGGGAAATTCTGCTTTGAATGGTGGCATAGAACTAGTGAACTAGCACATGCTGGCAGAGCCACACCAGCCTTCCATGAGCCTGAATTCAGACTTGCTCTTATGCCCATATTTGTTTATGGACCATCGCATGATTTCTACATAGTTGCACTCAATTTACACACTTCTTCCATTTCATGATAACATCCTTTGCCTTCTTCTTGGCTTATGCTGTGCTTGCTCTGAACCATAGCCCAACACTCAATAAGAATGTAAATGATTCTTGCCCAGGCTCAGAGCCTCATGGAATCAGCATCATGGTACCTGAGATTGTTGGTGCTGTGTAGTACTCAAGAGACAATCAGCATGCTTGCCACCATGAGTGGGCAATGGGAACATGGAAGGTGCAGAAGGCCTACCCTTATGCATGACTGCTACAGTGGGACATTTGACAATGTGGCCTGACCTTACTGTATCTGTCCTAGGGTGTAGCTAGAGAAGCCAACCTGAACCTTTGCTCATTCATTCATTCACTTGAAAAGTATTTATTGAAAGTCTTTGTTGTGTATCAGGCGTGGTGATGAATACTGGGGACAGAGTGATGGACTAAAAGTCACCTTCCCTGATCTTTGGGGCCTACAGTCTAATGGAAGACACGTGTTGTAGCCACACTATTCATTTCTCTATCATTTATCCAACAAAACTTGTGGTAAATGCTGAGAAGATAGTATAAGGGGGACGTCTGAGTGGGATTTGGAGGTTAGAATAAAGCTGCTCTCAGTGGCATTTAACCTCTCCCTGTAGGGTAAGCAGGAATTAGCTAAGTGAAGTCTGGAGTCAGACGTGCCTTGGGGCAGTCGTATGTGTGTAGGTGCTGAGATGGGAGTTTGGTGTGTTCTTAGCACAAACCGAAGACAACTGGTGGGGGTGCTTAGAGTGGAGGCTGGAGGGGTGCACAAATGGAAGGTCACAAAGGGATTGTGGGTCTTCTCCAGGAGTTGAGATTGTCAGCCTAATTCAGAAGAAGCCACACTTTTGATAAGAATCACTCTAGCTTCTGGAACTGAATTGGAGGGAACACAGTGGATACCAGGAAGCTAGTGAGCAATGCAGGTATCTTGGACAAGGGGTGTTGATGATGGACACAAAGATGGGGGATGGATGGGAGAAGAATTTAGGAGGTCAAATGGAGAGTCCTTGATGAGTGGTTGGATCTCACGGTGAGAGGGAAGAGTCAACAACGAGGCTCTGGTTTCTGGTTTGAATAACTGCATTTGGGCTTCTCTCACAAACCCAGACATGGCTCTTAATTATCTCTGAACTTCTGGGGTCATCATTACTGAGATAACCAGGGAGCTATCCCTAAAATAGTTTAGGGGTAATCTCAAAGGAGGGAAAGACTGAGTACATAAAACAGGGGAGCCTTTTCTCTCTACTCCTAGAAATATGTTTCTCACACACAAAAAAAGAAATTTTAAAAAGGCTCAAATAATAAACAGCTCCCCAATGGCAATGTTCTATGATCATAAGTAGATTTTTTGTTTGCTTTGGTTTTTCTTATTAATATCTGATGAATTTTAAATTCTAGTCTCTACCCTTTGCACACTGGAGGGACATTTATAAAGACCATTTTCCATTCTGAGTCATTGGCACAGGAAGCCCTGGGTTGTCTCCTTCAGGTTCAAAACACTGCTACGTCTTGCCCCGATTGCTGAGTAAGGCCTGGGGCTTTATCTATTCCCCCTTTCCCTGAAAGCATTTAAGGGCAGCAATGAAGAGAACACAGTAATGTGACCTTCCCTTGTACTCACTGGAAATAATGGATACTATTATGACTTTAAGTTCAAGGATAATCAGAGTAGAAACCTTGCCATATTGCTATAATAGCTTTATTAATAGCCGACAGGAAAATTGCCTTTTTCTTCCAATAGTCGTGAATGACTCTCCCATTCACAAGGGCATTTTCAACTTTCATGGAGTTCTCAGTAACTTCTAAGGAAGAAAAGCCACGGTTGTGGTTATGGGTTGAACTGCATCCCCACAAAATTACATGTTGAAGTCTTAACCCCCAGGACCTCAGAAGCTGACCTCATTTGGAAATGAGGTTGTTGCAGATGTGATTAGTCAAGATGAGGTCATAGTAGGAGTAGGGTGGGTCCTTAATCCACTATGACTTCTGTTCTTAAGAAGAGGAGAGAGACATAGAGGGAAGATGGCCATGTGACAACAGAGGCAGAGACTGGAGTCCTGCGTCTTCAAGGTAAGGAATACTGTGGATTGCTGGCAAACACCAGACGCCAAAAGAGGCAAGAAGGATCTTTCTCTATAGGTTTCAGAGGGAGCGTGGCCCTGCAGACACCTTGATTTCAGACTTTTAACTTCCAGAACTATGAGACAATAAACTTCTGTTTTTTAAGCCGTGCAGTTTGTGGCAGCTTGAGGAAACTAGAGTAGTTTTCATATTTGAAAGTACTTGGAGATCATTCAGTCCACTCTATAGATGAAGAATCATACTCAGCGAGGTGGAGTGATTTGTCCAGAATCAACCAGATCCTCTCCTTTGACCAGACCAGGCATTCCAATTCCTGTAGTTTGGGGTTCTTTACAGAAGCCAACAATCAGAGGTCAGTGCCAAACTATGATCTGGCAAATCTTGATCAATTCCAAGAAAAAAGCAGAGGGTCCGGGAAAGCTGATAGAGAAGACTTCAAGAGTGTAAGTGCCAGGAGCTTCAGACATGGTGCAGCAATGCCAGAAAAACCACCCAAAAAATGGGCCAGGAAGAGAAATATTGCTGTCAGAATATTCACAGAGTTGTGTAATCATCACTCCAATCAATTTTAGAACATTTGCATAACTTCAACAAGAAACCCCAGACCCCTGAATAGCCATGCCCATCTTCTCCCAATCCCTCAACCCTCTACTGCCTCAGGCAACTACTTACCTACTCTCTGTCTCTGTGCATTTGCCTATTCTGAACATTTCATATCAGTGGAATCATACAATATAGGGTCTTTTGTGTCTGGCTTCTTTCACTTAGCATGATGTTTTCTTTTTTTTTTTTAATTTGCATACTGTCTATGTCTGCTTTGTTTCTGTTATTTTATTTTATTATTATACTTCAAGTTTTAGGGTACATGTGCACAATGTGCCGGTTAGTTACATATGTATACATGTGCCATGCTGGTGTGCTGCACCCATTAACTCGTCATTTAGCATTAGGTATATCTCCTAAAGCTATCCCTCCCACTTCCCCCCACCCCACAACAGTCCCCAGAATGTGATGTTCCCCTTCCTGTGTCCATGTGTTCTCATTGTTCAATTCCCACCTATGAGTGAGAATATGCGGTGTTTGGTTTTTTGTTCTTGCGATAGTTTACTGAGAATGATGATTTCCAATTTCATCCATGTCCCTACAAAGGACATGAACTCATCATTTTTTATGGCTGCATAGTCTTCCATGGTGTATATGTGCCACATTTTCTTAATCCAGTCTATCATTGTTGGACATTTGGGTTGGTTCCAAGTCTTTGCTATTGTGAATAGTGCCGCAATAAACATACGTGTGCATGTGTCTTTATAGCAGCATGATTTATAGTCCTTTGGGTATATACCCAGTAATGGGATGGCTGGGTCAAATGGTATTTCTAGTTCTAGATCCCTGAGGAATTGCCACACTGACTTCCACAACGGTTGAACTAGTTTACAGTCCCACCAACAGTGTAAAAGTGTTCCTATTTCTCCACATCCTCTCCAGCACCTGTTGTTTCCTGACTTTTTAATGATTGCCATTCTAACTGGTGTGAGATGGTATCTCATTGTGGTTTTGATTTGCATTTCTCTGATAGCCAGTGATGGTGAGCATTTTTTCATGTGTTTTTTGGCTGCATAAATGTCTTCTTTTGAGAAGTGTCTGTTCATGTCCTTTGCCCACTTTTTGATGGGGTTGTTTTTTTTTTTTCTTGTAAATTTGTTTGAGTTCCTTGTAGATTCTGAATATTAGCCCTTTGTCAGATGAGTAGGTTGCGAAAATTTTCTCCCATTCTGTAGGTTGCCTGTTCACTCTGATGGTAGTTTCTTTTGCTGTGCAGAAGCTCTTTAGTTTAATTAGATCCCATTTGTCAATTTTGGCTTTTGTTGCCATTGCTTTTGATGTTTTAGACATGAAGTCCTTGTCCATGCCTATGTCCTGAATGGTAATGCCTAGGTTTTCTTCTAGGGTTTTTATGGTTTTAGGTCTAACGTTTAAGTCTTTAATCCATCTCGAATTAATTTTTGTATAAGGTGTAAGGAAGGGATCCAGTTTCAGCTTTCTACATATGGCTAGCCAGTTTTCCCAGCACCATTTATTAAATAGGGAATCTTTTCCCCATTGCTTGTTTTTCTCAGGTTTGTCAAAGATCAGATAGTTGTAGATGTGCGGCGTTATTTCTGAGGGCTCTGTTCTGTTCCATTGATCTATATCTCTGTTTTGGTACCAGTACCATGCTGTTTTGTTTACTGTAGCCTTGTAGTATAGTTTGAAGTCAGGTAGCGTGATGCCTCCAGCTTTGTTCTTTTGGCTTAGGATTGACTTGGCGATGCGGGCTCTTCTTTGGTGCCATATGAACTTTAAAGTAGTTTTTTCCAATTCTTTGAAGAAAGTCATTGGTAGCTTGATGGGGATGGCATTGAATCTATAAATTACCTTGGGCAGTATGGCCATTTTCACGATATTGATTCTTCCTACCCATGAGCATGGAATGTTCTTCCATTTGTTTGTGTCCTCTTTTATTTCCTTGAGCAGTGGTTTGTAGTTCTCCTTGAAGAGGTCCTTCACATCCCTTGTAAGTTGGATTCCTAGGTATTTTATTCTCTTTGAAGCAATTGTGAATGGGAGTTCACTCATGATTTGGCTCTCTGTTTGTCTGTTATTGGTGTATAGGAATGCTTGTGATTTTTGTACATTGATTTTGTATCCTGAGACTTTGCTGATGTTGCTTATCAGCTTAAGGAGATTTGGGGCTGAGACGATGGGGTTTTCTAGATATACAATCATGTCATCTGCAAACAGGGACAATTTGACTTCCTCTTTTCCTAATTGAATACCCTTTATTTCCTTCTCCTGCCTAATTGCCTTGGCCAGAACTTCCAACACTATGTTGAATAGGAGTGGTGAGAGAGGGCATCCCTGTCTTGTGCCAGTTTTCAAAGGGAATGCTTCCAGTTTTTGCCCATTCAGTATGATACTGGCTGTGGGTTGGTCATAGATAGCTCTTATTATTTTGAGATACATCCCATCAATACCTAATTTATTGAGAGTTTTTAGCATGAAAGGCTGTTGAATTTTGTCAAAGGCCTTTTCTGCATCTATTGAGATAATCATGTGGTTTTTGTCTTTGGTTCTGTTTATATGCTGGATTACGTTTATTGATTTGCATATATTGAACCAGCCTTGCATCCCAGGGATGAAGCCCACTTGATCATGGTGCATAAGCTTTTTGATGTGCTGCTGGATTCGGTTTGCCAGTATTTTATTGAGGATTTTTGCATCAATGTTCATCAAGGATATTGGTCTAAAATTCTCTTTCTTGGTTGTGTCTCTGCCCGGCTTTGGTATCAGGATGACTCTGGCCTCATAAAATGAGTTAGGGAGGATCCCCTCTTTTTCTATTGATTGGAATAGTTTCAGAAGGAATGGTACCAGTTCCTCCTTGTACCTCTGGTAGAATTCGGCTGTGAATCCATCTGGTCCTGGACTCTTTTTGGTTAGCAAGCTATTGATTATTGCCACAATTTCAGAGCCTGTTATTGGTCTATTAGCATGATGTTTTCAAAGTTCATCCATGTTGCATCATAGTATTAGTGCTTCATTACATTTTATGGCTGAATAATATTCCATTGTATGGATAGATCACATTTTATTTATCCATTGATTAGTTGATGGATCCTGGCCATTTCTGAACCCACCTTAAGACTTAGCACATATTAGTTGTCCAAAAAGCCTTTGTCCACTAAGTATACGTTTTGGATCAAAGAGGAAGATAGTTGAGGTAACACAGGCCTGATGATTTTATATTCTTACCTAAATTGGTGATAGGAGAGGCTAGAACCTTGAGAAAGGTAAAAGAGATTTGCAACATTTGAGACCTATTCTTTCTCAACAGAAGGTGCCTGAGGATCTAATTTTAACTGAATCACAGGTCCAGTTGTTCACCCCTCGCAGAGTCCAATTAACAAGGGTGAGATGTGGTATAAAGAAAGTGACTTTTTAAACAAAATTTTATTTTTAGTTTTTGTGGATACATAGTAGGTGTATATATTTAGGGGGTACACGAGATGTTTTGATACATGCAATGGGTAATCACATCATGGAGAATGGGATATCCATCCCCTCAAGCATTTATTCTTTGAGTTATAAACAGTCCAATTACACGATTTTTGTTATTTTTAAAAAGTACAGTTAAATTATTATTGACTATAGTCACTCTGTTGTGCTATCAAATAGTAGATCTAATTCATTCTTTCTATTTTTTTGTACCCATTAACCATCCCCACCTCCCCTAGCTTCCACTTCCCCTCCCAGCCTCTGGTAACCATCCTTCTACTCTCTATGTCCATGAGTTGAATTGTTTTAATTTTTAGATCCCACAAATAAGTGAGAACATTTGATATTTGTCTTTCTGTGTCTGGCTTATTTCACTTAACATAATGACCTCCAGTTCCATCCATGTTGTTGCAAATGACAGGATCTCATTCTTTTTATGGCTGACTAGTACTCCATTTTGTATGTGTACCACATTTTCTTTATCCATTCATCTGTTGATAGACACTTAGGTTGCTGCAAATCTCAGCTATTGTAAACAGTGCTGCAGCAAACATGGGAGTGCAGATATCTCTTCAATATAATTACTTCCTTTCTTTTGGGTGTATACCCAGCAGTGGGATTGCTGGGTCATATGGTAATTCGATTTTTAGTTCTTTGAGGAAACTCCAAACTGTTCTCCATCATGGTTTACTAATTTATATTCCCACCAACAGTTTATGGAGGTTCTCAATAAAATGACTTTTATTCCAAAAATTAGCTTAGGGGGAAGAAGTATAGGCTCCTGACTTTAAGGGTATCACTTTGCTTTTGGGGCAGAAAGCAGGGGCTTTTAAAGGGGGAGTTGGCATTAATGGCATGCAGGGAAGGGAGTGAGAAGGTGAGGTCTATGCAACTTGCTTTTGTGTCTTATGTACCAGGTGGTTGAGCTGGTGCCATTGCAGGCAGAACTAGGTTGTAAAGTGACCATTGCCTCAAGATATCCTCCAGGTGGGAGAGAGTTTTGTTGTGGGCATGCTTTAGGTTGTAAATTGACTGCTGTCTCTTGAGGCAGTCCCCGAGTGGGAGAGATTTCTGGCTCTGGAGCTTTTAGGTAAGCGTATACATAAGCTTGCCCTGTAGGGAGTGTCTGGTGAAGGGAAGATAAAGGTTACAATTGCATTTTTAAAGATCTAACTAGGGAGTGGGGAAAAGGGGAAAAGGAGGAAAGAGAAAAGAAGAAAAAAAAATTAAAAATAACTCATGAAGACTGTATGGATAGTTTCAAGAACTGTGGCAGTCCCAGGAGGAGCATGGAGGCTTTAGTGGGGGGGCTCTGGAAAGTCCTTCACATACACAGAGGCTGACTGCTATGACACAGCTGCCACTTTCCAAAGCCCACTCTTCCTTCCCCTCTTTCACTCCATGGAAACATGCTACACTGAGGCCTGGTCTTGAGAAAAATGCAGAGGAGAAGAAGACCTGTCACCAATGATCCAAGGTCTCTGCACAAGTACATTTTGACACAGTGCCAACTGGTGTACATAATAGGTGCTCATTCAATTTTTATTGCTTGAACAGTGCAGAATATCTGAGTATGAATGACCTGCATCAAAAGAATGGAGATTTCCTCTGAGTGAGAGCCTCCACTTGGCAGGAAAAGGTCCAGGGAGTGTGAAGGAGAATCTATCAGGGTCTGACTCCCAGGTAGCTGATAAAACTCAAACCTCACAAATTCCTCCTCCATAGAAAGGCTCTACCTTTCCTCTAACTAAGGTGCCCTTTGCTGAGGGCAGTGGGAAGCATGTGGTTCAACTGGTAGTCCTACAATTGAGGTAGATTTTAATCCAAGGATTATAGGTGTGAGATACCACACCCATCTGATCTTGCTTTTAGATATTTGTCCCTATACCTCAACAAGCACAAGCATAAACATCTTTGTATAAACTCTTCATGGTCACAAAACAGCATGCAATGTGACAAAATTAAATTGTCCTTGGCAAACTTGCACTGCTTTCCACTTTGTGCGTATTAAATAACACTATGACACATTATTTTGGTCAGTTTCTTAGAAGCACATATTAAAAGGTAACTCATGCTGTAAGATTTAACTAAAAAGGAAAGATGGTATATTGGAGGTTTATCTTCTTTTCATTCTGAAGCAACTTCCTTTTCTTATGCTTGGATAATTTCTAGTTATTCTCAGGTAAATTTCATTAGATATCTCAAGATTCATACTGGATAGAGGATGCTATGGACTGATGCAGAGGAACCAAGGGGACAGTAGAAGTGGAAAGGGTTGCCAAAGTTGTTTCATTTGGGGGAATTGCACAAAGGCTACCAACAGCCAGGCATTCTGACTTTATGTCTTCTGAGTAGGGAATCAAGATAGAATTTATCTATTAATAAGTATCTTAAAGTAAAAGTGTCATGAAAACTGCTTCCCCTTTGATTTCTACCAAATAGTTTTTTAAAAAGAGTTCTGAAAAAATTCAGTGTATATGGCAATTTCTTTTATATTAAAGACCAATTTCTCTATGATATATTTATCATACACTCCTCTTGTAAAATGAAACATTTTTATTCATTCATTTTAAGATTTACAGCAATGGCAATTAACAATATAGACCAAAAGCTTCGAATTTAGCTGCATACTTTTAAAAAATGGTAAGAAGTAAAAGATGCTTTAAAAGCTATCCATCTCAGTTCTTAAATGGCATCTAAACCTTAGAAGTCAAATGTTACAGCAAATATTTGTAAAAGCAACTGTAAATAAAACCGAACGCAACCACAGCATAATATAACCATGTAGCCATAGATATATGATAAATATAAACAACAGCTTAATATTAGGACCATTAGTCACAGTGGCAAAAGTTCTTAGATATTGAAAAGAAGATGTGTTAGGTCAACTGCTAAGATGGTCCACAGTGATCCCTGCCTCCTGATATTCACAATCTATCATCAAGATAGCAGGCCATCCCAGGACAGCAGTCAAGGGAAAATAGTTGATGACCAACTGAAGCAATCAGAGCTCACCATCTTGGTCTTCAGCTGTTTTCCCTGGACTGAGGTGGTCACTCCCATGGAGCTGGTGGGACCTGTGGTTTACTTCTAACAAATAGAATATGGCCAAAGTGATGAGATATCACTTTTTTGATTCGATTACAAAAGATTGTGACTTCATCTTGCTAGCAACCTCTCTTTTTTGCTAGCTCTGATGAAGCAAGCTGCCTTGTGGGAGAGGCTCGCATGGCTTACATGAGTATAGCCTTTGGCCAATAGCCCAGGAGGAATTGAATCCAGAAAACAACCACATGAGTGTGACCCCAGTGATGCCTATGTCTCTGGTGAACACCTACATTGCAGCCTCTGAGACACCCTGAGCAGAGGACCCAGTTATGCTGGGCCTGGACTCCTGACCCTCAAAAACTGTGGGCCAGCAAATGTGTTGTTTTAAACCACTAAGTTTTGGGATAATTTGTTACATAGCAATAGATAACTAATACAGAAATGTCATTCCTTTGCATCTTTATTATGGCGCGAAATCATGACTTAACGTCAGTTAGTATTGCTTAATGGAATCGACATACATATTGTTATACCGTGAATCATTTTCAGTCAAGACCACATTTCTCAGAGTTTGCCAAAACAAGCCTTCTGCCTTCGGGTTGTCAGGCCACTGGAGGATGGAGCTCTTACAGATCCGCTGCCGTAGCCTCAAATACTGAGAATGCTGTAACACTGGCTCCAGCAGGATAAATATAATCACATCCATGTTCTCATCCATTAGCCTCTGCAAAGCCAAGTAAAAAGCTGTTTTAAAGTTCCAGCTTTTTGCATATTTTTTGGTTAAAACAAATACTGTTTTCTTGCTTTGGTTGATGCTCTGCATGAGGTTGTCGATGATGGCCAATCCCGGGTCCCAATCCCTCTCCTCTAGACAAAGGAGAACGTTTTTGTCTCGGCTCTCTTCAAGGTGGTAGCGCAGCTCATTTATCACCCAGTCAGTAACAGAGGCATCTTTGGTGTCATAAGAAATGTAAGCATCATAGAAAGTTTGGGATGTGGAAAGAGACCTGTAGCCTTTTACCTTAGCTAAACACACATTATATATAAACCAAACATCCCAGTAAAACAAATGGTGAGCCAGGGCAGCCAACATAACCATGGTGGTGATAAAGAACGTGAAGAAAAATAATATCACTGCAGTGACATCTGAAACACAAGTTGTTAGCTCCAGACTCACAATACTCTTCCCTCTTTGATCCCCAGGACTGGCACAAATGACATCTACCAGTCTGGGAATTTTGACATTCAGATGTTCATCCATCCATCTTCGGAAATCTCCAATGTCACAGGTGCATTCAAAGGGGTTTCCGTGTAGTTCCAACATAGATAATTTGGTGGTGGTCTTAGTTTCAAGTGCGGATTTGTTGATTGTTTTTAGCAGATTGGAACTTAAATCGAGGTGCTTCAGACTACTGACTTCAGAAAGAAAGCCAGAGGGTAGGTGGGAAATCCTGTTATGACTCAGCAGCAGTGTCCGAAGGGAAGATGTAAAGTCAGATAGGCTATCAGTTAAAAAGAGTAGTTTGTTTCCACGTAAGTCAAGCAACTCGAGACGAGGAAACTGCTGGAGTAATGTCCAGTTAAAAAACTTTAACATATTATCATTTATATGTAGTTCAGTGAGACTCGCTGGCAAATTAAGGAATGCTTCATTTGGGATGTGCTTCAGCCTATTAAGGGATAAATCCAGACGTGTCAGATTCTTGAGACCTTTGAAAATGGAGATATACCTGTTGTCATCATCATTCCACAAAATGTCAAGGCGATTGCCACTGAAAACTAATTCTACCAGGGACTTGCTTTCCAGGTTATACTTATCTGTTAAAGTATAAATGTTGTTGTGGCTCAAGTTTAAAACTTTTAGATTTGTGAAATTTTGAATAAATTCTAGATGATGTGTTACGCCTGCTATTCTGAAATAGTGTGAATTATAGCTGAGATCTAGAACTTCCAAGTCGGACAATTCAGTAAGAGCACTAGCATTATCAAAGTCTAGTCTATTGTTTGTCAAATCCAAATATTTGACATGAGGAATGGCTGAAAATTCAGTTCCACTTAACACTTGAGCATTGCTATTTGCAGACAGATTTAAACAGGCAATGTCAGGAAGATTTTCAAATTGGTTTGGCCCAATGAAGAAAATACTGTTGAGGCTTAAATCTAAGGCTTTTCCATAAGCAGCACATTGTGGCTTTATTAAAGGACGGGTGAAATGATAAAAGTTCGAATGTGGGTCAAACTCAAAATCTGTTGAGCGTCGTTTCCGGATATGACGTTGAAAAGAGGAACTATTTGCATAACTCTGCCGGGTATCTTTTACCAACGGTGATATTCTGTTTTCTGACAAGTAAATAATTTCCAGATTGGAGAAATTTTGGAAAAGTTTGAAATCGATTTGCTTAATAAAATTAATACCCAAGTTGATAGTCGATAAGTTTGGAAGCTGCATCAGGGGCTGGAAATCATCTTCTCTGAGTTCCTGGAACACATAACCTCTTAAATGCAATGCCCGTAGAGACAAAAGTTTAGAGAAGTTTCTGGAAATATTAATATGCTGTGGATAACTCCCCTTTATATAGTTAAAAGACAAGTCAAGTATTTCTAAGCGGGGCAGCATCGTTAAAAATGCCCCAGAGGCTATTTCTCCCACTAAATAGTTGAATTCAAGATCCAGCACCTTCAGATGAGGCATATTTTTAAACCAGGCAGCATTAATCTTCCTGAGGGAAGTGCTAGAGAGGTTTAGGTATCGAAGTTGGGTCAAGTTTTGAAAAGCAAAACGATCTATATTAATTGAAGCACCACCATCACAAGGCACGCATGGAAATGGGGCATTGAAGCACCTCGGACAGTTCCCGCTTAAATCTAGTAATGTTAAATTTATCAATCCCTTGAAATCTTCTTCACTAATGTATTTGATCTGGGTGTTGCTCAGAAAAAGTTTGCGTAGGGAGCTTGGCAGTTTGGGTGGCACGTGTGAAAGAGAATTGAAAGATAGTGATAGCAACTCCAAATTTGTCAGCGTTTCAAATACTCCATCTTCTATGTTAGTTTTCTCGCAAACTTTGTTAAAATAGCAGTTCCAGGCCAAATAGAGATTTTTCAAGTTTATAAGTCTTGAAATGCCCTCTTTAGTTATGTTGTATATATTGTTTTGAATTAGACTAAGTTCTGTCAAAGACTCTGGCAAACCAGAGGGTATTTGGGGTAACTGGTTGTCTTCAAGCAGTAACTCCCTTAGGTTTTTTAGGTTGAGGAATGCCCCGTCTGTGATATTCAAGCCATTTGATTGTATACCGGGATTTCCGTTCTGGTGCTGTACATTGGGGTTGTGGTTTAGATTTATTTTAGTGAGATTTTGCAGCCCTTGAAATGATTCATTCGTTATGTGTGTGATGAAATTATCAGACAGGTCTAGTTCTGTCACATATTTGCCCACCGTTTGGGGAACTTCCTGTAGTCGACGATTGCTGCACTCTGCAATAACTGAGTCATTTTGCTTTTTCTCATCACAAGGATAGCTTCTAGAAAAATTTTCTTCGGCGCATAACTCACAGGAACCAGATATTAGCAGGAAAATGCAGGTCAGCATTGACGACTGAAGGAACATGTTTTCCTAAGGAAAATCAAAAGTGGAAGCACAGTATTAGAGTAGCAGTATTTGCCAGGTGTTTTGTAAATAAATTAGCAGCGCTGCCCCATACTTGTATGAATTTTGATGTGTGCATTCACTTAACAATTAAATAAATTGCATCAGATTAGGTCCAGAATGATTTTACTTTTTTACTATGTTCAGCTTCATGGTGCTAAAAGAAGTTGAAGATGGGCTGTGTGTGGTGGCTCACACCTGTAATCCCAACATTTTGGGAGGCCGAGGTGGAAAGATGGTTTGAGCCCAGGAGTTTGAGACCAGACTGGGCAGCATAGGGAGACCCTGACTCTACAAAAAAATGAAAAAATTAGCCGGGCGTAGTGGTGCATGCCTGTAGTCCCAACTACTCGGGAGGCTGAAGTGGGAGGATGGCTTGAGCTCCTGAGGTCGAGGCTGCAGTGAGCCATGATTGTGCCACTGCACTCCATCCTGGATGACAGAGTGAGACCCTGTCTCAAAAACAACAAAAAAAAGGAAGTTGAAGATGAAGCTATCTGAGATTATGATGATGAGAAGACCTGGGAAGCTTCTGCAGAGGCCATTAATCAAGATACTCCACCACCATAATGAGTCTAAGCTGGACCACAGCTATGGTTTATAGTAAGTCTATAGCTTTGCAAGCTATATATTTATAGCACCAACCTACTGACATGACACTTGATGAAACTTTGGCCAGTCCCCAAGGAGAGTTCAGATGCAACTTCTAATATGGTATCATCCTAGATCTTCTAGGCAGTCATCTTTACCTTATTTATACAGCTATATCTCTCTTACTGGTATTTCCCACAATTGTTCTATACTTCTATGGTGACATATATTATGTTTTCTTCTTGCATGACTGGAAAGTGGGCACTTTATGTTGATAATAATAACAAACAAAATGTCAGGTATTGTGCTAAGTGCTTCATAAACATTTCATCACCCACATTAATGCTCACAAGAACATGACGCAGTAGGTCCTCTTATTATTTATATTTTGCAGATGAGAAAACAAACTCAGAGACTTAAGTACCTTTTTGAAGGATGGTATGCTGTAGCACTGGGACTTGAGCAAATCTGATTCCAAAATCATATTTTTAACAAGCCATCATGCTACACAATCTCCTTTTGAAATCCTCGTGCCTGAACTGTGCCTCAAATGTAAACAGCACTCAAAAAATTGTTTGTGGAATAATTACTACTCATATGTTCCCTATCACACAAACATTAGCATTAATAGCTATTTGCTTGCTAGTTTTGAAACTTCTCTAGGGAAGACACATGGTGCTTTATATTTTTATGCACCCTCAGTAACACAGGAGAGTGCCTCACTTTCTGTAACTGTTTCTTAATAAATAGAGGGCTGAATATATCACTTTTGGTAACCATACAATGCAATAAACAGATTAATGTGGTAGGTTTGATCAAGGGTTGTAATTAAGAGAACTCTCAAATCTTCTTTCACTGAACACAGAAACCAGCCTAGATTTTTCACTAAAGCCCAACTCATGTCTTTATTATGGATTAAACCAGATAAGTGCCTTTTTAAAAATTCTCCTAAAATTTAGGGCCGGTGAACTAACACCTTTATATGTCACACTCTCACTATGTTATAAAAGATTTTTATGTGGACATTGATTATTCTTAAGCTCAATCATTATTGCCCATTTGTAACAGCCAAGGAAAACCCAGCTCCTTTTGAGATGGAAATTAAAGTGGAGCAGAACTCCCAGACATGTTCAGTTGCTAGTAGTTATTTTCAAATGCAGCACTATCGTGATGTTGCTGCTTAATGTTTAACTTGCACTAAAACAAGCCTCTACTATACCTGGTGTGATAGGCAGAATTTTAAGATGACCCCCATGAATTTTGTCCCGGGTATTACTGCTGTGATGACATTATAGTATATGGCATATGGGAATTTATCTGGATGGGCTTAGTCTAATCATACGAGCGTTTGAAGGCGGAACGTTTTTTCTGGTTATCGGCAGAAGGAAAAGTCAGAGGGGTAGGATGCATGAGAAGAACTGGATGCCCTATTTCTGGCTTGAGGAGGTAGCGGCCCCACAACAAGGAATGCAAGCAGCCTGTGGAAGCTGAGAGTGGCTCTCTGCAGGCAGCTAGCAAGGAAATGAGGTTTTCGGGGTGGTGGTGGGGTAGTGAGTCGAACAACAACTGCAAGGAACTGAAATCACCTGACAATCTGGATGAACCTGGAAACAAATTTTTACTCAGAGCCTCCAGATGACAGCCCAGCTTGGCTTTATGAGACTTGGAGTGGAGAACTCAGGCAAACCTGCCCAGATTCTAACTTACAGAAATTAAGGCCAATCAATGGGCATTCTTTGAAGCCTCTACATTTGGGAGCGATTTGTTCTGCAGTAATAGAAAACTAATATATCTAGATGCTATGAATTCTAAGATGATTTATGGCTTGAAAACATGGAGCTCCTGCAGAGGCAGCCACAGGTCTCCAGGCTTCACATCTGTACCGGGAGACACAGGCACACCAAAGGAAGGGGCAACGGGGCTCAGACATGCAAGGCACTTTGAGGGAGACGCCACAGGCAATGCTATATTTGTTCAGGCACCTGAGCAGATCTCAGCCTGTGTGATTTCCAAGTTCCAACATTGCTAGATTTCAAAGTCACTTTCCGGACTCATCCCTGCCTTGATTAGCTAGTGGGTGGCCTGGGAAGTCTGTTCGATTACACTCACAATATATGAATTGGCTCCCAGTCTCATGGGTACAACAGATATGACTTAAACACAACATTACAAGGTTTACACTGTGATAAAAAAGAAGTGCATGACACTGTAAGAGCCTAAGAAGAGGGGACTTTGGCCTAGTCAAGGCAACTGGGGAAGATTTCCATAAAGAAGTGGAACCTAGGCCGAGGCGGGCCGATCACCTGAGGTCGGGAGTTCGAGACCAGCCTGGCCAACATAGAGAAACACTGTCTCTACTAAAAATACAAAATTAGCTGGGCGTGGTGGTGCATGACTATAATCCCAGCTACTCAGGAGGTTGAGGCAGGAGAATCACTTGAACCCAGGAGGCAGAGGTTGTGGTGAGCCAGGATCACACCATTGCACTCCAGCCTGGGCAACAAGAGTGAAACTCCGTCTCAAAAAGAAAAAAAAAAAAGGAGTGAAACCTGAACTGCAATCCTAAGGTTGAGTAGGCATGTGTAAGGCACAACCAAGATGTCAAAGGAATTTTTCAGGAAAAGGGAGCAGCATGTGCAAAGGCCCTGTGTCTATTCCCGTGAGTTTCCCAGGCTGTACCTCCAGAGAAGCCCTGGGACAGGAATTCAGAGAGATATGGTGTGGGTCTAAGACAAGGCACATCAGCTTTCATGTTTGCCATGGTAGGACTGCTTGCCACAGTGGGGCCCAGAGGACTGGAATGGCACAGAGGAAGTGGCTAATGGAGATGTCGTTGAGGTTCTCAGTATCTCCATGTCACTATGTTCTGTGGACATTTTTCAGTCCTCATCTTACTAAGCACATAAGTTTAAGAGACTGAGAGAAAGCCAGGGACTTGAGTAAAGACCAGAGTGGACCAGGCACAGTGGCTCACGCCTGTAATCCCAGCAGTTTGGGAAGCTGAGGCAGGTGGATCACTGGAGCTCAGGAGTTGGACACCAGACTGGGCCATGTGGCGAGATCCCATCTCTACAAAAAATACAAAAACAAATAGCGGGGCATGGTGGCTCATGCTTGTGGTCCCAGCTACTTGGGAGGCTGAGACTGGAGAATCGCCTGAGACTGGGAGGTGGAGGCTGCAGTGAGCCATGATTGCGCACTGCACTCTAGCATGGGGGACAGAGACCACCCGTCTCAAAAAAGGAAAAAAAGGCCAGAGTAGGTTTAAAAAATATTAATTAAATTGACAACTAAAAAGTGTATGCATTTATGATGTACAACATGATGTTTCGAAATATGTATACATGTAGAATGCCTCAGTCAAGCTAATTCACATATGCATTACCTCATATACTTATCATTTTTTGGTCATGAGAACACTTAAAATGGACTCTCTTAGTGATTTTCAAGTGTATAATATGTTGTTATTAACTATAGTCACCATATTGTACAATAGAGTTCTTCAATAGAACTTTTTCCTCCTGCCTAACTGAAATTTTGTGTCCTATTACCAACGTCTCCCCAATCTCTTCATCTGAGAAGTGATGTGAGCCTTTGAAGGTTTTTAAGCAGGGTGGCACCATGTTTAGATTGATTCTACAGTGTTCACTGGCAAGAGGGCACAGAACTTCAGTCATGAGATGATGGGAGTTTGAACTAGGGTGGTGGCAATAGAGATAGAAAAGAACGCGTTCAAGAGATATTTGGGAGGTACATTTGAGAGACATAGCAATGGATGAATAAAGGGAGGTAGAGGTTGTGAGGGAGAGGGATGCAATCAGAGTGACTTCTAGGTTCCTGGTCTGTGCACCTGGAGGGATGGGTGTCATTCACTGAGCAGGAAGATTGTTTGGGGTAGGGCTACTAGTAATTAAATTTGACAGGTTTGCTTTTGAGTTGAGTTTGTGATATTCAAGTAGAGGTGTCCAGTAGGCAGCTGAGTATGTGGGTCTGAAGCTCAGAAGAGAGTTCTGACAGAGGAATGAATTTGGGATTCATGACAATTGAAGCCATGGGTATGAATGAGATCACTCAGGGCAGTGTAAGGCATAAAGGATCTTCCACACTTCAGTTTTATGAACAATTTTCTCATCTTTTTCCTAGTAATTTTTTATGATTTCATTTTCTTATCCCACTGGAATTGTTTAGGTATAAAATGTGAGGTGTAGACCCACATTATTTTTTTCTAAATGGAGACCCATTTACCCTAACGTTATTAATTGGATGGTCTTTTGCTCACTGATTTTATAGGCTTCCTGTATCACATACTAACTCTTCTGTTATTTGGATCTATTTCTAGGCTTTTTGCTCTGTTTCATCAATATGTTAGTATTTAATACATACTTGGTATAAATATGTAACAGGTATATGCATTAATGAAAAGACAAATAACCCAATAGAAAAATTGAAAAAATATATTAACAGACAGTTCACATAAAAAGGAAACATAAATTGCTCTTAAAGCATAGGAAAAGATACTCAACCTCACTCAAAAATTACACTGTCATACCATTTTTCACTGATTCTGTTAGGCAGTTGAGGATATGGGGAAACAAACACTCTTAAATTTTGCTGGCAGGAATCTAAATTAACACCACCTCTAAGATGGAGGGTAATGTGTAATATCTATCACAATTGGAAACATATACTTGGAGTTGGCAATTTCAATTCTAGAAGTAGATCCTAAAGACACACCCTCATATATGCAAATGTCTGTATACAAGGATGTTCATTGCAAAGGCTGTTAGCAATAGCAAAAGACCGGAAATAATCTAAATGCCTATGAGTAGTAGTCTGGGTAAATAAACGATATTATGTTCACACAATGAAATACCATGTGGCAATTAAACGGATAAGGCAATGCTATATTCATTCATTCATTAAATATTTATTAGGCAGATATTTTATTTCAGGAACTGTATTTGAGTTGCAGATAAAACAATGAACAAACCAGGCTAAAATACTTGCCCATTTTGAAAGATAGAATGTTAGATGGTGGAAAGTATTGTGGAGAAAAATATAACTGGGAAGGGAAATGGTTATGTAGAATGTCCCTGGGCGGGGACTTATCTGATGCTTTTGTTATGATTAGATCGAGCTGATGAGTCTAGGGGAGGAAGATCACAGAAGTGCAGGGCCATTCTAGCCATATCATATGAAGGGTGCATGCTATCAACATGACTTTCACTATTTATGTGTACCTTGATCATCTGACTGAGGTAGTGTTTGTCAGGTCCTTATTATAATTTTTAACTACAGATTAACACAAATTATTTTTTTAAAAAGGCCCAAGGAGAATATGTCAGGGCAAGGCCAGATTCCAGACCACTCCCTTTGCATGCTAAACAAAACATTGTTAGTTGGTAACTCATGTTTAGGTGGACACTTGGGCGGGTCCAGAGGATCCATCTTGTGTGGCCTCACTAGCCTGGAGGTAAGGCCTCAACATCCGATTTCAAATCCAATTCTATTTCATACAAGGCAGAGAGGAATTGAGGGGGAAATCCTCTAGGGGCTGCTAGAGACCAAAACTGGAGTCTTTTGAGCTCTGCTCTGTTCTTTCGGGATGAAAATAGCCTCTGGGAGAGTCTAAAGCAGCTTAAAGCAAATTGTGGGCCATGAAAATGGCCAGAACATTCCCAAAGACATTTTTTAGTTAAGAGTTTGAGGTTTCTAATGCTGCCCTCCCAAAAAAGTACTGAAGTAAGAAACATGAGTCGACAAATTCCAAATAACCTGATTTTGAAAAGTACATAAATGGGAAGGGCAAGAAATGGTGAGCAGGTTGCTTGCAGAGAAGTTGGGGAGACTGTCATTGCTCCACCTTCTATATTCCGTGCAGGACTGCACAGAGTTGGAATGGATTGCTAATGCTCACTTTGCAGGGTGCTCTGCTCAAGTCCATAGGAGTGCTGTGTGACCATGCCCGGCATGGGGGAACCCCAGGTCCCAGCAGCCACTGATCTCAGAAGACAGAGCAGAGACCAAAGGCCCAGCAAGAGCTGCACCTTCTGAGCCAAGTTCTTCCTTTGAGCCACACCCATGCCTCTGACTACCAAAAGTTGTGGCTCCAAAAGGATATCAAAGGGCATCTGGTCCCAGATGAAGTGAGAAGGATACTAATGAGAAGTCACCCTCATTACAGCAGAACCAATCAATAGAAACAATCCAGCCTGGCAGAAGAGAAATATGCAAATAAAATAGAGAAACAGCAACTCTACAATAACTTAGAGAAATGGCAATTCTGCCAATAAAATAGAGGAAAAAAAAAATACCACTATGCAAATAGAGAGAAAGAGAGAGAGAGAGAAAGAAAGAGTGAGAGAGCACAACCAACTTCTGTTGGTTGAACCTAACAGTCGGGTGCTCCGATTAAAGCCATAGTAAAAGAATAGAATCCTCTAAGATCAAAGAAAGTGTAGGAGGAGACAACAGCTGACAAGAATTTTCTACAAAGTTTAGCAAAATGGAAAGCAGGTGGATGAACAGTAGATGGGGCAGAGCAAAGCAGAGAAGGCTGAAGCCTACAGCCCTGTGCCTTCTGTGCCGAAAGAGAAGTCCACCCTTGATGTCAACAGCTGATGGTATAATGGGGCTCGGGCCAGGCCCCAGGGACCAGTTAAGATAAGGAAGAGATGCTTACTAGAAATAAGATAAGTATTAGATTGGGAGCTGATGAAGTGAAGAACCTGGATTGAGTAGAAGTGGCAGAATAGAGAATCAAAAAAGGGGAGTTTTTAGGTTGAATTGTGTCCCCTAATAGATAACTTGAAGTTCTAACCCCTGGTACCTGTGAATACAACCTTATTTGGACTTTGCTGATGTCATCAAGTTAAAATGGGATCTACTGAATTAAGGTGGGCCCTGATCCAATAACTGGTCCCCTTATAAGAAAAGGGGAATTTGGAAATAGACACACAGGAAAGAAGGCCACCCACATGAGGAGAGGTGAAGGCTAGAGAGATGCAGCGGCAAGCCAGAGAGCATCAAGAATTGCTAGCTACCACCAGAAGCTGGGAGAGGAGCATGAAACAGATTTTCCCTCTAGCCCCTTAAGAAGGAACCAACCCTGCCAACAACACATTGGTTTCTGACTTGTGGTTTCCAGAACTGTGAGAGGATATATTTCTGCTGTTTTGATCCACCAAGTTTGTGGTACTTTGTTTCAGCAGTCCTGGGAAACGAATCAAGTAAGAGCAGAGAACAGGTAAATGACAGTTGTTCTGTGAAACCCTCTGCTGAGACAAGTTCAAGCTGCCAGAAAAAAGGCCTTTGCCTGGCATGCCCTTGAGCTTGCTGCAATGAACACCCTTATGAGGATGACTGGGTCTTCGTGGTCCAGATCTTTCACTGGGGTTGTCTTAGAGCACCCAGTGAAAAGCAAAACCCACTTCTTTAAAGAAAACGTATGAATCATGAAAAAAAAAAGAAAAAAAAATGTGCCCAACTTCTCCTCTCCCTGCCAAATACAGTTATTGCTAATGAGGAAGCAATTTCACAACAGTTTTTCTATTTTCCATACATCATTTGTCCTTTGGTTAGGTCCACAGTACATGACCTGCCAATTTTCTTCTGCAGATTCTGAAGGAAACAGACAGCACAACAACAACAGCCTCTCTCAGTCCTCACCCAAATCTTTCTTCTGAAATTGGATGCTGATGGCCACCAAACACGTTTTTAAAAGACCAGTGCAGTTTGAAGAACAGGTCAGAAAGTCTGCCTTCGCTGAAAACTCATTCGCTGGGAGTTGCAATGAGCAGATAGGACACACCCAGAATTCGCCTGAAGGGGAGGGCTGCAGCCAGGGCGGAGACCAGATGTGTGGGCACAAAGGTAGGGACGCTGCCATGTGAGACTAAAATAAATTCCACGTAGTGTGCAGTGCAGGTGGTCTGGGAGGGGCGTAAAGCTGTCTTCCTGGAATTAACAGCTTTTTACCTTTTTAGTCTCCTTTCCCAGGCTGCAGGAGCTATTTTGCAAAGATGACTCCTTCATTCTCCCTTTCAAAGGCTTCCTTCAAGGTCTCCTGGGATGGGTCTTGCTGATGTTCCCTAACACTGAAGTGTCAAGAGAACCTATTGATTATAACATGTAATTAATCTCCTCAGTTGAATTACTTAGCTGCTTCAGCACAATGTTTGGATTCAACCAGAGCTGAATTTTTGCCAGACTGGAAATAGTTCTAATTTTTGATGGATTCTGATTCATTCGCAGTTAACAATGTTGACCACTGATACATGATGAAAGGAAATTAAGAAATGGTTATGCAGGTAGGATTTGTCACTTTAGATGAAATTTACAATTAATAATAGATACTTTATTTTACCCATCCCAAATTCAATGGATTCACTAACAGCTTTGGAAGACAAAAGAAAACATGACCACATTAAGTGCACTTATCATTAAAGAGATGGGTCCTGACTTAACATACACAAAAATATGAAAAACTGTGTTACTGGATGCTGGGAAATAGGGTAGGGAGCATTTGTTTAATCCTCAGAAACAAAAACAAAAACAAAAAAACCCAAAGAAGTCCATGAGGCCCCTGCTTTACAGACATGGGACCTGAGGCTCAGAGAGATGAATGTTTTCAAGGTCACTCAGATGGTAGGTGGTAGAGTTGAAAGTGACCCTAGATTTACCTGAGTAGTTAATGAATTGGGAGGGCTGAAGCCAAGGGGCTAGTTGGCCATGATCTGGTTTCAGTGATCAGCAGAGACCTGATAGCCCTATGTGGAACCTCCAAGACTCAAATGCTGGTGGCGGATTTTCCACGTTCCCTTTCTGCACTGAGCAGGCTACCACAGAGAACTTCCAGATTCTTTGTCATTCCTTAGAACCACAGGAAATCTACTGATTTTAGACATACACACCAACTAGCAGCTCTTTGTAACTTTCTGCAAAATCAACACAGCCTGTATCTGCTAATGCCAATCCAGAACCACAGGTTATGTATTTATATTACTGTGTCTTATAGCAGGGGTGTCCAATCTTTCAGCTTCTCTGGGCCACACTGGAAGAAGAAGAATTGTCTTGGGCCACACATAAAATACACTAACACTAACAGTAGCTGATGGGCTAAAAAACAAATGCATAATATTTTCAGAAAGTTTATGAATTTGTCTTGGGCTGCATTCAAAGCTGTCCTCGGCCATATGCAGCCCGCAGGCCGAGGGTTGGACAGGCTTGTCCTATGGTCTTGAGTAGTCCTAAATTGGGGCTACTAATTTAAAAATAACAAATCCCTCAACCCCATTTAATAACCCAGATGAACTCAGAGATGTTGCATTGGAATGACGTTCCCCTCAATGGAACCTGGAGGCGACACTATGATGCACTTACAAATAATGTCCAACTGCGTTTCAAAGACTAACTGTGGGTAATGACATCCTTCCCTGTGAAACACACCCTAATATTCTGTGAGTCTGGGGTCTTCCATAAGACTGCTTTCTCTTTCATAATCTCTGAGATTCTTAGATTATTATAATGAAAGGATGAGAAGCAGTGATTGAAAGAGGAGAATGAACTCCATCAACTGCCCTCACTCTTATCTGCAGTCTCAGCTTTTCAGAGAAAGCATACTTAGAACTTCTATTTTGCTTTCTAAAATCAAACCAAGGTGGCTGGTAAATACATTTCAGCTCTTCCTGGAGCATTTCTAGCCACCTAAAAAAACGGACTGTGCTTTTTAACAAAAGGACCAAAAAACTGTTGATGTTCTAAGGCACTGATTCTTAACTTTGGCTGCACAGTAGAGATACTTAGGAACTCTAAAAGCTACAAATGCCAAGCCCTGTATCCAGAGATTTTGGTTTCATTGATCTGGGGTTCAGTCTGGGCAGCAGGAGTTTTGAAAGCTCCCCCTCTGATTTGAGTCCATTGCGAAGGCTAACAACCTCTGCCTTTAGGCAGGAGGTCAGCCAGGTCCTTGACCTCCATTGGCCACCAGTGGGAGCAAAGTGGCCATTTTTTGCAAGTTTAATTTGATTTTATTATTACTCTATTTACCAATCTGTTGTTGTTGTTGTTGTTGTTGTTTTGAAACAGAGTCTTACTCCGTTGCCCAGGCTGGAGTACAATGGTGCGATCTTTGCTCACTGCAACATCCACCTCATGGGCTCAAGCGATTCTCCTGCCTCAGCCTCCTGAGTAGCTGGGACTACAGGTGCGTACCACCACACCTGGCTAATTTTTGTATTTTTAGTAGAGACGAGGTTTTGCCGTGTTGACCGGGCTGGTCTCTACCTACTGACCTCAAGTGATCCGCCCACGTCGGCTTCCCAAAGTGCTGGGATTATAGGCGTGAGCCACCGGGCCCCGGCTATTTACCACATTCTTACAGTACAATTATACTGGCTATCACAGCAGCTTACAAATATCAAGTAGGAATTGGATAATTTCAACTGCAATCCCATATGTGTCATTGGCCCAGTTGACCGAATTCCATATGGGCCACCTACAGTCATTTTGTAAAGCATTGTAAAATTTTAGTGCAGAATTAATTTACCTTCAAGATCCATAATGAACATTAGGTGGGTATAAAAATTAACTTCAGGCCGGGCGCGGTGGCTCATGCCTGTAATCCCAGCACTTTGGGAGGCTGAGACAGGCGGATCACCTGAGGTCAGGAGTTCGAGACCAGCCTGGCCAACATGGAGAAACCCCGTCTCTACTAAAAATACAAAAATTAGCCAGGCGTGGTGGCACACACCTGTAGTCCCAGCTACTTGGGAGGTTGAGGCAGGAGAATCGCTTGAACCCGGGAGGCGGAGGTTGCAGTGAGCTGAGATCACGCCACTGCACTCCAACCTGGGTGGCAGACCCATTAACTTCAAAAGACTTAAGTGTACTTTAAATTGTTGTCAAAATTAACTCCAAGGACTTTGGGGAAAAATATATAGTACATTTTGGATGAGACTCTCTTGAAATCAGACTTTTCAATTGCTCTTAAACCTCATTGAATTTTCTAGAAAATGTATCATTTAAAAAGAAGTGTAAAGTTCATTTTTAGTCTGACAGTTCTTGACAATAACAAAAACGGACCACCTGCTATGTCTTGACAGTGTAAAATAATAATTACAGAAATTGTAGCATGTTATTAGGTTGGTGGAAAAGTAATCACAGTTTTTTGTACCAACCTAATTATTTAAAACTCTGACCAAGAAAAGTAGCAATTAATGTCGAACTTTAAGCCTCCAACAGTAGGTTAAGCTCAGGCTTCACTAGGATCTAGCAATTGACCTATGTATGTGAAGGAAGAGAGTTTGTCCTTTTCTACAGAAATAGCAAAGGAAGAATATTTCCCTCACCTTCTCTTCCAACCCTGTTGTTCTGGAAGAGGATATTGTCTCTGGTAGGGCCAGTAAGTAATATTTCCAGTTCAATTTCTAACTTGAAATTTTCTTATTTTCCTGTCCAAATTAGTAAGATCATCACTGCATTTGATTTTCAAAATTTACTCTCTAATTCCTTTATACTAACGTGTGCACAAATTAAAGATCATAGCAAGCCGCTTTACCTGCATTTACAGTTGTTTCGATCTTTAATTTTTATCCTTATTTGCCCATTTATTACTTTCTAGGCTCACACCATTTGCCACCAACCCAGATTTCTGGGTCAGAAACCCCATATTCTGTTGGAAAGCTTTGCTAAAGAAATAGAAGTGGCTTACCATGTTTCTGTTGTTCTAATTTTTCATTCCGTAACTTGCAGCAGCGCAGAATGGTACCCTCTATGCAGGAGGTGGCCGAGAAGAGAAACTGGCTAACTTCCTGAAATGGCTCTATTTACCATCAGCAGAACGTAGCGTGTGTTTTACAGAAGTTTACATGAAAAGAAGGGAACTTGTGATTTCTTAGCTGTTGCCAAATCATTAATTGACTGTGCTTTAAAACTTTGAAACTGAAGTTATGGGAAAAAGTCATTTATGAAATGATTTAAATACAACCCAAATCAGACACACACGACGTATTTTTGTTAGTTTTTGTGTATTTGTGTGTACAGGGGAGAAAAAGGGAACATTATTCCATTCACTAAGAAAACTTCAGTGTATTCTTTTTTAAAAAAGTTACCATAAATTTGTACTGAACTTCGGATTTCTCAAACTCGTCTTCCTTGTGTAATTCACAGATGTAGGCGAATAACATGAACATTGCTTCATCTTTGTTCCACAAGTTTCTGAGACAGCACCGGTAGGTATGGGTCTCCCTCCCACTGGGCTGTGGCCGCAAAGCGAGCATCTTTCTCCTGGGCGCCCCATGCCTCCTCCAGCACCTGGCATGTAGTATAAGCTCAATGAGTGTTCATTGTATGAACGAGTGAGTCAATGGCTGAGCATTCGTGAGGCTGGAAAATTTAATCTTCCCGATTTAGTCTGATAAATGGATTCCATTTTATGCTCGGAGAGCAAGGGCCTCAAAAGGTGTAACCAAGAGCAGAGGTCAGCAAACTGCAGCCTTTGAACGAAATCCGGCCCAGAAGTGAAAACATTTTTAGATGAACATTGGCAATGGATTTGCTGATACAGAACACTAACTTTAAATTCCAACCAAGCAGAATGTTAGCACCTCCAAAAATGATTCCATTCTTCTCATTATTAAACCTATACTACAAAAAAACTGCCTTCGATTATTATTATTACATTTTGAGTTTCATCAATTACATAATTGTGGAAATTTTTATTTTACTATATAAGTAGCTACATAATATGCCAAATTTGCTTCTTGGCCTGTAAAACCTAAGATATTTGCCATCTGGCCCTTTACAGAAAAAGTTTGCTGACCCCTGGCCACAAGAATAAAGTTTAGAACGGGATGTGATATGTTTCATCTTGCCTTACACCCCAGGAGTGGGAGAAAACCAAATTGGCAGCAGGGTGGGCAGAGATGACATCCATATATAAATGGACTGTGGAACACCTTGTTATGAAGGAAGGCCTGTCAGCAGTCAAAGAATGGCTTGGGTGGGTATACCTAGATGGACCTCTAAAGATCACACCCTAAGGGAATTCAAGACCTGGTGCATGGTTTGAGAGGTGATTCCTGTGACATCAGAGAGTGCAGCCTGGGCCTTCATGGGCAAACCAAAAACATTTGTGATTGTAAACCCAAAGGCCTCGGCTGGCCGCATCCAAGTCTCTTGGTTTCCCTCCAAACATTTGCTTGGAAATAAAGTAAAGAAAGTAAGTAAGAATGGATCGAGTGCAGTGGCTCACACCTGTAATTCCAGCACTTTGTAGAGGCCGAGGCAGGAGGATCACTTGTGCTCAGGGGTTTGAGACCAACCCGGGCAACATGGCAAAACCTTGTCTCTAAAAAAATACAAAAATTAGCCAGGCATGGTGGTGTGCACCTGTAGTCCCAGTTACTCGGGTGGCTGAGGTGGGAGGATCGCTTGAGCCCAGGAGGTGGAGATTGCAGTGAGCCATGATAGTGCCACTGCACTCTAGCCTGGGTGACAGAATGAGACTTTGTCTAAAAAAACAAACAAACAAACAAACAAAAAACAGCGAAGTAAAAATGACTTCCAGCCGTTGACTGAGCAAGGATCCTTGGAACTGGAGAGTTTGTCAGCTTTCTAGAAAAGCGAGACTCACATACCCTGGCTTCTAGGCCACCAAGTGTCAGCCAATTGTAGACCAGTCAATTGGCCTTGTAAAGCATGCTTGTATACGTATATATATATATGTGTGTGTGTGTGTGTGTGTGTGTGTGTGTGTATCATCATGTATATATGATATATATATATTTTTTATGTACATATGCATGTTTATATGTATATATACACACATACAGTCTAGTATCTATGTCAAGCAAACTCATAAAAATGAGTTACTTACTTATACCAAATGAGCCTTCAGTTTTCTCCACACAACCAGTACCATAAAAGATGAAAATGAAAATGGAATTGACACCAGGGCAGGAAGGTTACTGAGAGGAAGAAGCTCCATCTGCTTGTAAAGTAGCCAGATGATTGGCTTCTGCCCAAGCCCAGAAACTGGTCCTTGGTGGCCAGGTCTGCTCTCCCCACCCTGCACTGTGAGGCCAAAAGCTCCTGGGCATCTCCTAGACCAATCTTTCCTTACTCTTCCCCTTGCCATCCATGCTGACACAGATCTTGATTCCAAAATGGAGAAGACCTGTCATGAACCGCTTCTGCCAGGCAAGCCTGCCAGACAACGTGCACTTCCCAGACACACAAATCACCAGCAGACAAGCCTCTCTGAGCCTTAGTTTTCTCATCTGTCAAATTGGGATAAGAATAGTAGTATCTTTCTCAGATGTTGGCTTTGAGGATTAAATTGTTCATATCGTGGAACTCTTAGAAAAGTAGCTGGCACAAAGTGAGCGTTCAACTAGCAGAGCTGGAATTATTATTACTACGCTTGTTGTTACAGACTTCACACATTCCTGGGCTGTTGCCAACAGTAGGCCTGAAGAACCACTCTTGGGGCCTTCCCCAGCCCTGGACACAGCCCTTTCCTCTCGAGTGGATGACCAGACAATTCATAAGGCAGCAAATGGCTTCCCCATACTGGGGCTGCCGCGAAGTACCACATATGGAAATAACGTGCAACCCTGGAAAAAGCTCAAGGTCTGGGAAAACACCAAGTGCCTGGAATCAGTTGTTTGTTGTGAAATCAATGCTAAATATATACAAAGCTAAAGTGAAAGGACTTACGTGGAAGAAACTTTTAAGTCAACGATTCAGATGAAGAAATGCACAAGAGGCTTCCTTTACACAAATCTCTTGTGATCCTGGTTTTAAGTGGGGGTGCAGAGCTCCTGAGAGGACAGCTACTGTGCGTCCATGTTTAGGAGCCACGCTGCAGCTTCCCTTGGCCCCTTTAAGCGGCTGCCCTTCCCTGGCCAGGGAAGACACGGGTGAGATAGGCCACAGGTGTTTCCTGAAACTGTCTCCTCCTGCCTCCACTTGACCTTAGCTTTGCAAATCCTGGGCGCTTTGTGGTCACCTCTGGGATGCAACTTGTTGGTGTCACGCCCACTTTGCCAGGTCCTGCCGGCAGATATGGGCTGCTTGTTTTCTTTGTCCCCAAGTCCCCACGTGCCTCCTGATGGTCTGTGGCCCAGATGGGATGGAGTCCTCTGCACCAACACCTACTTAAGGCGCTACCCACCCACCACTCCTGTTCTCTCTGCTTGTTACTATAATCCCCATTTTCAGAGGAGGAAACAGGCTCATAAAGGCTCAGTCATTTACCCAAATTCAGCAGCAAAGCTTGGATCTGAACGGAAAGCTCTGTCGTACTTGCCACTTTCTCTGCTGGATGACATTTTGGTGGCTCCGTGTTACATTCACCAGACTGTACAAGTTTTGAGCCCAAGGGCTGTTGTATCCATCCAGCCTGGTCTTACACATGGATGTTGGTGAAAATGGATGGGGACGAATGGATGGATGGATGGATGGATGTTGGTGAAAATTAAAGGGAAACAGAGGATGATATTGATAGAATTAAGGGAAGTTTCTTTTGTATATAAAATTTTTCTGAGTATAATGTTATTACATGGTCCTAAATATCCCAATAAAGGAATGTAGAACACATCAGATGAAAGCTCTCCAAATTCCACTCCTCAGAGTTGACCATTGTTAATGGTTTGGTATATGTTCTTCAAGATTTTTCCTATGTATATACTGACATATAATTACGTACAGAATTCTTTTTGAAAACTGAGTTCACATGATACGTGCTATTCTGCATCATTTTTTTTTTCCAGCTAGCATTCTGGTTTGGATATGCAGATCTGTCTTGTTCTTTTTTTTCAGTGGCTGTGTTCTGTAGCCGGTTATGCATGTGGTATTTTGCTTAATGAATCCTCTATTGATTGGCATTTGTGCTTGTCCTAATTTTTTGAAATTACAAACAATGCTGCGACAAACATCTTTGGAGGGAAGATAATTTTAAAAGAAGTGTGTTCAAGTGAGGAGGAAAAGCCGGCAGGATGGAGAAGAGTGGTCACATGTGCAACGGACAGAGTCAACCTCATGGAGCCGCTTTCCCAAGTAGGGAAAGTGAATGAACCAGGGGCAGTGGTGGGTGGGCTTGCAATTTAGGAAGGGAAGGGCCACCTCTCCTTGGAATGAGAACGAATGCAGATAGGCTCTGTGAGGAAAGAATCTGGGTTTTGTGAGATGATGATGATGAAGTCGGTGACATAAAACATGTTTGATGTAGAGAGGACAGAATTTGAGGACGCATCCATTGGTGGGCAGATATAGGAGGCGAGGCTGCTTGTTGGGGACAGGGCATCTGGTAGAGGGATCAGTACCAAATGCTGAAAATATGTGGGAAGATGTTGGGGATAATTGATTCAAATATATGAGGGCTGTTGGAAAAGCACAAGAACAACCTGCTAGATTTGAGGCCCGGGGCTTGGCATGGAGAAGATTTGAGAAGGGCCATTCCTGTTATACAGGCTACTTCTCCATGGAATCTTCATTTGATTCCTCACAGTCTCAGGACTCCTCTGCCCTTCCCCCCAATATGTTTTATTTCCTCTTTTTTTCTAGTTCTCTTTTGCAAGTCTTCCTATCTCCAGAATCAGTGCTTTTAGCATTCGAGAAAGGCATTTTTGTTTCTTCCTTCCTGCACCTGCACCTTTTTTCAGGGACTGCAGAAACGCCTTCACGTGTCAGCATTGGCTTGAAGATCCAGCCAATGGCCAAGATGTTAATAACCATGCTGCCACAAGATGGCGCCCACCACCCAATATCTCGGGCTTCCTGATCAGACTCGTAGGTAATAATTTTTGTGTGGCAACGTACAGTATAAAATTTTATTTTTTCATTTTATTTTATTTTATATTTTAAACAGTGTGTCGCTCTTTCACCCAGGCTGGAGTGCAGTGGTGCAATCGCGGCTCACTGCAGCCTCAAATTCTCAGCTCAAGTGACCTTCCTGCCTCAGCTTCCCAAATAGCTGAGACTACAGGCACACACCATGCCCAGCTAATTTTTTATTTTTTGTAGAGACGGGGTCTTGCTATGTTGCCCAGGCTGGTCTCAAACTCCTGGGCTCAAGCGATTCTCCTGCCTCAGCCTCCCAAAGTGCTGGGATTAAGTTTATGAAATGTACACATGTCTAAAAGTTTTGCTTCAGGCTTTTTTTTTTTTTTTTTTTTTTAGACAGAATCTCTCTCTGTCGCCCAGGCTGGAGTGCTGTGGCGCGATCTCGGCTCACCGCAAGCTCCGCCTCCCGGGTTCACGCCATTCGCCTGCCCCAGCCTCCCGAGTAGCTGAGACTACAGGCGCCCGCCACCACGCCCAGCTAATTTTTTGTATTTTTAGTAGAGACGGGGTTTCACCGTGGTCTCGATCTCCTGACCTCGTGATCCGCCCGCCTCAGCCTCCCAAAGTGCTGGGATTACAGGCGTGAGCCACCGCGCCCGGCAGGCTTTTGAGCATCTTCAGTTAAGGAAATCCAAGTTTCTAAATAAAAAACAACTTTGATTCATAGTTTGCCCTATAGGCACCAAAGTGCTTAAGATGTAAGAAAAGGAAACATGAAACGATCTTTTGCTCGTCCCATTTTGGAACAGACAGAGGATTTTAACTACGTTCTATGCTAGGGAGGGGTCACTTTTATAATTGATGAATGATACAAAATCGAGCTCAGAATTCCCAATGTATATTCTAAATCTACTTACTGAGTTAAATTTTGAAAACAAAACAAATACAATTATGCAAGAAATATACCCAGGTGAAAAATGTTCAAATAGTTAAACATATGTCTAATGTATCTGCTGTGACTTAGTCCACCAACTGAAATGTGCAGAGACGTTTGTTTTTTATGACTCCATTCTGTGTTTGTCTCTGAGCTTTCATCCTACCTCACTCTCCAGAAGATCAACTCAGACCCTCGGAGGAGTGGGGAGTGTGAACCCCGAAAATTTGAAAGAGGTCTCAGTTAATTTAGAAAGTTTAATTTGACAAAGTTAAGGACGCGTGCTTGTGACACAGCCTCAGGATGTCCTGACGACATGTGCCCAAGGTGGTTGGGGCACAGCTTGGTTTTACACATTTTTGGGAGACATGAGACATCAGTCAATCTCTGTAAGAAGTACATTGATTCTTCCAGAAAGGGGGGACAACTCGAAGCAGGGAGGGGGCTTCCAGGTCACAGGTAGGTGAGAAACAAACGGTTGCATTCTTTGAGTTTCTGATTAGCGTTTCCAAAGGAGGCAATCAGAATATGCATCTATCTCAGTGAGCAGAGGGATGACTTTGAATAGAATGGGAGGCAGGTTTGCCCTAAGCAGTTTCCAGCTTGACTTTTCCTTTTAGCTTAGCGATGTTGGGGGCCCAAGGTATTTTCCTTTCACAGGAGTCCTTGCCTGCCAGGGATTGGGTACAGCTTCTGAGTCTGATGCAGTGGCAAACCAGAGTGGGGTGTGTGGAAGCGGGGTACACAATTGATTTTTTAATTCAACTCCTTCATCTCAACTCTGTGGAAGATTGATCATTTCTCACGTGGAGTTGGCAGGGTCCCACTTTTCTCAGGTCTGACAGACCTCCCTGATCTGTTAATATTACCTTCCTCCCCTTCCCTCTTCACGTCTTTCTCCAGAAGGGGCAGAAAAGCAGCCCTATCCCTTCTCTTCCTGGACACCTGGTTGATGCCCTAGAGTCGCTTTGTTCCACGGGCTCTTCTATGATCCCCTAAGGCCTTTGGGCCTTCCTGTAGAAGACAAAAGCCGACTAGGTTGCTTCCCCTGCACGTGCCCCCTGAGGCAATGCATACAGTTTAGGATCAGCTTGAATGGGGATGAAGGAAAAGAGAAAGAAGAGATGGCATTCTCGAAGATTACTCCACCTCCCAGTGTCATCTCAGTGCTTAAGGTTATAAATATAAATTGTGTCTAGAGCAGGGTTTTGCAAAAGTTCATCTTTAGGTCATCTACATCAGGATCATCTGGGTGGGTTTTTATTTAAAACATAGATGTCAGGACTTTGCCTTCATATCTATTAATCCAGGGGCTCTAGCACAAGGCCTAGGCACCCATAGGTGACTCTATTAGCCAGTCAAGTTTGACAACCGCTCAATAGAGCAAGACCAGCATCACTTGGACCTATCTTGTAAGAGATGCAAATTCTCGGGTTCCAACTCCAGACCTACTGAATCAGAAGCTGAGAAGTAGGGCCCAGCAATCTGTTTTAACTAGCCCCTCAGGTGATTTTGATGCCTGCTCATGCTTGAGAATCTGTTGCAATCAAGCAATGACTCTGAAGCAGTGGTTCTCAACTTTGCCTGCATGTTGGAATCGCCCTCCAGCTTTAAAATCCCAAAGCTCAGTCTGTAGCCCAAACCAATTAAATCACAATCTTTATGGTAGAACCCAGACATAGTCTTTTTTTAAAGCTGCCCAGGTAATTGCAAGGTGCAGGCAAAGTTAAGAGCCACTGTAACAGGTTGGGGAGTTGATACCTAAATCACTAGGACTGGCCAGGTGTAGTGGCTCACACCTGTAATCCTAGCACTTTGAGAAGCCAAGGTGAAAAAGGATTGCTTGAGCCCAGGAGTTCGAGGCCAGCCTGGACCTTGTCTCTACAAAAAAAACTAAAAAAACTCGCCAAGTGTGGGGGCACACGCGAGAGGCTGAGGTGGAGGTTTGCTTGTGCTCAGGAGGCAAAGGCTGCAGTGAGCTGAGACCTCACAACTGCAGTTCAACCTAGGCGACAGAGTGAGACGCTGTCTTAAAAAAATAAAATAAAAATCACTGAGACTGTCTCACAATAAATATATACTCACTGCTGGGATATTGTGGTATTATCCTCACCCTGAAAATCTCTGGTTGTAAACCTTGTCATTGATGGGACAGGGTCATCTTCTGCCTGTGTGTCTGATTTAGCAGGTCTGAGGTGGAGCCTGAGAGTCAGCATGTCTAATGAACTCCCAGGGGATGCCCATGTTGCTGGTCCAGGGACCATGGTTTGAGTAGCAAGACCCCGCCCAAGGTGTCCATTACTCCCATTGCCACAGGAGTGTTCAACTGCATCTTTCCAGCTCAGCTCTATTCTTTGAGCTCTGTAGACTATGGGCACCTACTGACTCAGCATCTCCATCCACTTGGTGATTCGAAGGCTCCCAAATGCCATATGACTAAGACACACTCTTTGTCTCCCGCCCCCAAATATGGTCATCTTTCAGTGTTGCCTGGTTCAATTAACTCATTTTTCACATCTCACCTTGGGTGGCCTTCCTCAGGGCAGCCCGCCTCTCCTGCTCCCTGGTTTCGCTCCCTTTTCCAAGTCATCACTCTTATAGAAACCTCTTCCTTTCCTTCATCACACTTGAATCTCCTTCAGTGCAATAATCTGATTAATGGATTTCTGAATAAGCTCCAGGAGAACAGGGACTATTTCTATTTTGGCTCGCCAGTGTCTCCTCACCCTAAGCATCATGCCAGGCCCATGGTGGCCACACCATAAATATTTATTGACTGACTGACTGAATGGATGGATGGATGGATGGATGGATGGATGGATGGATAGATGGATGGATGAATGCAATCAACAGTTTCTGAATATTACATCTATGTAATGCAGAATACAAATTTCATAGCTATATTCTATACCATTTCAGAAATGCCTAGGGGAAATTGTAGAACCCAATCAATAATAATGAGTCTTGGAAATTCTTTCTTTTTTTTTTTTTTTGAGATGAAGTCTTGCTCTGTCACCCAGGCTGGAGTGCAGTGGCACAACCTCGGCTCACTGCAACCTCCATCTCCTGGGTTCAAGCAATTCTTGTGCCTCAGCCTTCTGAGTAGCTGGGACTACAGGCATGAGCCACCACGTCCGGCTAATTTTTTGTATGTTTAGGGATTTCACCGAGGCCAGGCTGGTCTCGAACTCCTGACCTTAGATGATCCATCTGCCTTGGCCTCCCAAAGTGCTGGGATTGCAGGTGTGAGCCACCACACCCGGCCAAGTCTTGGAAATTATATCTTTAGCCCCATGAAGGTAGGGACTCTGTCTATCTTCTGTACAGTAGATTCATAATGAGGGGAAACCTGCAAGCTTTGGTCTCTGCTCTGCAGGGAAGAGTCTTTTTCATGTCATGAGTCCAAGCACGGCACCATGTTTTACAGACCCGTCTCCTCAGTGTAGACAATCTGGTTGAGAATTTATTCATTTATTAGCTTCAGGATGGTACTTTAGAGGAACTTTTCTCTTCTCCCTACATTTCGAAATCAACCCCTGAAATACGGAAGGGTGGGGACTTGTCCCTCTTCCCCTTTCCTCCTTCCTATGCTTCTCACAAGAGACAGAGTGACTTGTGGGATTGGTGACAGTGGGGAAACTGTCCCTGCTGCTGCTGCCTCAAGTCTCCTGGCTCTTGTTCTCTTGGGACAGCCTTCCTATAGGTGGAGTGCACCCTCTGTTTGTTTCTGCTGCCCTAAGGTGAGCTCTCTGTGACAGGGATCCTTTGTTCTGGATTGATGGCTTGCGTTTCTTCTTTGCTACCGGGAGGCACTGGAGAGTTGCAAGAGTGCAAGTCCAAGCTATGGCCTATGGAATTCATGCACCTGCTCACTCTCAGCTGCACTGTCTGCAGTGTGAATTGCTCAGCTGGAGAGGGTGTGAGTAACCAGCTCCCTCAAGCCCCAACAATTCTGAACACTTAGTTTTATAACTAATCTATACAAAGCATGGCTATGAGCTTATCGGTAATTCTCACACACACACACACACAAAATATATACACACTTGCATGTATATGTATGCATATACACACAAACTTACATGGACAGGTATATATGTGGGTATACAGAATATATATGTGGATGTGTACATATATATATATATATATATATATATATATATATATATATATATATATATCTCAGCAAGTAAGCACCCCAACGTCTTTGACTTAATTAGCAGGCATGAAACACCTAAACATCAAGCATTCCAACTGGGATTCTAAATTCCCAGGTGAATTTCACGAAGGCTAGACTTGGCACAACTTTGGAGACCAGTGCCTCTTATAGGCAGGTAAGCCCTGCTGGGCCCATTCTCAGAAGAAACCACTCCATACCTTTGCATACAAACTCTGCTATGGTCTCCTTCAACATGGCTTTTAAAATGAAGTTTTATCAAAACATCTGGAAGAATTTAAACTCACATGTGACCATGGAGAACACCAATTATACCCAGAGTCAGGAGGAAATCAGGAGTAGGGGTGGGTAGGAACAGGAAGAACTCAATGCTGATGCTTACAAGTATCATCACAGGGTTTTATGCAAGTTAACATTTGGCGCTACTTCATACTTTTGGAACTTCTTGTGGGATCACAGGAAAAAGCAGAATTGGGGAAATCTGGGAACTTGGATCAACTAAAAGGGACTTTCCTCAGATAAGCTACAAGCAGGAAGTGGTCAGCATTCTTATGGTAAATAGAAGATTATTGAAGATGAAAAATTATATTTAAAGCCTACAGGACGTCTGGGTATCTGGGACATTTCTGGAAATTTTGATGGATTTAAATCTAGAGAAAACGAATTTTGATTGAGAATATGTAACAAATGGAAAAGCAATACGTTGAGTGTCACCCTTTAAATTAAAAAAATTGTTAAATAATGTATGAATATAGTACATGAAATGTTGAACATAAACTTTATGTACAGAGTAAGTGATGAGTAGAAAAAATTTCCCAGATACTGTATACTAAAAGAAAAATGTTAAAAATTTTCACTGTATGAAGAATATAGAATTAGCCTCTTGAGATTATGTAATTGATTAGCCAGGCGCGGTGACTCATGCCTATAATCCCAGCATTTTGGGGGGCTGAGGCAGGTGGATCACCTGAGGTCAGGAGTTCGAGAACAGCCTGGCCAACATGGCAAAACCCCGTCTCTACTAAAAATACAAAAACTAGCCAGGTGTGGTGGTGTGTGCCTGTAGTCCCAGCTACTGGAGAGGCTGAGGCAGGAGAATCGCTTGAACTCGGAGGTGGAGGTTGCAGTGAGCTGAGATCGCACCATTGCACTCCAGCCTGGGTGACAGAGTGAGACTCTGTCTCAAAAAAAAAAAAAAAAAAAAGATTATATACTTGATTAGATATCCAAAGCAATAAAAAGAATTTAAAAAGTAATAAAAAGAATTTAAAAAGTAATAAAAAGAATTTAAAAAGTTATTTATGGAGTGTTTGATAGATGTCAGACCCTGTGCTGAGTACTTTTTATGGTTTATCTTACTTAGGTTTACAATTAATCTATGCAAAACATGGCCATCAGTAATTCAGTAATTCTAATTATCAGTAATTCTAATACACACAAATATATACATGCTTGCATGTATATGTGTGCATATACACAAACATATATGGACAGCTATATATATGTGCATACAGAATACATAGGTAGGTGTGTACATGTATATATATCTTAGCAAGTAAGCGCCCCATCATCTTTGACTTAATTAACGGGCGTGAAACACCCAAGCATCATGCCTGTTCACCAACTGTCTTCATGAACTGACAGTCAAGTAGGCAAGCAGGATGAAAAAGACCTAAATCCTCAAACTGGCAAGTTACTGCATGCTTCAAAATGCTATTTATAGGGCGGGGGGTGGTGACAGAAGGGAATGGTTAGTGGTTGGATTGCTCGGAAATATGAGAGAGAGAGAATGTTCAGCTAGAATGTGCAAGAAAGATTACTGATACTCAAATACAGTTTTAAAATGGGGGCCACAGTCTATAAAAAATGGAAATGTAGGAAAAAGAGGATCGGTCACCCAGTTAACTCAAGGCTATACATCTACATCTGCATGGGCAAAAGGAAATTCATGACTGGCCCCATTTTGAGACTTAAAGCAAAAACAATGGAAATAAATGATAGAAACAAATATTCAATAGTCTGTGGCCTTCAACTTCTTTGTAAACTGCCCTCCCATCAGTAAACATTCAACACACAGCCCTACATATTTCTGTATTAATACACTGGGTATATGATAAAAATAGCCACAGACATACTTTTAAAAACATGACTATATCTGTTCTTACATTTTCTTCCCACATCCCCCTTTGGAAGCCCGTCTAAGGGTCTCAGAAGCAGAACATCAGCATCCAGGAGGGATTTCCCACCCCACTAGGTGGCGCTTGGCGCCACATAAGTAGAACCACAGCGTCTATCAGTAAGATGTTATGGAAGTTACGGTAAAGACATCCTTTTACCCACAAATGTAATCAGCAACTCTATCAGGACTTACGAGACTTCAATTCCATTAACCACCTGCCCCTGTCTATCTAATTCTGCCCTAGTGTTCTTGTTCAAATTGTCTTCACCTTTGGGCCCTAAACAGAAATGCCAGTCCTATATAGTTAAATTATACCTGTCCAAAAACAGTGCCCAGCGGGAAGCAATTTGAGTTTAAGTGCAGCTCCACTCCCGGGAAGTAGGTTGAGAGCACCAAAGTTTATACACAAAAGGAAGGAAATTGAGCACAGCTTGGGGGTCTGGGCTTTCCTTACTAAAGTGATCCCTGTAATAACAGTCCCTGGTGTCACAAAGGAAGATGTGGTGCTTCCCAAACTGCTCTGCAAGCCAGTTGCTTCAAAAGTATTCCAGGGATGCGGACTCCTGGGTCCCAGAGATTGAGCAGTTGACTTTGCCTCTCTGATCTCACCTTTATCTCTGAGTTAACCCATCATCTTTAAGATGGAGCTGCTAATACTAGCCTCATAGAGGTGATGTGAAGATTCAAGGGAATAAAGGAAGCATTTAATTTGCATTTGCTGCTTAATAGATGTGACTTCCCTTCCTCCTTCCCCTCCACCCCTTACTGAATGACATTGTCGGGATACCAGTGACTTCATCTTGAGCCCTTCTTCCTAAGATCCTCCTCACTCCCTCCTTGCCTGTCATTCCCTTTGTGGGCCTGCCCTCATGAGCAGGAGCCAAAGTTGGGATTACTTTAAAATGCATCTTCTCCATTCAGAACATGCTTCCTGTGTTCTGTTTTCTTAGGTGGCCTGTTCTGGAGAGTTGATCATCTCACAAATTAATCCATCACAATGTGTTAATGGACAGGAGTGATGTGTTGAAACAACCCTTGGAACGTTGTAAATTAACTGGGAATTTTAGTTACAATGCCTCAATCCAAAGGCAAAGAAATCAATCATGAGAAAAGTAGGCCCAGAAGAGAGATGGGAGCTATAAACTGTTTTATTTAATGCATGTCACCTGTTACTAAGTTCTGTTTGGTGGGCCTCCATCTGGACCTGGTGCAGGGATGTAACCACCATCCCAGGGTGATAGCAGGACAACAACCTAGTTCTGGCTCCCAAAACAGCCCAAGCAATCTTCTCAGCAGTGTGGTCCCCCTGGATAATGGGCCTCAGATATGGTTCATGGAGATGTTACTACAAACTTCTTTTGCTCAAGTCAACTCATGCAATTCACTGTTATGAAATCCCCTGGAATCAATGCCTCATGGTTTTGCCTTGGCCAGTGAGAAGTAAAGCAGCCATGTGTCATACAAGAGCAATATGGCTTCCTAGTTAGCCGTCTCTGTCTAGTTTTACCCTCAGTAGTTGCCACTGGCCAGAAGAATATTGAGAGCCATTTTCTGTTTGTGGGAGCCGCTGTCTGGCTCATCTTTGCTCTAGGGAAGTCTGAAAACTGCCATGAGGCCCCCAGGACTTCCCATTTCCTTCTGGATTTTACCAGACTATTTTTAGTGAGTGTTCAGTGTGAGACACTGTAACATGAACCTTCTCAGTCATTTTAAGTCTGAGCTTTTCCAAAATGTTTAATTAATATAAATTCCCAAGAGGGGGCAGTGATAAACATATGAAGACATGCAACCACTGATGTCATGACAAACATGTTAGAAATGAATTACAACCTGAGATTAGGGGAATCTTAAAGACTGAATTAGTGCTTGAAAGTTGAGATAAGTAGAAAGAATGAATTTGAATGTGTCAGAGTCCAGCCAGTGTCACCTAGGGAAGATTCCATGGAGCCAATTTTAGAAGATCATGCTCACTGAAGCAGGTGGGGGACATGTGTGTGAGAGAGACATAGGTTTCCAACCAAAAGTGCACACAAAACCACACCTTCCAAACAGAAGCATCCACCTGCAACAACGGCTGTCTTCTTTTCATTCTTGTACATTGCTTGACACTTGCTGTGGGTGTCTAGAGCCAAAAAGGAAACCGAGAGGGAGGGGGAGGCAAAAGAAGAAAGGAGGGAAAGAAGAAGAAGAAAAAATAAAAACCTGAAACAGTGTGAAACTGCCCTGTTGTGATTTCATTCTCACTGGCATGGGTGGCCCCTATGTCACCAGGGCCCTTTCCACACCATCTTATGAGTTTGGGACTTATTCTCTTTTTAACCCTCCTTCTTTTTTTTTTTTTTTTGGAGACCAAGTCTCACTCTCTCACCCAGGCTGGAGTGCAGTGGCTTGATCCTAGCTCACTGCAACCTCTGCCTCCCAGGTTCAAGCGATTCTCCTGCCTCAGCCTCCCGAGTAGCTGGGATTACAGGAGTGTGCCACCACGCCCAGCTAATTTTGTATATTTAGTAGAGATGGGGTTTCACCATGTTAGCCAGACTGATCAACCCTCCTTCTTCATAGCGTTGGTTGGCAGGTGGGTTGGTCTCTTGTTCGCCTTCAGTACATTGTTAACTTGGTAAAATGGATTAATTTTCTGTCTTGGTGTTGTCTGAAGCACATCTCTGTTTGAGTCTCCTCAATCATGTTCTTTGATCGTTTCCCTCCGACATAGCTATTGGACTTTGGAGGGTACAAATCATTCCCAATGTTTCTTAGGGTCAAGGGCTTCACCTTCCAGTAGATGCCAGGAGCAGGGTGTGCTATAACTAACTGTTTCTGGAGCACAGCGACCCAAAGCTCCAAGGAGGGATGTGCTCCCACTGTCTGTGACTAAGCCTTTCCCATCAACAGTGTTCTTGCTTACTGAGCATGTGCAGCAGAGGCGGAGGAACAATTCCAACCTCAACTCCACCCCCATGTTAAAATTGGGCCATAAATAAGTAGTAGGATGTGCAACCTGGTCCTCTTGTTCACCCGACTTAGGATGAGAAGGAGGAAGTAAATAAAAAGCATATCTCATGGGAGGGGGAAAGGCATTATAAATAAGAAGAGTGTGTGTCCTTGCTATCCCCATCACAGCTTCCTTGGAGATGGGCACAAGTTACTCACACTCTCAGGTCGCTACATCCCCTTGCATACTCTATATTCCTTGGCCACATGTAAGAGATGATCTGGACCTAAAAGAGTGTCCAGACAGATGGAGCTGGAAGTAGACCTGCAAATGGGGCCGAGAGATCCTGACTCAGGGTCAGGGCTACAATCAGACTCATCCTCTCTCTCCTCTACAAACTGCAGACACTTGTTTTGCCTTTTTCTCATCCATAACATTTGCCTTGCCAAGTGCCTCCCTTGGCTTGGATTCTAAAAATGCCAAGTCTTGCTAAGGTGTAGTATCTATCTGAAGAGAAAGGACACTTCCTGGCCAAGTCAAGGTTGAAAGGGGCTTGGACCAAGGCTTGATGGTGGAAGCGGAATTCATGGAGAATCTGGGAGTTCCTTCCGGGGTGGAGCCAACCAGAGGCCAGTCAGCAGAGAAGCCCCACGTTCAGAGCTTTGTGGGGACCGTCTGTGAACAGCTCCAGTCCTACAAAACTGCACTGAGGGCCCTCAGAAAGTTAGAAGAATGACATGTCAAGATTACCAAAGAATTCAGATAAAAACCATCTGTTGGTGTGCTGTTATTTTCCTACAACAAACCACGGTGCTTAACCTCATGTCAAAATACTCTGTGGTTTCTGAGTTGCATTATTTTCAGTTTCCCTTCCTCTTGATCCATTTCAGAAGATGTTTAAATTGTCTTCAAGTGATTTTATGTGTATATGTGTTTTAATAGAAGACAATTTATAATGACCAAAAGCTGATTTTTTAATGCCATTATCCTTGTTCTCACAGAAGAAGAACGGAAACTATGAAACACAATAAAGCTTACAGAAGTTGTGAAATAGTTGGCTCCAGCAATTTAATTACCTCTCTATTTATTCCAGAGATTGATTTGGGAATTTGTGACCCTTATTGATTAAATGTACGTTGGAAATAATTCATATAGTGTGTACTCACAGGTAAAGTAAAGCCTTTGGCATTGCCACACGTGAGGAAAATACGACATCGCCAATCTAAGGCTTGAACACATGCACGCTGTTTTCCAAATGGCACAAACACCTTTGTAGATCACTTCTTCCATGAAATAAAGCAAATTGGTCAGGTTTCAATCTTTGAACTCATGAATTTATACCCAGCTGAAAGTACAGGCATCTTAAGAATGTCTTGGTTCTTTCTGTTGTTTTTGAATCTGATAGCTGAAGTTCAAAACTGAAGCTTTCTCAATGTGAAGGTCTATAAACTTTGGTTTCTTCTCCCATCCTCCAGCAAAAAATGAAAGGAATCCATATAATTGGCATTCAAATAATTGTCATCTCTGATAAAACTATAAATAAATACACACTCTTGGAGTCCTCCTTTAGGGTTTACCATCAAAACCATCTAACGTTGCTGTATCAAGTGTGCAGATACTTACAAATATATGGCATTAGTTAACAAAACAGTTTGAAAGATATTGGATGAGGAAATTTTACTTTGGATACAGTACTTTGCAGTGCAGATAAAAACATTTAAGCAGGTAAATTATCAAAGGTAGAGAATATCACTTTGTATAAAGGCAGATCATTTAAATATTTTTCTATTTGTAGGTGGACCATATGCATTTATGGTAAGGATGTGTCTTTCTTTCTTACTGTTTCCCTATGGAACCCAGAAGCAGGCCCAAGGAAAAAGAGCAGGAAGCACTGAAGCAGCAACCACCTGTGTGGTGCCCACACTCAATCTGCACAGAATGGGGCCCTGGATGACACGGAAGCAATTGGTTAAGAAGCTGACTGAGTTTTTTTGTGTTTTTTTTTTTTTGTTCTTTTGAGACAGTCTAGCTCTGTTGCCCGGGCTGCATTGCAGTGGCGTGATCTCGGCTCACTGCCACCTCCACCTCCCGGGTTCAAGCGATTCTCCTGCCTCAGCCTCCCAAGTAGCTGGGATTACAGGCACCCACCACCACGCCCAGCTAATTTTTGTATTTTTAGTACAGACGGGGTTTCACCATGTTGGCCAGACTGGTCTCAAACTCCTGACCTCGTGATCCACCTGCCTCGGCCTCCCAAAGTGCTGGGATTACAAGCATGAGCCACCATGCCCGGCCAGCTGACTGGTTTTTTATTTCACTAAACTAACTCTAGTACATTTTGGTCTCATATAGAGAGAGCTTGAGTTTTTTTTAACCCTATTTCTGTATATACCAGTACTTTTTAAGGGTAGAAATGCAGTTCTTCTCAATGTCATGATTGTGTGTATATTTAATTATCACAATTACAGGAGAATCAGAGCCCCATGTTTTTTACTTGCCACTCTTTTACAGGAGCTGAGGTGAGAGACTCAAGTGCAAATAGAGACACAGAGAGATAAGAAAGAAGACTTGATGCATTATATAAACCCCATCTTTCCAACTCCTGTGACAGACGTTGGTGGCTCCCCTGAAATATGGGCAATCTCATTTCTTGAAGAATTTCAAAACACGCTTTTGGTGTGATATATATGAAAACAATTTAAACAGCCAGGCCTCTCCTTGGTAAACTAGGCAGTTGTGTTTTGCAAAGAAGGGCTAGACCGTTTCCTTGAACACCTGACTATAGGCCACATGATTGTCTGTGGCCAGGGCGTTCTTTAGACACTGCCAGAAGTATGGGTGAGCTTGCGGGTTTGTTGGCCACTCAAGGACAGAACTCCCACAGAGCCTTTTCCGGAGCTGGAGGAACTTGGACTTCTGAAAGGGCTTCTCAAGAAATATCAAGATAATCACATCAACTTTTTCATCCATGAGCCTCTGATGGGACAAGTAAAATGCTATCTTAAAATTTTCAGTCTTTGCATACTTGTCTGTCATCACAAACACTGTCTTTTTGCTAAGCTGTATGCTCTGGGAAAGGTTTTCCAGAACTGGCTGCCCTGGTAACCAGTCCCTTTCCTCGAGACATAAATTAAAATGTTTCTCTCTTGGGTCTTCCAGTTTGGCCACCAGCTCAGCCAAAACCCACTCGGTCACAGCTGGGTCTTTAGTGTCATACACAATAAAAGCATCATAGCAACAGTCTGGTGATATTAGACGCTGATACCCCTTTATCTTGGCCTTACAGAAATGGTAAATATACCACACATCCCAGAAATAGAGGTGACTTGCTGTCATCATCACCATGAGAAAGAGAGATACAGATATGGAAAGTGAGAACAGAATCAGGTTAGTCAGATCTAACTCACAGGTGTACAGATCCAGGGAGATCACACTTTGGCCCTTGTGTGCTCCTGGCCCCACACAAGTCACATCTGTGGCCAGGTAAGGAATAGTCACCTCCGTATGGTTAACCCACCAGACAAACCACACAGCATCACAGGTGCACAGAAACCGATTATGATGCAAAAGCAACATCTTCAGATTGTTGAGGACATTTTCTGGGAAGCTGGTCTTTTGGATCATCTGGATTTTATTTGAGCTGAGATCCAGATATCGCAACTGGAAGGCATCTTGTAGAAAATACTTCGTCAGACTCCTGATTTGATTATTCTTAAGAATCAGATTCTTGAGGCTTCTGGAACAGTTGGATAATCTCTCAGGGACAGTGGTCAGTTGGTTGTGGCTGAGGTCCAAAGTTTCCAGGTTCTTTAGACACTGGAGTTTCTTCCAACTGAAAGATTTGAGCCCATTTTTGGCCAAAGAGAGATTCTTTAGATTTGGAGGCATACCATCAAAAACTCCAGAAGGCAAGAAACTTAGGGAATTTTTAGAGATGTCTAATTCCTCTAATTTTAGCAGATTCTTGAATAATTGTAAGTATCTGTTATCACCTTCTCTCCATAAAACATCTAAGTGATTTCCTCTGAATTCCAGAGTTCTAAGAGACTCACTCTCCATGGTCCTGCTGGTGGAGGAAGAGATGTCATTGTCGTTCATCATCAGTTTCTGCAGAACCTTTAGGTTCTTGGTAAAGTTTAGCATATGAGTAATTCCTTCTGATTGAAAATAATGGCTATTACTGCTTATATCCAGAACTTCCAGTTTGTGAAGCTCTTCAAATGCTGTTGAATGGAGTAAATCAAGCCGGTTGTTGGAGAAGTCCAAATATCTCAGCTCTGCTAAAGGTTGGAATTCACTGCCATTAAGAGTTTGGCTAATGAGATTTCCTGACAGATTCAGGCATTTGAGGAAAGAAAGATGCTGAAAATCAGAGGACTTGACAAAAAATATACTATTTTTACTTAGATCCAAGGTCTGCCCATACTTGTAGCAGCTTTCATTAACAGACATGAAAGAAGCCTCTTTGTTTTTGAATCTGCAACTCCTTGCATACTTATCATATCTGAAATAATGTAATTGTTCCAGGACCTGGGGTTCATAACTTTCTACAGAAGTTCTGGCATTTGAGCAGAAGCCAACTTCACTTGAATCTCCTGAAGGTGATATTTTATTCACTGAAAGATCTATGACTTTCAGTCTTTTAAATTGTTTAAACATGCTGAGGTTAGCAATTTTTATAAAGTTAGTGCCAAGATCAAGAACTTCAAGATTTTGAAGATTATGTAATGGCGAGAGGTTAAAGCTTTTCAACTCTTTAAAGACATATCCTCTGATCCGCAGAATTTTCAGGCTTTTCAGTGAAGAAAATGCTTGTGATAGATTCATAGATGCACGATAGACCTGAAGTTCAAAATTGAAAGACAGATCCAATTGGATGAGGCTGGGGAGAAAATGCAGAAATTTAGCATCCCCAATTTCTTTGGCCAAGAAGTTTTGGGACAGATCCAGTTCCTGGAGTTTGTTGATGTTCTTAAACCATCTTGGGGGCACATGCTGAAGAGAGTTACTGTGTAGACGTAAAACTTTTAATTCTGTCAGCGCATCAAAAGCATTTACAGGGATCTGTAGGGGAGAATTATTTTTACACGGCGCACAAGGAAATGGGGCATTATAACAACGAGGGCAATTTCCACTTAGGTCAAGAATTTGTAATTGGTTGAGGTTATTAAAATCATCTTCTTGGATTTTTGCAATCATGTTGTTGTAGAGATATAGTTCTGTTAAAGTAGATGGCAAAACAGTAGGGACGGCTGTGACATTGTTATCTTTCAGGGAGAGCACTTTTAACTTTGTCAAGTTTAGGAAGGCATCTTTCTCTATTGAATATGAAACATAACAAGGATTTCGATAATAACAGTTTTGGCCCAGGTAGAGTATTTCTATGTTGGCCAGTTCTGTTAGATTCTCTTTTCTGATGGAAAAGATGTTGTTGGCCTCAAGGCTGAGAAGCTGTAAGCTAGGCGGGAGGCCCTGCGGTATCTCTAGTAGCTGGTTTCCATCCAGGTAAAGGGATTTTAAATAAGTGAGTCCACTAAAGCTTCTGGGTTTAATCTGCAGCCTCTTGATGCACATGTTGTTTTTTGACCCCAGTGGAATAGGTACACAGTTGCATCTGAAATCGATCTCTACCAGATGGTCCAGTCTGTGAAAGGACGCTGGGGAGATGTCTGGTATGTGGTTAATGGTGAGGGTGAGGTTCGTGGTGTTCGTGGGAATACCTCCAGGAATTTCTGTCAAATGCTTGTCTGTGCAGTCCACGATCACATGGTTCTTTGGAACATCCAGAGTGACATCACAGGGCAGAGTTTTAGGAAACCATCTAGCCCCAAGGAGTTTGGAAATTAGGATTATGTTAAAAAGGATAAGAATTTGTCTCTTCAGTGTCCACATTGGAAACACCTGAAAGTATAAGAAAGAACAAATCATTGTTCTAAAACATACCAAGAATCAGAATTAAAAATTCCCATTTGCTGCCTCTCTTTTGCAACATTTTAAAAATAAACAATTCAGGTCTTATTTTCAGCTGTCTAAACAGCATCCCCAACCCCATGACTGTATTTGTCAGTTACTGAGATTTGCAACTATTTAGTTACATATTTAGCTTTTAGCATCTTAGCTCTTTAGCAAAATAGCTTTCGAGAGGGTAGAAGCAGCATTTTCCTATTCGTTGTTACATGGAACACTAAAATTGCAGAGCCATAGATTCACTGCCAAAGTCTGAAATTTGGAGGGTGAAGAAATGTTAGAATATGGATACACCCATGAAAAATAACACATGAAGACTTTAGTGCAATTTATGTCGGCCTGCTAAACCTGCCCTGGTACACATTACATGAGTCTTTCATAGTATTTGAGTCTCAGAATATTCTAAGATTCCCGTTTTACAAATGAAGACATCGCTCAGCAATATTAACTGATTAGCCCAAGGTTACCCAGTAGTAAGTGGCATTTGATTAGAAAACATACATTCCTGCCATTCTGGCACTGACATTCCATAATCTGGCTCTTGTCTTGGATTGTTTTTGCAAAGAATCTTGCAAATTATCCCCTCCAAGGAGATTTTAGGATGAGCATTTTCCCTACACATTGGGTTTACATTACATAAATTTGGAGAGGAGATAGTAGTAGAGTCAGGGCACTGCCTAGGTGATACATAATCAGAGGAACCGTATAACTGATCCATTAGTATACTTACAAGAATGAAGTGGGGCTGGTAATAATTACACCAAGACTATAGGCATAAACCAAGAGTCTGTCAGGCAAACTGGGACATATGGGAAACTACCCATAAAGATGATTGTTGTGCATCTAGGTTTAGCATGACAGACACTGGGACCCTAGGGAGAAAGGCCCTAAAAGGGAATATGGGAAGTGCAGAAGAGCTTTAAAAATCACCTTATTACCTTCCACTGGCTCTGCCTTACAGAATGCTTTAACCGTGGACTGGCTCTCAAGTTTCAGGATTTCTAGCAATGTCTACTCCAGAACACTGGTTTTAGTTTAGTACTTACGCATGGAGTGGTCCAGCCTGTGTCTCTACCATAGGGATCTAGCTCAGTTAATGCTTTTATCTTCCCAAGTGACTGAATCAACCAATCATGTTGTTATCTAAGAAACCAAATGCCTACTTCCACCAGATGTGGTGGCTCATGCCTCTAATACCAACGCTTTGGGAGGACAAGGCAGGCGGATCGCTTGAGGCCAGAGTTCAAGACTAGCCTGGGCAACATAGCGTGAGACCCCTCTCTCTACAGAAAATAAAAAATTAGCTGGGCATGGTGGCACACAACTGTAGTTCAGCTACTCGGGAGGTTGAGTTGGGAGGACCTCTTAAGCCCAAGAGTTTGAGGTTGCAGTGAGCCGTGATCACACCACTGCACCCCAGCCAGGGTGACAGAGCAAGACCCTGTCTCAAAAGAAAAACAAAAAAATCCTACTTCCCTTAATTCCTCTAATTGGAGGTAAATAAGCAATTTTTTTTCTCCAATGCAAGATGGCTCAGAAGGGATTTTTCAGGTCTAAAGTTTGTTGGAGTTAGAGGTACAAAATTGTCTCTTCTTCTTGTCACCCCCCTATCTTTTCCTCCCTATCGTTAAAAACATTGAGAGTCCAGCTGACCTCCTTCATTGTTCTTAACATCCTCCTTGCTTTGAGGTTTTAGCTGACATAATATCAGCTGAGATCCCTCTATCCTTGGTCCACTCCAAAGCCTCCTCTCTCACTTTCCCAGTCTACCCTATCTATCAAGCTTCCCAAACCTTAATCAGTCAGTTTCTTGCTGTGAACTCCTTGAAATTGTTTCCCAGGCTCAAGCGATCGTCCCACCTCAGCCTCCCAAAGTGCTGAAATTACAGTCATGAGCCACTGCACCCAACCTTCTTATTTTATTTTATTTTTTACAGTATGAGCTGAAGCTTTTTATCATGGCATCCAAAGTCTTCCATAATTTGTACCCTGTCTACTTGTCCGGCTTACCTGATTGAATTCCTCTACTAGCCTCACTAGTCGATAAACCCAAGTTCCCTGACTTGCAAGTCCCTCCGTTAGAAGTCCTCTTCCCTACCATTTTCACCCACCAGATTTCTACTTATCCTTTAAGGCTATGTTTCTCAAAAGGAGCACTCAGATACCTCAGAATATATGGCAATATGCCAGTGGGTACAGGAAGCCCTTAAATAAATATGGTACATCTTTCTAGAGCACCAGTCTTTCTCAGAGATTTAGGAAAAATGTTCACTACTCAGGGAGGAGGAGTTGAGTCAAGATAGAGGGATGGCTATGGTCCCTGATAATAGGATTTTATAGTCCCTGATAATAGGATTTGTACGGTTATAGGATCCCAGGCCCTGGACCCAACCCCTGGCTATGCTTTTGTCCAAAGACATAATGGGTTCATAGATCCCACTATCAGGAGGCAATTGGTAATGCTGCCCAGAGTGATATTGTAAAGCAGAGAGTGGAGTTGTACTTCAGAGGGGGCCAAGGTGGGTAAATGACAATCATGAACCAGGTCCCTCTTCCCATCCCATTCCCATGTACCTAAATGAGAGCCTGGGAAGAAGTGGGAGGATCGCTGAATTGAGTTAAAAACATGAAGTGATTGACACAGCAGTCCTCATACTGCGTTTCCGAGGATGTGCCTAGTTTAAGTGTTTTCGTGATCAGGGAAAATGGAGGCTGTGAAATGAAGGAAGTTTAGTTGTGGAAAAATCAAGTCACCTTCACCAGTGGTGTGATGGTAAATGTTTAACAAGAAGCTTTGCCTGATTTGTTGTCTTGATTTGTAGCATTTGTCAATTTCTATAGTGTAAATATTCCCTCCATGGCCAATTTCAAGTGGGGTCCAGCACGCCACTGGCCTTAACACACCTGAGACAATGACTGTGAAATTTTTAGCCTCTACACAGTGACATATTATAAATTAGAATGCAAATTAATCAGAAAACCTCCCCCGCCCCCCACTTATTTCTAAACTTTTTTCTCGCACCTGTCCACTTTTCTCTTTGACTATTACCACCTCCCAACTCCAATTAGTCATTAGGTCTCATCTGGACCACTATGCTAGACTCCAAATTGCTCTCCCTGCTCCCCCTTCTCCTCTATAATTCATTCATCCAACAGCATCAGAGCGTTCTTTATAAACCTGAATCAGATCAACTATAATGTCTTCCTATTACACTTTAAATGAAATCCAAAGTCTCTACCATTGCTTATATCAAGGGTGTTCTGACTTCAGCCTACCTCTCTGACCTTGAGCCATCTTTCCCCTCCTTTACCACATATCAGCCATCTGGTCTGTTTTCTGTTCTGCATTCAAGCCAGCCTTGTAACCACCACAGTCTTGGCACTTGCTGTTTCCTATTCCTGAAATCATCTTTCTCCTCCTCTTCCCACAGCCCGGTCATTACCACCCCTTAGTTGCCTATTCAAGTGACACATCCTCAGAGAGGCTTTCCCTGACCAACTTATCTAAATATCTTCTCATGTAAGAATAGTGATAATAATAGTAATAGTAGTTAACTTACGTAGCACTTACCACATGCCAGGCATCATTTTAAGTGTTTTCCATATATTCATTCATTTAATCCTCACAATAATGGATACTACAGGTCTTCAATCCCTTATCCGAAACCTTTGGTGCTACATGTGTTTTGGAATTCGGAATTTTTCAAATTTTAGAAGGTAATACGCTACATGTACCCTAAATTATGTAATAACTATTGAGGCCTGGGGCAGCATTCCATAATCAAACACACAAAATTTCTGCAGTGACATATAGGATTGTCCACTCTAAGTGGAATTATTAAAAAAAAAAGAATAAATAACTCAGTTATTTATTATTTATTAAAAAGAATAAATAACTCATTTATTATTTATTAAAAAGAATAAATAACTCAGTTATTTATTATTTATTAAAAAGAATAAATAACTCAGTTTATTATTTATTAAAAAGAATAACTCATTTATTAAAAAGAATAAATGACTCATTTATTTATTAAAAAGAATAAATAACTCATTTATTTATTAAAAAGAATAAATAACTTCAGTTCAGGTCAAGATCTACCTCCAAATGCATTCAGATCATATTATGTTTGCAATCAACTGAGTTAGGACAAAGCTTTCAGTTTTGGGTTTTGGAATTATAGACTATTATTATTATTATTATTATTATTATTATTATTTGAGACTGAGTTTCGCTCTTATTGCCCAGGCTGGAGTGCAATGGCATAATCTCGGTTCACTGCAACCTCCACCTCCCGGGTTCAAGCGATTCTCCTGCTTCAGCCTCCCAAGTAGCTGGGATTACAGGTATGCACCACCAGGCCTGGCTAATTTTTGTATTTTTAGTAGAGACGGGGTTTCACCATGTTGGTTAGGCTGGTCTGGAATGCCTGACCCCAAGTGAACCACCCACCTCGGCCTCCCAAAGTGCTGGGATTACAGGCATGAGCCACCATGCCTAGCCTAGACCTCTATTATTATCTCCATTTTACAGATGAGTCAACTGAGGCACAGAGAGGTATATGCACTCTGTAACTGACTACCCTGTTTGATTTCGGTCATAGCCCTTACCACGGTCAGAAATTATCTTGATGATTTATGTTGCTTATTCGTATGATGTCTATTCTGTACAAGAATGTAAGCTGCAAGAGGGTAGGGCCTCTTGTGGTCTCATGTAAAACAATGCCTGGCACTTAATTAGGACCTCGTTATGTCTGTGAGATACATGAATGAAAGAATGAATGCCTGCATATATGAATCGTGAAGTAAAGAAAAATGAGAAAAATTTCTCCTTTGAGTAGGTTCCTTCAGTCTATACCCCCAGACTAAGCAGAGGTCAGATTTCTGTCTCTTCTATCTGCCCAGGGATTCCTTGGGGGAAAAGGTTTAAGAAGCTCTGTTTTCATAATGTCTCATTCAAAAACACTTTCTTCAAAAAACCTTCTGGGATCAAACCAGACAGAAGTAATCACTCCCTCCTCTCATCTCCTACTGCACTTATTACACATGAGGTTGTGAAAAGCACTCTGGGTGGAGGGTTGGAAGAACTGGGTTCTACTCCTTTCTTGGTAGTTCATTACCCATATGCCCCTCTGAGGCAGGTTCTGTGCCCAGTAGAAGATACCCTGCAAAAGAATGATGGACACAGAAACAACAATATGGGACACACCAAGGACCCAGCCAGTGGATATTAGAATTCTAATATGTATCTACTGACTCATATTCATTCTTTCAGTTGACAGATACGTGTTGGATGCCTACTAGGAGCAGGAGACACAAAGTCTCTGCCCTTAAGGAGCTCAAAATCCTGTGGAAGGGAGAAAAAAAAATACATATCTAAAATACAATGTAGAAAGACCATTAGTTCCTTCCAGACAAGATGCTGCCACTTGTATATGTGTAGCTGAACTGTACGTTGTTCTTATTCCAGGTGATAGTTATTGATATTTTTTATCTTTAATTTTGATTTTGATCCTGAATTTTGATACTCTCAATTCTTTTTTATCCCCGTGGAGTCCAGAGATTGCTACACATCTCTCAACATGTTTTCTGCCTTTCTCTCATCTCATAATGACAGAACCTCCATTTGTAGTTGGGCATATACCACTGTGAAAAATAATTATATCTCCCAGACACACTTGCAGCTAAGTGTGGCTATATGACTAAGTGATAGCCAGTGAAATTTGGGAGGAAGTGAGGTGTACAGTTTCTGGGACATGTCCTTAAACGGTGGGGCAGTTCCCCTTTCTCCTCTTTCTCCTGTCTGCTTCCACCTGGCTTCTTGTAATGTGGATGTTGTAGCCAGCCATCTTGGGCAATGCACATGAGAAAAATGAGCTAGGGATGGCACAGCAACCAGTTAGATGACGTAGATGACCCAGAGCATCCAGATCCTTCCTTATATGACCTCAGAGAGCAGAGCAGAAATAATGGCTTGGACCTGCTGACTGCCAAGAGTTTATGAGAAATCAAAAAATTGTTATGCTAAGCCAATGTCAATTGGATTTTCTATTGCACAAATGCAAACCTAATTTTAACCAGTATAGAATTTGGAAATAAGTTACTGTCCATGAGCGAACCTAAAATATGTGATGCGGATGTCATCAGGCTATTGGGAAGACTCAGATATCAGAGGCTGGAAAGCTGGGTGGCCTATATTATGCCATCACAAGATATCTGATAAAACTGTCACCTATGCTATCTTGTCTTGGAGGGCAGAACACATGCCAACTGTGACTTTACTCTTAGGCGAAATGATTTGGCAATATTCATAATGATGTTGGTGGCTTCTTACTGTTTTTAGCAGTCTTACAAGAGAAATGAAATAGGACTGAAGTTAGCCATTCTGCAAGCAGGGCTAGAAGGAAATACAGTTGTGCTCTGGCTGCAACTCTACACTTTAAGTTGAGTAAGACATCCTGAATTTTAAGGCTTTGCAGGGTTGAAAAAGCCAACTTCTACTGTAGTTTACCCCAAAATAAAGCAGATTTAATGGATACAGACAAAGCAGCAACTTAGATTAATTAAGTGTATGCCCATGTACATTTTCTAAGCACTTCCCATTAAGCATTTTCTAGTAGACAATGAAAGCCAGTCCAGGGCAAAAAATCTGATTGAAGAGTGTGGCCTTCCCCTTGACTCATGCAGCCTCAGGGTAGTTGATTCAATTGAGAGAGGGGAGCACCGACAAAGCATAGAGTCTTTAGACTTCAGGCTGTCTAGAGCTGCTCTAATGTCATAGTCACATGTGGCTCCATAAATTTAAATTAATTAAAATTCAATCTCTTAGTCACACTAACTATATTTCAAGAGCTCAAAAAGCCACATTAGGCTAGTGGCTGCTGTATTCAAGGGTACAGATAGAGACCATTTTCATCATTGCAGAAAGTTTTATTAGATAGCATTGGTCCAGACCAATAAGTCAGCAAACTTATTCTGTAAAGGGCCAGATGGTAAATATTTTAGGCAAAATTGAGGATATTATGGAGGTACTTAAATAACCATTGAGAATGTAACTAATTAGAATAGTAAAACCCATTCTTAGCTCACAGGTCATTAAAAAACAACAGCAACAACAACAATAGGTAGTGGGACAGATTGAGCCCACAGGTCATACTTGGCAGACCTCTGGTCTAGACCAAACCTTAGGCTGTGATAAACTTGTGCATGGAATTAGTTCTAAGCAAATTCATTCCAAGTCTATATTATTTAATGCTTATCCCAATTCTAAGAGATATGCTCATTTACAATGAGGAAAGTGAAATTAATGCTGAGGTGAGACCTAGGTGATTGAGACAGAGCTGGCACTCTTAGCCACTCTGCTATTCTACTTCTCGAGATGTCAACTCAGTCATCTGCCCCTATAGATGGAGAACACTTTGAGGTCCGGAAACTTTTTTTGTCTTTACATATACTCCATCATTAGGATGCCCGCCACATAGTGAGTGCAAGCTAAATATTTGCTGAGTAAACCAAGGCTTTGAACTTTCTTAAAATCCCATAGAAGATTCACATTATACTAGTATAAATAGTAAGGAATTTTTCCCTGAAGATCAGATTTTCACAAGGTGACAAGGAGAGACCAGGAGGGTTTGGGGCCTCTGAAGGAAGGATTGAAGTGGGGAGCATGCCACAGAAGAAACGAGGATGGTATCATTGGAAGGGCACGGGAAGTGGAGCTGCAGACGGACTCTTTCATAATCCTTTTTCTCAGACGCTCTGTCCCTTTGAACCTGAAACCCCAGTGAAAGCACAGAGCTCGTTTGTCTCTTGTGGGAAGAGTCACAGTCAGGATGGGGCTGCCCTTGTCCTATGCTCAATAGTTGAGCCCAAGCCCACTGACCCTTGGAATGCTTTATGCCAAACAAAACATCTCTTGGCTCTCCACACCGGCTGCACGGGAAGCCTGGAACTCGGAGATCCCAGCAAGTTTGCATTCCAAGATCCATGCCAGAAGGAAGATTAACTGCAATGAGAAAGTTGGGCTCTGATCAAGCAGGTGAGGGAGAAAAATGAACTCACTATTTATTAGAATAGTAAAACCCATTCTTAGCTCACAGGTTGGAAAAAAAAAAAAAAAAAAAGCAGGTGAAGGGACAGATTTAGCCCAGAGGTCATAGCTGGCAGACCCCTGGTCTAGACCAAACCTTAGGCTGTGTTAAACTTGTGAATGGAATTAATTCTAAACAAATGAACAAAGTGCTTCTAAATCTGTTATTTAAAGAGAAAGTATACCCAAAAGACCATCTAGAGAAGATGACTTAAAAGTGTGAAATATTCCTTTATTCCAATGGAAATTTCCTTCAGTGTAGAAATTTCTCCTTTCAAGCCATTGGAAACTACCTGCTTCAGACTTAAGCTGGAACCTTAGCTTCAACTATCGTTATTTTGAGATTTAAGGGTTCGGCATCAAGCCAGGTCTGTTTTGTCCATCTGATACAAATAATCTATGTTATTTTGTTTTGCTTCGGTTTTTTTTTTTTTATTTGTAATGATTGCCTAAAGACATGCATCTTTCAGTAATTTGACTTGTAAAATAGCATAGTATACCATGATAGGCCTGGCTTTGGTATTGAATCACAGCTAATTACACATGCAAATACACTGGGTAAATTTGGATGCTCAATTAGCAAACTAATTATTGTAAAAATGGGAATGGGTGATTTCATACACACAGGTGTTTCTATTTTCTCAATATATCGTCTCTTTAGTTAAAATGGAAAATAGAGAATTTATATTGGACAGCCATCAGACCATGATTTGTGTATTTTTTAAAATATTGGCTGCCTTTTATTACTTATGGTGTGCCAGGTTCTAAGGCAGACTTGTTGTTTATATTACATCATTGATCCCTCACACTGAAGTTGAAAGGCCATATAAATATTCTCATTTTACTGATGAGGAAGCAGAGATCAGACAGGCAATTTCAAACCAAGATTCAGACTCATTGTTGACCAATTCTATTCAAGTTGCCTTACACAGCTACAGCAAATGCACTTGGTATAATGTGTGTCTGCATTTTGATTAATTTCCTTTTCAGTTCAAGTATTCTTGGTACTCTAATGTTTCTATTTTGTGCTACTTAGCGGTTTTGGGGCATAGAGAAATTGGTTTGTTTTTATAGGAAAAATTTACAAGTATTAAAAAATGGTGGCTGGGCACACTGGCTCACACATGAAATCCCAGCACTTTGGGAGTCCAAGGCGGGAGGATCACCTGAGGTGAGGAGTTTGAGACCAGCATGGCCAACATGGTGAAACCCTATTTCTACTAAAAATACAAAATTAGCCGGGCATGGTGGCATGCACCTGTAATCCCAGCTACTCAGGAGGCTGACGCAGGAGAATTGCTTGAACTCGGGAGGCAGAGGTTGCAGTAAGCCACGATCATACCACTGCACTCCAGCCTGGGTGACAGAGCAAGACTCTGTCTCAAGACAAAAAAAAAAAAAAATGGTGTGTTTATGTTTTGAGTGGGACCAACTTGAGGGAGAAAAAAGAAAGATATTTTTAAGATGATTTTTTAAATGAATTGCATCCAATGTCCATTGTATTAGTCTGTTCTCATGCTGCTAATAAAAACATATCCGAGTTTGGGTAATTTATAAAGAAAAAGAGATTTAATGGACTCACAGTTCCACATGACTGAGGAGGCCTCACAATCATGGTGGAAGGTGAAGGAGGAGCAAAATTACGTCTTACATGGCGTCAGGCAAGAGAGCATGTGCAGGGGAACTGCCGTTTATGAAACCATCAGATCTTGTGAGACTTATCCACTATCATGAGAACAGCATGGGAAAAACCCGCCCCCATGATTCAATTACCTCCCACTGGGTCCCTCCCACAACACGTGGGGATTATGGGAGCTACAATTCAAGGTGAGATTTAGGTGGGGACACAGCTAAACCATATCATCCAGCAATGTTACATGAGGGCATTTTGTGGATTTAGAAATTTAAAGCCTCATTGAGCTTTGTCTCCATTATGAATTATATGCTCCCACAGTCATTCAACAAACATTATTGAGAATCTACTCTGTGCAAGGTACTGTGCTAGACAAAGTAGGGAAATGATGATGAGTCAAACACCATTCCTGCTCAATTAGGAACCAAATACTCTGCTGCTCTATTGTCAGAAGCTGTGTGTATCTCTTGAGCACAGAACTCTCTCTCTGCTGTCAGGGAAATCTATGGTGAGAAAAAACAATAGATTGTGGGGCAAGGGCTAAGTCAGGCCTAAAGGTAACACTGCTTTCCTACTCTTCAAACAAAAGTTTGAATAAACAACTCTTCAAGGTGGCAAAACCTATCCACCTGGATGCACTATTTTGATGGCAGGACTGAAGCCCATATTCAAGATTGAATTTTACTGATTTTAGATCTGTATTAGATTCCTACCACAATATTTACAGTTGTAGAGATCGAATTACTAATAGAAAAAAAAAAAAACATTTACCAAGCTGTTTTTAACTTTACGCTTTCCAAATAGCGTTTTTATCTTCAAAACTTTGTAAACTTGTAAGAGATGTCTGGTTGCAATCAGAGGAGTGAGAAGGACATGTATATAACTGGGAACTATTAGATGGAAAAAATGAGGAAGTGAAGGTAAGTGGTTTGTGTCTTGTGACAAGTTAGAAGAAGACTGGGATTAGTCTGATTTCTCCTCGTGTTTATTTATTCTAGGGGTTAGCACCACGTGAACTGAAAGTCAGATTTGTTTTCAGTCTCTCTGTCTGCTACAGGGCTACCAACTGAATTATCCTGAACCTTGACTTTCTCATCAACAAACTCTGGAGTTTGGCTAACTGACCTTAATGGTCCTTTTCTATTGTGCTTATTCTATGACTCTAATGGTTGGTGTAGAGCCCCCTGAAACTTATCTGCCAGGGTCTGTCCTCAGCTGGGAGTCTTCATAACCCCCTGGAACCTCAGGCTGCTGCTGTTTCAAAATGGTCCATGCAAAGCTTCAAACTACCATAAACCTTCTAAGAATTCCACAGAGGGAGGAAAAAAATAACTAGTACATGTTTTGTTTTGTTTTTCTTTAAAGTAAGCATTATATGTCTTTATTATTTATTTATTTATTTATTTTGAGACAGAGTCTCACTCTGTCGCCCAGGCTGGAGTACACTGGCCCGATCTTGGATCACCGCAACCTCTGCCTACCCGGTTCAAGTGATTCTCCTGCCTCAGCCTCCTGAGTATCTGGGATTACAGACAGCCGCCACCACTCCCAGCTAATTTTTGTATTTTTAGCAGAGACGGGGTTTCACCATGTTGGCCAGGCTGGTCTCAAACTCCTGACTTCAGGTGGTCTGCCTGCCTCAGCCTCCCAAAGTGCTGGGATTACAGGCAAGAGCCACTACGCCCGGCCTTATATGTCTTTAGATAAAACTATTTTGCTAGTTTGATTCAGCTTTCTGAAATAGTAAGAATAGGAAGAATTACATGACAATCCATTGATTTGAGAGAATGGTTAAAAATGGGAAACTACCAATAGTAAAATATCAAATGTCCCTTAAAAAGAATGTGGTAGAGCTGTGGGTATCGACATAAAAAGCTATGCATGATCTACTACTAAGTTACAAAAAATAAAGGGGATTTTTAAAGCAGCATTAAAATAACATATAACATATAATGCATTTATGATAAATATATATGCATATATTTGTATTTGCAGAGAAAAGTAGGAAAGAATACACAAGAAACCTTTAATAGCAATTTCTTCTGGGCAGTGGTATAAAGGGGCCTTCCCTGGGAAGAGGGGGACTTCTATTTTTATGTTATACCCTTCTCTACTCTTTGACTTTTTATCATAAATAATATGTATTGTTTTTTATTAAAACTTTTAAAATCAAATTACAGAGGAAATAAGATCTCATCATAACAACGTAGAAGGAAATTGTGAAAAAGGAAAAATTCAACAAGTATTTATTGATGCCTGCAACATGCCAGGTACTTCTCTAGGTGTTTGGGACATCAGTGGACAAAATAGAAAAGATTTCCACTCAACTATAGCTTATGTTCTCTAAATAATCACAAAAATATATAACTGTCAGAAATGATATTGCATGTCAAGTGATAAGTGTTACTGAAAAAGAAAACAGGGCAGAGTGAAAAGGATCAGGAATGTGGGGTAGGATTGTGACGATAAATAGGGCAGCTTGGATAGGCATCATTAAGAAGTTGATATCTAAACAAAGACCTCAAGGAAAGGACAAAGTCATCCATAACAGACATCCAGGGGAAATGCATTCCAGACAGATGGATTAGCCTGGAGCAAAGGCCCCAAGGTGAAAACATGCTAGAATATTCACAAAAATGGCAACGGGGCCAATATTGCTGAAGCAGGGGGTGTAGGAGAACAATAGGAGATGAAGTCAGAGAGGGAGTGTCCCTGAGCATGTTGGGCTTTCTCTACCATTCCATGGATGGCGGTCTCTGCTCTGGGTGGAATGCAGATGCATTGCAAATTTTTGAGCTGACAATCAGTTGGTCTGACTTACATTTGAGAAGGATGCTGCTGGCTGCTGTGTTGAGAATAGACAGTGAGGGGCAAGGGTGAAAGCAGGGAGACTAGTTGAGAGGCTATTACAGTCATTCAAGCAGAAGTCCCAGGTAGCAGTGCTGGAGGGCGTAAGAACTGGCCGAACACCAGATATGTTTTGAAGGAGTAGCTACATAAAATATGACTTCAAAGTTCTTGGAAGAACGTAAGGAGAGGGATTTGGAGACAGCAAACATTTCTAGGAGGTTTCCTGTCAAGAGGACGAAAGACATGGTGGGTAGTTCACAGGCAATACAGCTTTCACCTCGCGCGTACTGGCACACACACACTTTCTCTCTCTCTCTCCCTGTTTCTCCCTCTCTCCCTTTCTCTCACCCACTTGCTTTGGAGTCCTGAGTCATCACCCTTGTAAGAAGCCTGGCTATACGACAACCACCATATTAGAGAGACCACATGGAGACAGAGACACTTGAGGAGCTGCAGCTGCTTCGGCACCTAGCTGTTGAGTCTCCTAGCCCAGGCATCAGACCTGGAGAGTGAGTCTTCAGGTGATTCCAGTCGCAGTCACCGCCTGACTGCCACCCCAAGAGAGACCCTGTGGGAGAGCTGCCTAATGAGTCCAGTCAACTCCTGGACCCATGATAGAAAGCAGTATATGATTGTTGTTGTTTGAAGCCATTGCATTTTGAGGTGATCTCTTACGCAGTGATAGGTAACTGGAACAGGAAGTCAGACAGGACATATGGGAGCAGATGGTCTAGGTAGGTACACAAGGAGGAGAAAGAGGAGAAAATGGAGAGTCCTCCAGGAGGGTTGGAGAGTTTTCTGGATGGAGAAGTAGAGTGTGATTGCAATAAGGAATTCTCCCACCCACTACACCCCAGCAAATGAAACCCTCACCTTTCTGTATTGAATCGGTAGGCATGCCCCTGCCAGTCTATTATATATTCTTTGCATAGCTATTATCTGGCTACAATGGATTATTTTCAGCAGCAATCTTGGCAAAAGGAAATTTATCTTGAGATGAGACTATTTGAGGCCTGGGGAACGCTTTTATTTTTATAGTGAGTTAAGAAAGGATTTCCTGCTCTCCTGACTCTACTCTTTTACCCAACTAACCAACCAGTCAGAAAGGCCCCTGGGCACCCCCTGGGCTACAACATGTTAGCCCTGAGAGGACAACAGCCCCATGCACTCAGCTGTTCCTCCAAGCGACTTTCAAGATCACAGAGCAGAAAAAAGCCAAGTTGCCTGAGTTTAAAAGGAAATGTTGGGATCTGCATTTCTAAGACAAAGAGTTGCTTGAGCCAAGACGTGTGAGCGAGGGGCTTTCTGTGATGGCGGGGAGCCTGCAGCGGGGGTCTGGGAGAAACCAGAGGGGATGGCTGCCTGGCTGAAGAAAACTTAGAAAGGGCATGGAAGAAGTAAGCAATGGCCGGGGCGATTGCTGGAAACCTTGCCCTCAAATTCATTGACTTTTTGCCATGTTTATATCACACTGAATTGTTTGGTAACTAGAGATGTGTTGTGTATGTCTCCCTAGAGAATAACCAAGCACTGTGAATAAGGGAAGTTGCTGAAATGCTATTCATTTTATAGACTGAGCCTCTGCTAGGAATTTCCCAAATAGATTTATTAACAAATATCCCCTATTTGTGAATTTTGAAATATTTTTAATTTTAGTTTAATCTCTGTAAAGTACAAATACCATGAATATCAGTTTCATTATGTCACCAAAACGTTTAAGTACAAGGTTGTAAACCACTTGCTTTTTTTTAAAAAAAGGAGAGAGTTATCATTTACTTCCTATCATTTTAGCCCAACAGACTTAGTTTTCAAACTAAAAGAATAAAAGGATATAAAGTTGTCTTACATAAATTAGGAACTCAACAGCTATTATGCATCACAACAGTCACCAAAGACCATAGGGCTCTCAAACCTATTTGACCTTATACCTTATCCCTTTGTTTTCTATAAGCCCCGGCCTGACGTACTTTTTCTGTAAAGGGCCAGTTAGTAAATGGTTTAATCTTTGCAGGCCATCAGGTTCTCTGTCACACTACCCAACTCCTTGAATAGTTTGCCATCGTAGTGCAAAAGCACTTATCAACAATAAGTAAACAAATACTCAAACAATAAAACCATTTGTAAACACTGAAACTTGAATGTAACTTTTATATGTCACAAAATAGTAATTTTGCTCTGATATTTTTCAGTCTTTTAAAAACAACAATTAAAAAAAAACCCCTTAGCTCATGAGCTGTACAGCAGGTGGGATATAGCCCATGGGCCATAGTTTGCCAACCCCAGCCCTAAACTTCGGTGAGTTTCGGGGATATACATTATTTATTCTTGGGGTGCAGAGGTACTGGCTGGTTAATCTGTAATGATGATTTTTAATTTTAGTACAGCGTTCCAAATTTTTAAATAATCAGATTGTATTAATTTAATAAATTGATTACTTAATAACCTTTTTTTAGCCATAAAGAAATTTCCTATAGGTTAAGAGCAGAATAATATTTTTACTTTTAAATTTGCTGAACCACTATTGACATTTTGGGAGATGGTCCCTTCTAATAGTAATTTCCCATCCCTGCATCTATTTCACATGGTGAGAAGCATTCTAGTAACAGCCAAGGCTTTGTCAGTACAAAAATTTGGTTTTAAGTCCTTGTTCTGTCATGTAAGAGCTCTCTGACTTTCATAAATCACTTGACCTCATGAGCCTCTGATTTGCCAACTGTAAAATGGTTATAAAGTAGGGATGTTGAATGAAATTAGAATATGCAACACATGTGTTTATGTAAACCATCATCACAGATTATCCAACATTTAGTGAGCATCTAGTATTTGCCTAGCAGGTGCAGTAAAAACATGAGGAATACACGGTACTTATCCATTTCTAGCTTGCTTTTTTCATTTAACATTATACCATGAGTGCTTTCTTAGGTCATTCAGTATTATTTTAAAAAACATGATTTGATGATTACATAATATTCCATTTAATGAGTCTACTACAATTAATTCACCCCTTCCCAACATGGGACATGATTTTTTTTTTTTTTTTTTTTTTGCCTGGCTGCACTGACCATCTTGGTAAATAGTTTTCCATGTCCACGATCACTTCTTTTGTTTTTTTAAAATTATTTTATTGCTTGTTTTTTTAAGTTCTGGGGTACATGTGCAGGATGTGCAGGTTTGTTACATAGTTAAACGTGCCATGGTGGTTTGCTGCACAGATCAACCCATCACCTAGGTATTAAGCCCAGCATGCATTAGCTTTTTACCCTAATGCTCTCTCCTGCCCCACCCTCCTCCTACAGGCCTCAGTGAGTGTTGTTCCCCTCCCTGTGTCCATGTGTTCTCACTGTTCAGCTCCCACTTATAAGTGAGAACATGCGGTGTTTGGTTTTTTGTTCCTGTGTTAGTTTGCTGAGGATAATGGCTTCCAGCTTCATCAATGTCCCTGCAAAGGACATGATCTCATTCCTTTTTATGGCTGCATAGTATTCCATGGTGTATATGTGCCACATTTTTTTATCCAGTCTCATGGTCACTTCTTTAAGAAGAGTTTCTAAAAGTGTAATCTCTAGATCAAAGGATCTGCCATATGACTCAATACAGTTGAATATTTTCCCTGTGCTTTTTTGCCTTTTGAATTTCTTATATTGAAAATTATTTTCACGTCTTTTCTTAGAAAAGATATACTATTTCCCCTTTGTACTTGAGTAGGAAGCCATCATATCCAACCTCATCTTTATTGCGTGTGTGCTGGGCTTGGTCTAGGAAGAACAGAAGAGTCTTCAGCACAGCTTTCAGAGCCACCCAAGCTCCTTAACCTCTCAAAGCCCCAGTTTCGTTATCTCTACCTTATAGGGCTACTTTGAGGCCAAAATAGAATCATGTCTATCTAGCCCTCAGCATGATAGTTGAGTGGTCAAGAAATGTGAGCTCTCTGTATTACTATCATTCCCATTATGCCACCCATCAAGGGGCAAAGACAGATGTGGGCATAGGTTTGCATTAAAATAGACATCTGGGTTTCTAGGAAATGAAACCGTAAGCAGTTGTTTCCTTTGTAACAATAGCCCCATGGTTAATGCTTCATTAGAACTTTGACACAAAATGAGCCTAGGAGCTAACATTCGGATCTAGAATGTGTCTGATTTAAGTGACAAAATAATTTCAGAAAAAGGCCCTTGACGTCTTTTTCCGACTAAGTTTTGGCATACCTAATAACTCACACTTGCATCATACCACTTGCAAAGGACTTGAAAAATAGTCTATTATTTGAGCCTCACAGTGGCCCTGGAAGGCAACAGGGGAGGGATTCTAATGCCTATTTCATAGTCAGAGAAATTGAGTTTCAGAGGACTTTGATGACAGGCACAAGGCCCCCCCAACTAGTGACTGGGAGAGCCAGCGCTGACAAAGACTCTCCTTAATTCAACTTAATCAGGCTCTACTACACCCCTAGGCTTCGGCCTTTGGCTTCATGTCCATCTTTGCATTGCCCAGTTCAAGCAGGAATCCTGCTAAGTCATTTTATTGATAATCCACTCCTCTTGGTATGTGATCACCCTCAATATCTGATCAAATTCCTCATCTCCCACCATCCACAGGTGAGGTCTGATCACCCTGGCCTGTCTTCAGCAAGAATCCTGTCAGGTCGGTTTAGCCAGAATCCTTTTACCCTTGATGTTTCCTCTTAGTAATTTTCCATCCACTGACCCCCACTCTACTCCTTGGCCAGAAATCTTTACTGGTCTTTGGCTGTATTTGGAATTGAGCCCCTTTCTATACTGAGGTCTCTTTCTGCCGATTGCAATAGTCCTGATAGTATCTTTATCTACTGTCCAAATTTAGTTTTCTTTGACAGCACTCAAGCCCGGGGATTTCCCGTATTTTATTGCTATGAGCCTGCCCACACACTTTCATCCACACAGTCATTAAGACAACACCATATGCTGGAAAAAGCACAAAGTAACTTCAGTAATTCAGTGATTTGTTATGGCTTTAAAGCCAAAATTGTAGGCTGAAGAAATGAGATACATAGAAGCTATGTCCCCAATTCAAACATCTGCTCCTCCTCCCCACAGCACATATTTAATTCTTGTAGGAAGTTGAACAGAGCAAGCGTTGATTAATCTGAAATTGTGACATGCCCCCTTCATTAATGCCAATTGTGAAATATCAGGAAGCACTTTCCCCCAGCAAATAACCTAAGTACAGATTCTTCAATATTGCTCTTGCCAGCTGGTTTCAGTTGTTTCCACAAAGATTACAGATAACACTTTTTAAGGTTCTCTGAGCTGTTCTTACCATTTTTAGTCTTCTTCCAAAATGGAATGTAGAGGTCTGGTTGAAGAGAGCAGAGCATGAGAGGTGCCAAGATCAGCTTGAGATGGGCCCAATAGCATCAACTAAGAGAAAGAGAAGACATCAAAGTTTACATTTCAAAGACAGCACAATACTGTAGCTTAAAGACATGCTAGGATCATTGCTTTAAAATGCGTTTGAAACATCTATTTACAGTATTTACTTCCTCAAAGTTAGGTAGACTGGAGACATATTCCAGAAAACCATTTCTAACGTTACTGAAAGCCTAACTTTATCTTTGAAGAATTGACATTTTAGACTACCACATTTTTTATTTATATTCTAAAAAAAATTTTTGTGCATATGATTTCGGTTCCCTCTTCTCTCCTCCCCACTTCCTTATAACAGCACATACATCTACCTACTTAAATTATCTATATGTGTTCCAATGTTTAAAATACCTTTCTTGATGGCATGGAGTGATCCTATATCTGGAGTCTTCTGAGATGAAGTGATGGGAGGCAGGAAGTGTAGTCACAAAGACTACAGGCAGCCAGCCCTGGAGTTTCCAACTACAAAGATCAGGTCGGGGGATGGGGAGGAGCATGATTATTTAAGCCACCCCAGATATGGGCTTTGCAAAAGCACGGGGTTCCTCTTATTTCTATCACCACTATTGGGGCAACGTCTTGTCTAAATCCAAACAACTCTGTAGACCAAATTTCTTTCGTTTTTATAGCAGGGTTTCTCACCCTCAGCACTATTTACATTTTTGACCAGATAATTCTCTGTTGCACCATAGGATATTTGGTAGCACCCTTGCTCTATACCCACTAGATGCCAATAGCACTGCCCCCTTCCAGTTATGACAATCACAGATGTCTCCAGACATTGCAAATTATCCCCTAAGGGGCAAAAACACCCCGGGTTGAGAACCACTGTTCTATAGATATATTAGAGACATATCTAAATTTACCTTATTCTGTCTTAGACCCAGCTGGAAAGGATGCTGGTTTTTAAGCAGTGGCAAAGCTACCAGTTGGTTCACTCACTTTCCTCTAAAAAAGTTCAGCTGCATTTGCTTCTCAAAGTGTGGGCCCCAAGAGAATTGTTCCTTTCTTAACTGATTATTGGACATTTTGTAGATAGAGCCAAAATATGGTAGTTATGTTTAAAGTTCTTTAATCTACTTAGTCCACCTGGAGAGAATTTGGATGATGTAGAGTGTGGCACGGGGACTTCTGCAGATAATGATCAGGGTTAACATATACTGGGCTGAAAACTCAATGGTGCAATAGAGCAGCTCAAAAACCAGATACAGTAATAAGTGACATTTATTGAGGGTTTTTTATGAGCCAGACACTGTTTTAATGACTTTATATGTATTATCTCATTAAATACTAAAACTATATAAAATAGAGATCTTATTACCCATTTTTTACAAATACTGGAATTTATAACAGAAGAAATATTGGATTTGCCTCAAGTCACATAGCAAGTGATACCCACACAGGCAGTAAAAACCAAATGTCTCCTTATTAAACCACTCTGCTATGCAACGATATGTAAAAATCAATAGTTTTCTCATACATAAATAATTACTGATCCAAATTGGTAATAGAAGAAGAGGTCCCATTCAAATCAGTGAGATCTGAAATGCTTTGGAAGAAAACTGATGGGAAATGCACAAGAACTAAGGTGGTGGGGGGAGGATGGGGACTATAATGCTTTACCTGGCAGGTGCAAGCTTTCTCTTTGCCCCACCAGACCCACTGTCTCAGCCTTTTATCCTGTTCTGTGTCTCTGGAGGCTGAGCTATATGTGCTTCATCAGTAGCCCCTTGCTCGCTGGCTTCTGGTTGGGTTTGGCCAATAGGAGGCCGTGGTTGGAAACTGAAGGGCAGGAAGAGGGAGAGCAGAGCCTGCCTCCCTCTGGCTCCCTCCGCCTGGCCCTGCGTTGGCTGCAGTCCTCTAATGAAGCTCTTGTTTGGTGATGCTCTCCTCCCTGAATTCCAGTAATCGTTCCTTCTCCTTCAGCCTGAGGTCGGAAAGACTCCCCTCTGAAGTGTTGCATCATCCTTTCTTACTTCCTTAAATCCTGTCCAAATATATAAATAGTCACTTTGCTGAACTCATCAGTTTCTCACTTTAACATGCCGTCTGTTTCCTGGCAGGACCCTGCCCAGACACAAAGATATAAGTAAATGAAGAGAAATAATTGTTATTGGGGCTAGAGGCCACAATATTGTAAAAATAGAAATGTTGCTTAAATTGATTTGCAAATGCTGTGTGATCCCAATCAAATACCAATAGGATTTCATGTGATACTTGCCAGACTGATTCTAAACTGGGGTGCATTTTGGAAATCAGCTGGGCCTTTTTGTTTATCATGAAGACTGGGGTTACATTATCCACAAATATCTCCTTTCATATAACAAAGGGTGCATTACCAAATATTTGTTATAAAAGTGAGGTGTTGGGTCTGACTGGGGTAAGACCACATGTGAGAATAGCCAGGCAATTTCTGAATGAAAATAAAAGGGGAGGATTTCTCTTCCATATCTGTAAATGCATTAGAATGCTGTATTGCCTCCAATGGCATAGTACCAGTGCATCAGTGAAACTGAGAAGTGAGCAGAATTAAGTAAAAGCACATATGGGTGTTTAGTTTCAAGTCACATCAATGGCAAAATGGATTATTGGGCAACTGGCTTGGAGTTTTTAAAAAATCAAGCTATTGTCCAACCTCATTTGTCTTTTTATTTATTTTTTGAGATGTAGTCTCACTCTGTCACCCAGGCTGGAGTGCAGTGGCGCAATCTCTGCTCACTGCAACCTCCACCTCCCAGGTTCAAGCGATTCTCCTGCCTCAGCCTCCCGAGTAGCTGGGATTACAGGCACCCGCCACCACGCTCGGCTAATTTTTTGTATTTTCTGTAGAGGTGGGGTTTCACTATATTGGCCAGGCTGGTTTTGAACTCCTGATCTCATGATTCGCCCACTTCAGCCTCCCAAAGTTTTGGGATAACAGGTGTGAGCCACTGCGCCTGGCCCAACCTCATTTCTTATATCAAAATAAATTTCATGTAGTTGAAAAATTTAAGTGTAAGACATTGAACATGAAAAGTATTGAAAGAAACTGTAGGGTGGTTCCAAGATGGCTGAATAGGAACAGCTCCAGTCTACAGCTCCCAGCGTGAGCAATGCAGAAGATGGGTGATTTCTGCATTTCCAACTGAGGTACTGGGTTCATCTCACTGGGGCTTGTCAGACAGTGGGCGCAGGACAGTGGGTGCAGCACACCGAGCATGAGCCAAAGCAGGGCGAGGCATTGCCTCACCTGGGAAGCACAAGGGGTCAGGGAATTCCCTTTCATAGCCAAGCAAAGCTGTGACACACAGCACCTGGAAAATCGGGTCACTCCCACCCTAATACTGTGCTTTTCCAATGGTCTTAGCAAATGGCACACCAGGAGATTATATCCCGCGCCTGGCTCGGAGGGTCCCACGCCCATGGAGCCTCACTTATTGCTAGAACAGCAATCTGAGATTGAACTGCAAGGCAGCAGCGAGGCTGGGGAATGGGCGCCTGTCATTGCTGAGGCTTGAGTAGGTAAACAAAGTGGCCAGGAAGCTTGAACTGGGTGCAGCCCACCACAGCTCAAGGAGGGCTGCCTGCCTCTGTAGACTCCACCTCTGGGGGCAGGGCATAGCTGAACAAAAGGCAGCAGAAACCTCTGCAGACTTAAATGTCCCTGTCTGACAGCTTTGAAGAGAGTAGTGGTTCTCCCAGCACACAGCTGGAGATCTGAGAATGGACAGATTGCCTCCTCAAGTGGGTCCCTGACCCCCGAGTAGCCTATCTGGGAGGTATCCCCCAGTAGGGGCAGACTGCCACCTCACATGGCCGGGTACCCCTCTGAGAAGAAACCTCCAGAGGAACAATCAGACAGCAACATTTGCTGTTCAGCAATATTCGCTGTTCTGCAGCCTCCGCTGCTGATACCCAGGCAAACAGGATCTGGAGTGTACCTCCAGCAAACTGCAACAGACCTGCAGCTGAGGGTCCGGAGTGTTAAAAGGAAAACTAACAAACAGAAAGGACATCCACACCAAAACCCCATCTATATGTCACCATCATCAAAGACCAAAGGTAGATAAAACCACAAAGATGGGGAAAAAACAGAACAGAAAAACTGAAAATTCTAAAAATCAGAGTGCTTCTCCTCCTCCAAAGGAATGCAGCCCCTCACCAGCAACGGAACAAAGCTGGATGGAGAATGACTTTGACGAGTTGAGAGAAGAAGGCTTCAGACGATCAAACTTCTCCGAGCTAAAGGAGGAAGTTCAAACTCATCACAAAGAAGTTAAAAACCTTGAAAAAAAATTAGACGAATGGCTAACTAGAATAACCAATGCAGAGAAGTCCTTAAAGGACCCGATGGAGCTGAAAACCATGGCACGAGAACTATGTGATGAATGCACAAGCTTCAGTAGCTGATTCGATCAACTGGAAGAAAGAGTATCAGTGATTGACGATCAAATGAATGAAATGAAGCGAGAAGAGAAGTTTAGAGAAAAAAGAATAAAAAGAAAGAAACAAAGCCTCCAAGAAATATGGGACTATGTGAAAAGACCAAATCTGCATCTGATTGGTGTACCTGAAAGTGACGGGGAGAATGGAACCAAGTTGGAAAACACTCTTCTGGATATTATCCAGGACAACTTCCCCAACCTAGCAAGGCAGGCCAACATTCATATTCAGGAAATACAGAGAACGCCACAAAGATACTCCTCGAGAAGAGCAACTCCAAGACACATAATTGTCAGATTCACCAAAGTTGAAATGAAGGAAAAAATGTTAAGGGCAGCCAGAGAGAAAGGTTGGGTTACCCACAAGGGAAGCCCATCAGACTGACAGCTGATCACTCGGCAGAAACTCTATAAGCCAGAAGAGAGTGGGGGCCAATATTCAACATTCTTAAAGAAAAGAATTTTCAACCCAGAATTTCATATCCAGCCAAACTAACATTCATAAGTGAAGAAGAAATAAAATCCTTTACAGACAAGCAAATGCTGAGAGATTTTGTCACCACCAGGCCTGCCCTACAAGAGCTCCTGAAGGAAGCACTAAACATGGAAAGGAACAGCCGGTACAAGCCACTGCAAAAACATACCAAATTGTAAAGACCATTGACGCCAGGAAGAAACTGCATCAACTAACGAGCAAAATAACCAGCTAACATCCTAATGACAGGATCAAATTCACACATAACAATATTAACCTTAAATGTAAATGGGCTAAATGCCCCAATTAAAAGACACAGACTGGCAAATTGGATAAAGAGTCAAGACCCATCAGTGTGTTGTATTCAGGAAACCCATCTCACATGCAGAGACATGCATAGGCTCAAAATAAAAGAGTGGAGGAAGATCTACCAAGAAAATGGAAAGCAAAAAAAGGCAGGGGTTGCAATCCTAGTCTCGGATAAAACAGACTTTAAACCAACAAAGATCAAAAGAGACAAAGAAGGCCATTACATAATGATAAAGGGATCAATTCAACAAGAAGAGCTAACTATCCTAAATATATATGCACCCAATACAGGAGCACACAGATTCATAAAGCAAGTCCTTAGAGACCTACAAACAGACTTAGACTCCCACACAATAATAATGGGAGACTTTAACACCCCACTGTCAACATTAGACAGATCAACAGGACAGAAAGTTAACAAGGATATCCAGGAATTGAACTCAGCTCTGCACCAAGCGGACCTGATAGACATCTACAGAACTCTCCACCCCAAATCAACAGAATATACATTCTTCTCAGCACCACACAGCACCTATTCCAAAATTGACCACATAGTTGGAAGTAAAGCACTCCTCGGCAAATGTAAAAGAACAGAAATTATAACAAACTGTCTCTCAGACCACAGTGCAATCAAACTAGAACTCAGGATTAAGAAACTCACTCAAAACTGCTCAACTACATGGAAACTGAACAACCTGCTCCTGAATGACTACTGGGTACATAACGAAATGAAGGCAGAAATAAAGATGTTCTTTGAAACCAACGAGAACAAAGACACAACGTACCAGAATCTCCGGGACACATTTAAAGCAGTGTGTAGAGGGAAATTTATAGCACTAAATGCCCACAAGCGAAAGCAGGAAAGATCTAAAATTGACACCCTAACATCACAATTAAATGAACTAGAGAAGCAAGAGCAAACACATTCAAAAGCTAGCAGAAGGCAAGAAATAACTAAGATCAGAGCAGAACTGAAGGAGATAGAGACGCAAAAAACCCTTCAAAAAATCAGTGAATCTAGGAGCTGGTTTTTTGGAAAGATCAACAAAATTGATAGACCACTAGCAAGACTAATAAAGAAGAAAAGAGAGAAGAATCAAATAGACGCAATAAGAAATGATAAAGGGGATATCACCACCGATCCCACAGAAATACAAACTACCATCAGAGAATACTATCAACACCTCTACGCAAATAAACTAGAAAATCTAGAAGAAATGGATAAATTCCTCGACACATACACCCTCCCAAGACTAAACCAGGAAGAAGTTGAATCTCTGAATAGACCAATAACAGGCTCTGAAATTGAGGCAATAATAGCTTACCAACCAAAAAAAGCCCAGGACGAGACGGATTCACAGCCGAATTCTACCAGAGGTACAAGGAGGAGCTGGCACCATTCCTTCTGAAACTATTCCAATCAATAGAAAAAGAGGGAATCCTCCCTAACTCATTTTATGAGGCCAGCATCATCCTGATACCAAAGCCTGGCAGAGACACAAGAAAAAAAGAGAATTGTAGACCAATATCCCTGATGAACGTCGATGCAAAAATCCTCAATAAAATACTGGCAAACCGAATCCAGCAGCACATCAAAAAGCTTATCCACCATGATCAAGTGGGCTCCATCCCTGGGATGCAAGACTGGTTCAACGTACGCAAATCAGTAAACGTAATCCAACATATAAACAGAACCAAAGACAAAAACCACATGATTATCTCAATAGATGCAGAAAAGGCCTTTGACAAAATTCAACAGCCCTTCATGCTAAAAACTCTCAATAAATTAGGTATTGATGGGACGTATCTCAAAATAATAAGAGCTACTATGACAAACCCACAGCCAGTATCATACTGAATGGGCAAAAACTGGAAGCATTCCCTTTGAAAACCGGCACAAGACAGGGATGCCCTCTCTCACCACTCCTATTCAACATAGTGTTGGAAGTTCTGGCCAGGGCAATCAGGCAGCAGAAAGAAATAAAGGGTATTCAATTAGGAAAAGAGGAAGTCAAATTGTCCCTGTTTGCAGATGACATGATTTTATATCTAGAAAACCCCATTGTCTCAGCCGAAAATCTCCTTAAGCTGATAAGCAACTTCAGCAAAGTCTCAGGATACAAAATCAATGTGCAAAAATCCCAAGCATTGTTACACACCAATAACAGACAAAGAGCCAAATCATGAGTGAACTCCCATTGACAATTGCTTCAAAGAGAATAAAATACCTAGGAATCCAACTTACAAGGGATGTGAAGGACCTCTTCAAGGAGAACTACAAACCACTGCTCAACGAAATAAAAGAGGACACAAACAAATGGAAGAACATTCCATGCTCATGGACAGGAAGAATCAATATCGTGAAAATGGCCATAGTGCCCAAGGTAATTTATAGATTCAGTGCCATCCCCATCAAGCTACCAATGACTTTCTTCACAGAATTGGAAAAAAGCTACTTTAAAGTTCATATGGAACCAAAAAAGAGCCCGCATCACCAAGTCAATCCTAAGCCAAAAGAACAAAGCTGGAGGCATCACGCTACCTGACTTCAAACTATACTACAAGGCTACACTAACCAAAACAGCATGGTACTGGTATCAACACAGAGATATAAACCAATGGAACAGAACAGAGCCCTCAGAAATAATACCACACATCTACAACCATCTGATCTTTGACAAACCTGACAAAAACAAGAAATGGGGAAAGCATTCCCTATTTAATAAATGGTGCTGGGAAAGCTGGCTAGACATATGTAGAAAGCTGAAACTGGATCCCTTCCTTACACCTTATACAAAAATTAATTCAAGATGGATTAAAGACTTAAACGTAAGACCTAAAACCATAAAAACCCTAGAAGAAAACCTAGGCAATACCATTCAGGACATAGGCATGGGCAAGGACTTCATGTCTAAAACACCAAAAGCAATGGCAACAAAAGCCAAAATTGACAAATGGGATCTAATTAAACTAAAGAGCTTCTGCACAGCAAAAGAAACTACCATCAGAGTGAACAGGCAACCTAAAGAATGGGAGAACATTTTTGCAATCTACTCATCTGACAAATGGCTAATATCCAGAATCTACAAAGAACTCAAAGAAACTTACAAGAAAAAAACAAACAACCCCATCAGAAAGTGGGCAAAGGATATGAACAGACACTTCTCAAAAGAAGACATTTATGCAGCCAACAGACACATGAAAAAAATGCTCATCATCACTGGCCATCAGAGAAATGCAAATCAAAACCACAATGAGATACCATCTCACACCAGTTAGAATGGCAATCATTAAAAAGTCAGGAAACAACAGGTGCTGGAGAGGATGTGGAGAAATAGGCACACTTTTACACTGTTGGTGGGACTGTAAACTAGTTCAACCATTGTGGAAGACAGTGTGGCGAGTCCTCAAGGATCTAGAACTAGAAATACCATTTGACCCAGCAATCCCATTACTGGGTATATTCCCAAAGGATTATAAATCATGCTGCTATAAAGACATATGCACACGTATGTTTATTGCAGCACTATTCACAATAGCAAAGACTTGGAACCAACCCAAATGTCCATCAATGATAGACTGGATTAAGAAAATGTGGCACATATACACCATGGAATACTATGCAGCCATAAAAAAGGATGAGTTGATGTCCTTTATGGGGACATGGATGAAGCTGGAAACCATCATTCTCAGCAAACTATCGCAGGGCCAAAAAACCAAACATCACATGTTCTCACTCATAGGTGGGAATTGAACAATGAGAACACTTGGACACAGGAAGGGGAACATCACACACCGGGGCCTGTTGTGGGGTGGAGGGAGGGGGGAGGGATAGCATTAGGAGATATACCTAATGTTAAATGACGAGTTAATGGGTACAGCACACCAACATGGCACATGTATACATATGTAACAAACCTGCACGTTGTGCACATGTACCCTAGAAGTTAAAGTATAAAAAAATTTTTTTTTGAGAGAGGAAAAAGAAGTATGGTGAAACAAAACTAGTTTTGTTTTATTAAATTTCTAAGTGTCCACATAAATTATTTAGATTTCAACTTGAAAAGATCAATCACTCAATTATATACTTTATCTGGGAGTCACAAGCTATTGTCTTAATAGGCTATATTTCTCTTAACTATTCAAGCATATACAACCCCAAGTTTGTGCAGATGCCTTAACCAGGAAACATCGATACAATGTTTTTAAGTGTCTTGGTTATTTCTGTTCTCATTTTTAAAGGTTCCCAGAGTTGAAAAATGTTTGGGCATTCGGGAAGTGAAAGGCAACCTCAGTTACTGAGATGACTTTTAATTAGAGATTTTAACTGGGTGCTGAGACTTGGAAAGGTAGACATCTAAGGTGATTTTTCTCGTACAAACTGTCATTTTATCCCATGAAATTTGGGGTTTGCCTTCTCAGTATCCTGCAGGTTTTGAACAATCAGTGATTTCAGCCAAGAGCTCATCAGGTCCTTCTGAGGAACCTGAATGGGTTACTCTAAACCTATGTACCTAGCTGCTACTGGTAAACCCATAGCTTTACAGGGGTGCAATCATGCTGCCCAGGTCTTTGGAGGTGAATTATATACAATACCCAATCCTTTCTTCTTCTTTTTTTTTTTTTTTTTTTTTTTTTTTTTTGAGACGGAGTCTTGCTCTGTCGCCCAGGCTGGAGTGCAGTGGCGGGATCTCGGCTCACTGCAAGCTCCGCCTCCCGGGTTCACGCCATTCTCCTGCCTCAGCCTCCCAAGTAGCTGGGACTACAGGCGCCCGCCACTACGCCCGGCTAATTTTTTGTATTTTTAGTAGAGACGGGGTTTCACCGTTTTAGCGGGGTTGGTCTCGATCTCCTGACCTCGTGATCCGCCCGCCTCGGCCTCCCAAAGTGCTGGGATTACAGGCGTGAGCCACCGCGCCCGGCCAATCCTTTCTTCTTCTACAAAAAGACTGCAAACCCCACCTAAGTTAATCATTTGATTGGATTCTGCATAGTTTTGTTTCTGTATCAGTGTAAGCGCCCTTTCTGTGTAAGCTTAAGATCTTCGAACTAGGTAGAATATTGCTTCTTTCAGATTGTCAGGCCCTACGCTGTTCGTGGACAGTTATTTCCGCTCCTATTGAATTCTCTACCTGGCTGTCTAGCCTGTCACCACAACTGGTAAGGCTCTTCTGTTAGCACACGGAATTGCAGAATTTTGTTGATTCTAGAGGAAACTTGTCCAACCCACCACCCATGGGCCACATGCAGCCCAGGACAGCTTTGAATGCGGCCCAACACAAATTTGTAAACATTCTTTAAATATTATGAGATTTTTTTTTAAGCTCATCAGCGATTGTTAGTGTATTTTATGTGTGGCCCCAAGACAATTCTTCTTCCAATGTGACCCAAGGGAGCCAAACGACTAGACAACCCTGTTCTAGAATGTTCTCCATGGCTGCTTCAAACTCAGCCGCTTGCTCTGTATTAACTGCAGAATAAGAGCTTTTCTCATTTATGCCTCCCTCTCATCAGGACCAAAGTGTAAGATGCATCAAAGTTTCCCTGGATGGTTGGTGCCCTAGGGCAGTTGCTATGAACCAAGTACAAAAAGAAAAACAGACATTTCCAAAATTAATTCAAATGGGCATGACTCTTTTGGAGTTGCAGCACACCAACATGGCACATCTATACATATGTAACAAACCTGCATGTTGTGCACATGTACCCTAGAACTTAAAGTATAATTATATATATATATATATATATATATGAAAGAAACTATAGGTCAATATTTTTTCTAATCTTGAAGTAGAAAAGTAGTGCTAAGTATGACGATAACACCAAACAAACAAGGAAAAGGAACCAACAGCAACAATCCCAGAGTCTTAAAGAAAACACTGAAAAATTTGACTACATAAAAATAAACCATTTATCTTTAAAGTGAGGGATGAGGCTGTATGATCAATAAAGACACACCCAGGTTTTATATGCTAAGATCCCAAGAGATTATGAAATTATGAATTTAGCATATATATTATGCTTTCTTGCGTGGTTATTTATGGTTGTTTGTTTGTTTGTTTGTTTGGGGCCAGAGTCTCGCTCTGTCCCCAGACTGGAGTGTAGTGGTGTCATCTTGGCTTGCTGCAACCTCCACCTCCCAGATTCAAGCAATTCTCGTGCCTCAGCCTCCTGAGTATCTGGGACTACAGGTGCACACCACCACACCTAGCTTATTTTTGTATTTTTACTAGAGATGGGGTTTCACTATGTTGGCTAGGCTGTTCTCAAACTCCTGACCCCAGGTGATCCACCCACCTCAGCCTCCCAAAGTGCTGGGATTATAGACACAAGCCACCACACTCAGCCTGGTTATTTATGTTTCATTCATATCTCCTAGTTCCCACACTGATATTGCAGACCCCTTGAGTTAAGAATGTGTTGTCCTCAGGATCCATTCTAGGTACTTAAGAGATCACTCTTTATGATGATGAAAATGAAAGTGATCATGAAAATAAGAACAATTAATTAGGCCAATTTTCAGAGGTCGATCATTAGGCAGATTAATTGATTGACGTGATCAGTCATCTAATTACAGTCACTAGCTGGTTGAATTTACTAGGAGTTGCAACTTGTCTAGTAGTCAAGCATCAATAAAGCCTATGTTTTCTTATTCAAAAGATACTAAGTTCTTCTTAACTCAGTATGGTGGATTCAATAGCTGAGTGGTAATTGATTTTCTAATAACTGATTATATCATTCTACTTGAATTCATTTATATTAATATACTAGTTTTTAAAAGAAAATCTTTTTTCTTCCCAACTTTTTACTTAAAAAATTTTCAGATATATTGAAAAATTGAAACAATTGCACAATGCAGCCCATATAGCTGTCTGAATTCAACAATTGTTGATAGTGAGCCACATTGGTTTTACTTTTTTGTATGTGTATATAATGTATTTATTTCCCTAATCATTAAAATGTTGCAGACAACACGACATTTTAACCCTAAACACTTAATCCTGTATCTCCTGAAATAAGGATGACACCTAAGAGAATTCATAATTTGTAATATTGGCCAATCTGGCAAGGTGGCTGAATAGGAACAGCTCCGGTCTCCAGCTCCCAGGGAGACCAACGGAGAAGGCAGGTGATTTCTGCATTTCCAACTGAGGTACCAAGTTCATCTCACTGGGACTGGTTAGGCAGTGGGTGCAGCCCACAGAGGGTGAGCAGAAGCAAGGTGGGTCATCACCTCACCTGGAAAGTACAAGGAGCCAAGGGATCTCCCTCCCCCAGCCAAGGGAAGCCATGAGGGACTGTGCTACCCAGCCCAGCTACTGCGTTTTTCCCATCGTTTTTGCAGTCGCGGATCAGGAGATTCCCTTGTGTGCCTACACCACCAGGGCCCTGGGTTTCAAGCACAAAACTGGGTGGCTGTTTGGGCAGACACAGAGCTAGCTGCAGGAGTTATTTTTTGTACCCCAGTGGCACCTGGAACCCCAGCAAGACAGAACCTTTCACTCTCCTGGAGGGGGCTGAAGCCAGGGAGCCAAGTGGTCGGGCTCAGTGGGTCCCACTCCTACAGAGCCCAGCAGGCAAAGAGCCACTGGCTTGAAATTCTCACTGCCGGCACAGCAGTCTGAAATGGACCTGGGACAATCGAGCTTGGTGGGGGGAGGGGCATCCACCATTACTAAGGCTTTAGTAGGCAGTTTTCCCCTGACAGTGCTAAGGAGGCTGGGAGGTTCAGACTGGGCAGAATTCACCACAGCATGGCAAAGCGGCTGTGGCCTGACTGCTTCTCTAGATTCCTCCTCACTGGGCAGGGCATCTCTGAAAGAAAGGCAGCAGCCCCAGTCAGGGAATTACAGATAAAACTTCCATCTCCCTGGGACAGGGCACCTGGGGGAAAAGGCAGCTGTGGGTGTAGTTCAGCAGACTTAAACTTTCCTGCCTGCCAGCTCTGAAAAGAGCAGCTGATCCTGACGTGGAGGATTCCCCCCAGCACAGCACTTGAACTCTGCTAAGGGACAGACTGCCTCCTCAAGTGGGTCCCTGACTCCTGTGCCTCCTGACTGGGAGAGACCTCCCAACAGAGGTCAACAGACACCTCATACAGGAGAGCTCCAGCTGGCATCGGGCCAGTGCCCCTCTGGGACAAAGCTTCCAGGAGAAGGAGCAGGCCTCCACTGGTGATACCCAGGCAAACAGGGTCTGGAGTAGACCTCCAGCAAACTGCAGCAGACCTGCAGAAGAGGGACCTATTAGAAAAACTAACAGAAAGCAATAACATCAACATCAACATAAAGGACCTCCACACAAAAACCCCATCCAAAGGTGATCAGCATCAAAGATCAAAGGCAGATAAATCCATGAAGATGAGAAAAAACAAGTGCAAAAATGCTGAAAATTCCAAAAAGCAGAGTGCCTTTTCTCTTCCAAATGATCACAACTCCTCTCCAGCAAGGACACAAAACTGGACGGAGAATGAGATTGACAAATTGACAGAAGTAGGCTTCAGAAGGTGGGTAATAATAAACTCCTCTGAGCTAAAGGAACATGTTCTACCCAATGCAAGGAAGATAAGAACCTTGATAAAAGGTTACAGGAACTGCTAACTAGAATAACCAGTTTAGAGAAGAACATAAATGACCCGATGGAGCTGAAAAACACAGCACGAGAATGTCGTGAAGCATACGCAAGTATCAATAGGTGAATCAATCAAGCAGAAGAAAGGATATCAGAGATTGAAGATCAACTTACAAATATAGGGCGTGAAGACAAGATTAGAGAAAAAGAATGAAAAGGAAGGATCAAAGCCTCCAAGAAATATGGGACTATGTGAAAAGACCAAACCTACGATTGATTGGTGTAGCTAAAAGTGACAGGGATAATGGAAACAAGTTGGAAAACACACTTCAGGATATTATCCAGCAGAACTTCCCCAACCTAGCAAGACAGGCCAACATTCAAATTAAGGAAAAACAGAGAACATCACTAAGATACTCCTCGAGAAGAGCAACCCCAAGACACATGATCATCAGATTCTCCAAGGTTGAAAAGAAAGAAAAAATATTAAGGGCAGCCAGAGAGAAAGGTCAGGTTACCTACAAAGGGAAGCCCATCAGACTAACAGTGGATCTCTCTGCAGAAACCCTACAAGCCAGAAGAGAGTGGGGGCTAATATTCAACATTCATAAAGAAAAGAATTTCCAACCCAGAATTTCATATCCAGCCAAATGAAGCTTCATAAGCAAAAAAGAAATAAAATCCTTTCCAGAAAAGCAAATGCTGAGGTGTTTTGTCACCACCAGACCTGCCTTACAGGAGCTCCCAAAGGAAGCACTAAATAGGTAAAGAAAAACCAGTACCAGCCACTGCAAAAACACACCAAAATATGAAGACCAATGACACTATGAAGAAACTGAATCAATTAATGTGCAAAATAACCAGCTATCATCATAATGACAGGATCAGATTCACACATAATATTAACCTTAAATGTAAATAGGCTAAATGCCCCAATTAAAAGACATGGACAGGCAAATTGGATAGAGTCAAGACCCATTATTGGTATGCTGTATTCAGGAGACCCATCTCACGTGCAAAAACACACATAGGCTCAAAAGAAAGTGATGGAGGAATATTTACCAAGCAAATGGAAAGAAAAAAAAGGGGGGGGGGTTGCAATCCTAGTCTCTGATAAAACAGACTTTAAACCAACAAAGATGAAAATAGACGAAGAAGGGTATTACATAATGGTAAAGGGATCAATAAAACAAGAAGAGCTAACTGTCCTAAATATATATGCACCCAATACAGGAGCACACAGATTCATAAAACAAGTTCTTAGAGACCTACAAAGAGACTTAGACTCCCACACAATAATAGTGAGAGACTTTAACACCCCACTGTCAATATTAGACAGATCAACGAGACAGAAAATTAACAAGAATATCCAGGACTTGAATTCAGCTCTCGACCAAGCGAACCTAATAGACATCTACAGAACTCTCCACCCCAAATCAACAGAATATACATTCTTCTCAGGAGCACATCGCAGTTATTCTAAAAATGACCACATAATTGGACGTAAAACACTCCTCAGCAAATGCAAAATAATGGAAATCACAACAAACAGTCTCTCAGACCACAGTGCAATCAAATTAGAACTCAGGATTAAGAAACTCACTGAACACCGCACAACTACATGGAAACTGAACAACCTGCTCCTGAATGACTACTGGGTAAATAATGAAATTAAAGCAGAAATAAATAAGTTCTTTGAAACCAAGGAGAACAAAGATACAATGTACCAGAATCCCTGGGACACAGCTAAAGCAGTATTAAGAGGGAAATTTATAGCACTAAATTCCCATATCAGAAAGTTAAAAAGATCTGATATCGACACCCTAACATCACAATTAGCTAGAGAAGCAAGAGCAAACAAATTCAAAAGCTAGCAGAAGACAAGAAATAAGATCAGAGCAGAACTGAAGGAGATAGAGACACAAAAATCCCTTCAAAAAATCAATGAATCCAGGAGCTGGATTTTTGAAAAGATTAACAAAATAGATAGACCACTAGCTAGACTAATAAAGAAGAAAAGAGAGAAGAATCAAATAGACACAATAAAAAATGATAAAAGGGATATCACCACTGATCCCACAGAAATACAAACTACCATCAGAGACTACAATCAATACCTCTACAGAAATAAACTGGAAAATCTAGAAGAAATGGAAAAATTAATGGACACACAAACTCTCCCAAGACTAAACCAGGAAGAAGTCAAATCCCTGAATAGATCAATAACAAGTTCTGAAGTTGAGGCAGTAATTAATAGCCTACCAACCAAAAAAAGCACAGGACCAGATGTATTCACAGCCGAATTCTACCAGAGGTACAAAGAGGAGCTGGTACCATTCCTTCTGAAACTATTCCAAACAATAGAAAAAGAGAGACTCCTCCCTAACTCATTTTATGAGGCCACCATTGTCCTGATACCAAAACCTGGCAGTGACACAACAAAAAAAGAAAATTTCAGGCCAATATCCCTGATGAACATCAATGCAAAAATCCTCAGTAAAATACTGGCAAACTGAATCCAGCAGCACATCAAAAAGCTTATCCACCATAATCAAGTCAGCTTCATCCTTGGGATGCAAGGCTTGTTCAACAAATGCAAATCAATAAACGTAATCCATCACATAAACAAAACCAATGACAAAAACCACATGATTATCTCAATAGATGCAGAAAAGGCCTTCAATAAAATTCAACATCCCTTCATGCTAAAAACTCTCAATAAACTAGGTATTGATGGAACATATCTCAAAATAATAAGAGCTATTTATGGCAGACCCATAGCCAATATCATACGGAATGGGAAAAAGCTGGAAGCATTCCCTTTGGAAACCGGCACAAGACAAGGTTCAACATAGTATTGGAAGTTCCGGCCAGGGTAATCAGGCAAGAGAAAGAAATAAAGCATATTCAAATAGGAAGAGAGGAAGTCAAATTGTCTCTGTTTGCAGATGACATGATTGTATACTTAGAAAACCCCATCATCTCAGCCCAAAAACTCCTTAAGCTGATAACCAACTTCAGCAAATTCTCAGAATACAAAATCAATGTGCAAAAATCACAAGCATTCCTATACACCAATAACAGACAAACAGAGAGCCAAATCTAGTGAACTCCCGTTCACAATTGCTACAAAGAGAACAAAATACCTAGGAATCCAACTTACAAGGGACGTGAAGGACCTCTTCAAGGAGAACTACAAACAACTGCTCAAGGAAATAAGAGAGGACACAAACAAATGGAAGAACATTCCATGCTCATGGATAGGAACAACCAATGTCGTGAAAATGGACATACTGCCAAAAGTAATTTATAGATTCAATGCCATCCCCATCAAGATACCATTGACTTTCTTCTCAGAATTAGAAAAAGCTACTTTAAATTTCATATGGAATAAAAAATGAGCCCATATAGCCAAGACAATCCTAAGCAAAAAGAGCAAAGCTGGAGGCATTACACACTACCTGACTTCAAACGATACTACAAGGCTGCAGTAACCAAAACAGCATGATACTGGTACCAAAACAGAGATATAGACCAATGGAACAGAACAGAGCCCTCAGAGATAACACGACACATCTACAACCATCTGATCTTTGACAAACCTGACAAAAACAAGCAATGGGGAAAGGATTCCCTATTTAATAAATGGTGCTGGGAAAACTGGCTAGCTGTATGCAGAAAATGGAAACTGGACCCTTTCCTTACACCTTATTCAAAAATTAACTAAAGATGGATTAAAGACTTAAATATAAAACCTAAAACCATAAAAACCCTAGAAGAAAACTTAGGCAATACCATTCTGGACATAGGCGTGGGCAAAGACTTCATGACTAAAACACCAAAAGCAATGGCAACAAAAGCCAAAATTGACAAATGGGATCTAATTAAACTAAAGAGCTTCTGCACAACAAAAGAAACTATCATCAGAGTGAACAGGCAACCTACAGAATGGGAGAAAATTTTTGCAATCTACTCATCTGACAAACGGCTAATATCCAGAATCTACAAAGAACTCAAAGAAACTTATAAGAAAAAAACAAACAACCCCATCAGAAAGTGAGTGAAAGATATGAACAGACACTTCTCAAAAGAAGACATTTATGCAACAAAGAAACATGAAAAAAAAGCTCATCATCACTGGTCATTAGAGAATTGCAAATCAAAACCACAATGAGATACCATCTCACGCCATTTAGAATGGCAATCATTAAAAAGTCAGGAAACAATAGATGCTGGAAAGGATGTGGAGAAATAGGAATACTTTTACACTATTGGCGGGCGTGTAAGCTAGTTCAACCATTGAGGAAGACAGCGTGGCAATTCCTCAAGGATCTAGAACCAGAAATACCATTTGACCCAGCCATCCCATTACTGGTATATACCCAAAGGATTATAAATCATTCTACTATAAAGACACATGCACACGTATGTTTATTGCAGCACTATTCACAAATGCAAAGACTTGGAACCAATCCAAAAGCCCATCAATAATAGACTGGATAAAGAAAATGTGGCACATATACACCATGGAATACTATGCAGCCTTAAAAAAGAATGAGTTCATGTCCTTTGTAGGGACATGGATGAAGCCGGAAACCATCATTCTCAGCAAACTAACACAGGAACAGAAAACCAAACACCGCATGTTCTCACTCATAAGTGCGAGTTGAACAATAAGAACACATGGACACAGGGAGGGGAACATCACACACTCGGGCCTATCAGGGGGTGGGGAGCAAGGGGAGAGACAACATTAGGACAAATACCTAATACATGTGGGGCTTAAAACCTAGATGTCGGGTTGATAGGTGCGGTAAACCACGATGGCACATGTATACCCATGTAACAAACCTGCACATTCTGCACATGTATCCCAGAACTTAAAGTAACATTTAAAAACTAATAATTTGTAATATCTCATATAGATTCTGTATTCACATTTTTTCAATTTGTCCCCAAAATATCTTTTATAGCTTTATTTTCTTTCTGATTCAAGAACTACTCAGTGTTTACATAGTGAGTTTGATTGTGTCTCTGTAATTTCTCTACAATCTTTGCATATGTAATAACTTCTTAAAAATGTATATCACCGCCAAAGATAACTTTAAGTTTTGTCACAAAAGTGTTACCATGATTGGCAGACCTGTATTTCTAGTTATATGCTGGATTGTTTTATATGTTCAAACAGGAACATTTTCTTCTAGGACAAAGCCTTAAGGTTTTGAAACAGTGCTGTGTTAAAGCTGAACAACAGAAAAACACACCAAACCTGACACTGTTGTTTAAAAGCTATGAGAATTTTCTGTCTCCTTAATAGAGAGTGAGGCAGTGAAGTTAGTTGTATTCTTTGTTTCTTTTGCTTTTCTTCTCTCTCTCCCCTTGAGACATTTTGAATGGGGCTTTTAGTTGGCAAATATAGGGCAATAGCTTTTTAACTTTTTCTTCAATTTTGCTGGAAAATACATAGTCATATGGTAAGAACTTCTACGTAGTAAATGGAAAACTAGAGACAGAGAAACAAAGGAAGAAAGGGAGAGAGTGAAGGAAAGAAAGAGAGAAGGAAAGAAAGGGTGGGGAGGGAGGGAGACAAGGCAGGCCGGCAGAAAGGAAGGAAAGGAAAGAATGAAGGACAGGAGAAAAGAAAGAAGAAAAGAAGGAAGGAAACAAAGAAGGAAAGAAAAGCAGATTGAATGGAGCTTTTGGTTAGGCAAATATAAAGCAAAGGCCTTTTTTATTTTTTATTTCATTTTAATACATATTTGTGTGGTACAGAATTCTTACATAGAGCTGAATAGAAAGATATGGGGTGTGTGGGACAGAGAGAGAGAGAGAGAGACAGAGACTGTGTACTGTGTCGGAGGTCCCCAAGACTCCGCCACCCCAGGCTTCGTGATCCACTAGGAGTCGCAGAACTCAATAAAGTATGGTCACAGCTATGATTTATTGCAGTGAAAAGATACGAACCAAAAGCAGCAAAGGACAATGGTGCATGAGGTGATGCCCAGAAGAAACCAGGCCCAACCTTCCAAGCATCCCCTCCGACTTTAGTCACATGGATGTACTTGATTCCTTCTGCAACAAATTGAGAAAACACATGCCAACTGCTGTCTACCAGGGAGGCTCGTTAGAGATTCAGTGCCCAGGGTGTTTACTCGGGGCTGGTCATGTAGGCACACTCTGCCCAGCACATACCAAAATTCCAGCCTCCCAATAGGAAAGCAGGTGTGCAGCAAAAACCATATTATTTGTACAAACAGTGTAAGAGCAGTGAGCCACTCTTCTTAGTTCTGGGAATGGTGGGAACCACCCTGAAATCCAAGTTCCCAGACATGAGCCAAAGGCCAACCTTACAAGCAGGCCTTTCTAAGGAGAGCAGTCTCAGGCCTGCCATGTTTCTTGGTTTTTTGTTTTTGAGATCGAGTTTCACTGTTGTTGCCCAGGCTGGAGTGCAATGGCGCAATCTCGGCTCATTGCAACCTCCGCCTCCTGGGTTCAAGTGATTCTCCTACCTCAGCCTCCCGAGTAGCTGGGATTACAGGCGCCCCCCACCATGCCTGGTTAATTTTTTGTATTTTTAGTAGAGATGGGGTTTCATCATGTTGTCCAGGCTGGTCTCGAACTCCTGACCTCAGGCGATCCACCCTTGGCCTCTCAAAGTGCTGGAATTATAGGCTTGAGCCATGGCAACTGGCTACCATGTTAACTCTTTTCTGTACAGATAAATGTATCTATACATACATCCATGCATATACATACATATATACATACATACATAAATACATAGGTAGATACATAGTAAAAACTTTTCTGCTCTTCTTGTAGACCATCCACCCAATCCCACACCCATCCCCACAAGAAACCATTCTTATTAGTTCCTTGCTTATCTTTCCAGAGTTTCTTTAGGCATACTAGCAAATAAAAACATATTCTTCTGGCCCTGCCTTTGTCATACTTCGTTAGCATATACTCTCTTACTCTCTTGTTTTTTTCATTTGCAGTTCCTTCTATACCTTTATCTCAGGAGCATCTGCATTTTTTTTTTCTCATAGCTGGAAAACATCCCATTTTCTAGAAGTTTCACAATTTACTTAACCATTTCTCTAACGGACGTTTGGGTGGTTTCTGATCTTTGGTATTGCAAGCACTAGTGCGATAAATAGCCTTGGGCCTCCGAAAGATCTTCTTCTGAAGAGTTAGCTGTGGCTCCAGTGAACTACCCCAGTCTGAGTGATGGCACAGAAGATCCTACGTTATTGGTCTAGTCCCCCATCTGTAAATTAGCTCAAGAGAGATCACTGGATGGAGAGGATACAGTTCTTCTCTTTATCTTTTGAGAACTGGCCTCTCACTGGCTGGGGCAACTCACACTTTGTTTTCTAGGTCTTGTTGTATTTCTCCTTTCTTTTTAGGTGGAAATGAGGAGGACTGGGAACAGCCCTTGGTGGGTAGGTAAGGTTTAGTGTAGGGTTGCCAAATTTAGCAAATCGGGACATGCTTCTACTAAAAAATTATTTATTATCTGAAATTCAAATTTAATTGGGTGTCCTGTATTTTATCTGGCCACCCTAGTTTAGTGCCATATTTTATTCTATTTTACTTATTTATTTTTAGAAACAGGGTCTCACTATGTTTTCCACACTGGCCTTGATCTCCTGGTCTCAAGCAATCCTCCCACCTTAGCCTCCCAATTTTTTTAGATTATAGGAGTGAGCCACCATGCCCAGCAGTACCATATTTTAATCTAGAGATTTAAACATTGAAGGATTCCTGGGGTGAATGCTCTGAAATGAAAAGGAAGGTCAGACTTGATCAGCATCCAGAGTGGTGATTGAACAAAGATATGGTCGTGGACAGAAGACCTAGATTTGAGTCCCGGCTCTGCCATTTGACTCAGACATAGACATCAAAGTGGTTCAATAGAAACTTGGCATTGGCTGGGCGTGGTGGCTCACGCCTGTAATCCCAGCACTTTGGGAGGCCAAGGCGGGCGGATCACCTAAGGTCAGGAGTTCGAGACCAGCCTGTACAACATGGTGAAACCCCGTCTCTACTAAAAATACGAAAATTAGCTGGGTGTGTTGGCAGGCACCTGTAATCACAGCTACTCGGGAGGCTGAGGCAGGAGAATTGCTTGAACCCGGGAGGTGGATGTTGCCATGAGCCGAGATCACACCATTGCACTCCAGCCTGGGGGACAAGAGCGAGACTTCATCTCAAAAAAAAAAAAAAAAAAAAGAAAGAAACTTGGCATCATAGCAGGCTGGCAAGATGGCTGCCTCTGCCTTTGCTGGTGCGATGAGAGCAGCTTCAGGAATCTATGGCTCCTGAATATTTTTGCATCTCCAGCCCACCGAAACTGTGCCAGGAATGCCTCTCTTATTTCTGCATTGTCTACTGGACGTTTTAGTCATATTCAGACACCATTTGTTTCCTCCACTCCCAGGCTGATCACATCTGTCAGAAACCTGACATGTGGGCATACTGCAGTGATCCCCAACAGAGTGGCCCCCTTGCTTCCAAGTGTCCTGAAGCTGCCAGTCAGAACTGTAATATACGTCAGTACACAAAAAGGCAAGAGAACAACTGTGAAAGCTGTTATCTATAGGTTTTTTCGACTTCATTCTGGCCTTTGGGTGAGGAGAAAGGCTGGTTATAAGAAAAAATTCTGGAAAAAGACACCTGCAAGAAAAAAGCAATTGAGGGAATTTGTGTTCTGCAATAAAACCCAGAGTAAACTCTTAGATAAAATGACAGTGTCCTTCTGGAAGAGGTGAAACTTGTATGCTGATAATCCTTATCAGAAATATCTTTATGAAACAAACCTGAAAGTATAGATCAGAAGTTTCACTTGTTTCTCAGTTATTGAATATGTATCTTTGTGTACATGACATCTTTGCAAAAATAGGTAAGTATAAAACCGATGTAAATTGTACCAGTTAATATGTAAACATCCAATGCCAACATTAAACTTATAAAAGTATTTAAACTTAAAAAAAAAAAAACTTGGCATCATACATATTCTCCCAAAGCTGGAAAAACACCTCTTTACTGATAGGAACCTAAATAAACCCCTTAAACAAGTTGCCCGAGTCTAGTTAATGCTGTGTTGCCAGCATGTGGAAGTATAAAGTCTCAGGTTGCTTTATGCAACTTGCTTGGTTTGGATGAACGTGTGAGTGAGAGGTAGGTATGAATCCCACTGCCTTACGGTTCATGCTAGTTTTTTCCACTCTCAGATGCTGTAAGTCAGGGTCTGCTTGATGAAAAGGAGGACTTTGATGACAAGTATCATGGTATTTGTATAACAAGTCTAAAAGTTTTAATCCCTTCAGTTAGATACAACCATGGACATTTTTCAAGTAATAATATTTTTATTAGAAATTTGCAGATACCTTGAGCCTGTTCTTTGTAATGACATGGAAAAAGAACACAGCCTACATATCCCTTTGTATATAGGATATTTTTAGCATTGTAAAGCCCCGGTGTCATAATTAACCTTGTCTTTTGTTTCTCATTCCCCTTTTAAATGAAAGTATGAAGCACTTCACTGCTTAGTTCTTCCGTAAGTTTCATTTTACTGTGAAATGAAAGTGTTCTGAAGATATCCTTGACAGGATATGCAAACGAATGTAACAAAAACCTTCCTTTGTGTTGAAGGCTGGTCCTAAGTACATACTAGATTTCACCAGACGAGTCCAAAAGGTCAGATGCTTTGAAAAAAGGCCCCCAGTGCAAATAATCGAGTAGTTGACCTGGTGAAAAAAAGGAAAGACTATTTATGCATGCATTGGTCTTTGAGCTGTTCCGCCTGCTGTCTTGTAAACTCAGAAGCAGTTTTCCTGAGGTGGGTATTACTGACCATCTAGCTCACCATCTGAGACTCATAAGTAGATTTGTGAGTGGTGAGGTGTAGTGAAGACCACTTGTTTGGGATTCAACATACATGGCCAGCCAATGAAAATGTTAACTCACATCTGCATATGCCTTCATCTTGTTATGGAACTGGAGGCACCATCATTCATAATGCTTAAAAATAAAACACCTGCAAGGCAGCTATTGTTAAAACCTAACTCGCCCACAAGAAAGCTGATGCTCAACGAAGTCAAATCTCTAGTAATAAAACTGGGTTACTATTCATATCTTGACTCTACTACCCAAGTTCTTTCTGTAAGTCATCTAAACAGCCAGGACCTCAGCAATCTGACTAGATAAAAACAAAAAATTCTTCTTGAGTTTATGATCCTAAGGGTTTCTTTTTCATATCTAAGGGTTTCTTTTTCATATCTAAAGCAGGTATTCATATTAGATGCTGTCACATTTTGCTTATCTCTTGCTGTGTAACAAACCAACCCAAAACATATCTGCTTAAAACAGTAACCACTTTATTTGTTCATGATTCTTTGGTTGGCTGGGGCTCTGCTGGGCTGTTCTTTGGTTGGTTTCAGTTGGGGTCTCCTGTGAGGTTGTAATCAGATGGCTTTGTTCACATGTCTAGTTCCCCAGTGGGGAAGGTTGAGAGGGAGTGATCTTTTCCTCTTTTCTTCCCCATGTGGCTAGCTTGGGTTTCTTTTCATGGTGGTTTGATCCTGAGAGTGAGCATTTCAAGAGACATAAGCTCCAGTGTGCCAGCACTTATCAAGCATTTGCTTACATCATTCTTGCTAATGTCCTATTTATTGGCCGAGCCCGAGGTTAATATGGAAGGATACACCACAGAAGTGTGAATACCAGGAGTTATGGTTCATCGGGAACCACCAAAGTAGCAATCCACCACTTGTAGTATATACAACAGAAATGTAAAAAAATTCATATTTAAGCCAAGATCTGTTGTTCCATATTTTTTTGAAGAATATTGGATTCAAAACATATTACTTTAGAATACTATGCAGCCTCCAAAAGTCACACATTAGAATACTACATGACATGGAAAAAGATACTATGCTAAGAGTAAACCAAAAAAAGTTTCAAAACAAGTATTTGTTTGTATGTATACTCCACTTTTAGCCATTGTTATTGCTGATGATTTTCATTACTTGTCTTTGCATTTATCAAAATTTTATCAGTGCATATATACTATTTTTAATCAGTAATAAAGTATTTTTGCAATTGAAGAAAAAATCTAAAAATAGTATTGCAATAATCGGTGATAGGTTAACAAGGTTTGAGTATGCTTATATAATATTATTTATATTGCTATATTGCTTTATAGATCCTGGAAAGTAAAATATTTGTAGTCAATAAAATAAAGTTCTTACAGAAATGCAAATAAAACAATACCCCAGTACTGTTAAATTATCAGATTGGAAAACAGGAAAAAGATGATCAATTCACAGTGTTTGTCAGGATTTAGGGACTTTGGGTGAGAGTGCAAATTGGTACAACATTTCTGGCAAGCAATTGAAATAGATCAGGATTTTAAATGGGCATTTCTTTGTAGGAATTCTTACTAAAGAGGAAAATGTTTTAAATTCTCCAAACTGTAGCTACTGACCTGTACTGATTTGTGGAATTAATGGTGGTGATTTGTCCCTTTATATACTTTCTGCCATTCTTCATACCTTCTACATGTAGTTTCCCAAAGCTGATACACATTAATGTTGAGAGGAGGTGGCAGAACTTGAAAGCTTCATGGCCCATGACCTTAAACTGGAGCTTCTCAATTTCGGCTGCACACCGGAATGGGATCATTACAAAGTTCCTGATTACTATGTTGACACCAAAGCTTCTGATTTAACTACTCTTGGGTGTAGTCTGGGTATTTGGAATTTTCAAGGCTGCTCATGTGATTCCAATTGATAACCAAGTTTGAGACCAACAGGCATAGTCAAAACTCTCTTGACTGAACTGACCTGAAATTCCACTGGTTAACCTGCATTCTCCTTACCTTCTGTTAAAAAAAAAAAAAAAAAAAAAAAGTTGGCCGATTTCTTATTAACATCTCAATTTGATAGGCTGTCAGTACATATGACTTATTGCTCTCAACAGTTGAGTTGTTTTCCTAGAGCCAGTTGTATCTGTTTCTAAACCTTTTATTCTCTATTTGTTTTTTTGTTTTGTTTTTTTTGAGACAAAGTCTCACTCTGTCACCCAGGCTGGATTGCAGTGGTGTGATCATGGCTCACTGCAGCCTTGATATTCCAGGCTCAAGCAATCCTCTCATCTCAGCCTCCTGAGTAGCTGGGACCACAGGCATGCACCACCATGCCCAGCTAATTTTTAAATTTTTTGTAGAGACAGGGTCTCGCCATGTTGCCTAGGCAGGTCTTGAACTCTAAGACTCAAGCGATCCTCCTGCCTCTGACTCCCAAAGTGCTGGAATTACAGGCGTGAGCCACTGCACTTGGCTCTAAAACATTACTTTTTAAAGCCAATACTCATATTACTGAAATCATTGGAAATTACTTAGATATTGAGTGTTTGTTGAATCCCTTATTACAAATGACTTAAATACTTTTAATTTTAATGTTTTTTGATAATAACTGCATTTTTGCCAATGGACTATGAATAATATAGGAACATTACCTTATACTTTGTGCTGCTAGAAGACCAGCATTGTCTTTGTCTTTCCATAAAACCAAAGCATTAGTAACAACTGAAATATCCCAAGCAACCACAACAGTGCCCGGCAATTATAGTTGTTGGTTAAGTGAGTACAAATATCAGAAACTTCTGCTCTAGGTACATTCAAACCTTGAGGTAAGTCAGAAACTTGTATTCTCTGCCATTGTCCACCAAGTTGGCATAACTTTTCAGCTGACAAGATTTACCATGAAATATAATTAAATTTGAGTATAACTTACCAGAGCCAGAGCCATTTTTATCAGAGAAGGAAATGATCCTTCCTTACGCAACAGACAGGGACCATTACATTAGCAACTAGCATGGACTTAACTATCAGGGTGGTTTTCAACTTTCTCCTGAGGTTTTTGGTGATGCAGATGCTGCTAGTCCAGGGCCTCACTTTGAGAACCACTGCCTTACAGATCACCATTATTTAAAAAATCTCCATTACCCAGTGTTGTTATTTTGGTTCTCATGTTAGCATAACGACCTGAAAAAGGACCACGCAAACACAGTGAGTGAAATGAAGACCTTGTTTTTGGAGGAAGGCAAAGGACAACCAAATCAGTGGATGCAAGTATTTCAGGTTCTGATGGAAGTTACCGTACCGTATTTTTTGCTTTTCCTCACTGCCCTGAGGTTTAATAAGCTCCTTCACTGTTATGCACTAGTGATTAGAATCATTGAAGTTGCCTGGGTTAATGCAAACATCTCTGCTTAAAGAACAGAAAAGCCCCCATTTTCTTTTTGTTGTTGTTGTTGTTGTTCATTTGTTTGTTTATTTTGAGACAGAGTCTCTCTCTGTCACCCAGGCTAGAGTGCACTGGCTCAATCTCAGCACACTGCAATCTCTGCCTCCCTGGTTCAAATGATTCTCCTGCCTCAGCCTCTGGAGTAGCTGGAATTACATGTGTGTGCCACCATGCCCGGCTAATTTTTGTATTTTTAGTAGAGACGGGGTTTTACCATGTTGGCCAGGCTGGTCTCAAACTCCTGACCTCAAGTGATCCACCCACCTCAACCTCCCAAAGTGCTGGGATTATAGTCGGGAGCCACCACGCCTGGCCGAAAAGCCCCATTTTCTACCCCCAGCTTTTCCTCTAGGGAACTGTGTAACCTTACTAAGCCAGTTACTTAGTCTCTTTGAGCCTTAGTTTCCTCATCTGTAAAATAAGATGGGAATCATTCAGTCATGAATGTTCCATCTAACTCCAAAATCTTATCAATTCCATGACCTTTGACAGACGTAATGGGCTCTGTGATTTGACCACAGATGACTTTTGCCATTTTGGCCCATAAGAGTTAAATTACCAGGTGGCTGGGAAGATGGCCAAATAGGAACAGCTCCGGTCTGCAGCTCCCAGCAAGATCAATGCAGAAGGTGGGGGATTTCTGCATTTCCAACAGAGGTACCCAGCTCATCTCTTTGGGACTGGTTAGATAGTAGGTGCAGCCCACGGAGGGTGAGCAGAAGCAGGGTGGGGTGTCATCTCACCTGGGAAGTGCAAGGGGTCGGGGAACTCCCTCCCCTAGCCAAGGGAAGCCATGAGGGACTGTGCCATGAAGAACAGTGCATTCCAGCCCAGATACTATACTTTTCCCACAGTCTTTGCAACCCACAGACCAGGAGATTCCTTTGGGTGCCTATGTGACCAGGGCCCTGGGTTTCAAGCACAAAACTGGTTGGCCATTTGGGCAGACACTGAGCTAACTGCAGGAGTTTTTTTTTTTCATACCCCAGTGGCGCCTGGAACACCAGCGAGACAGAACTGTTCACTCCCCTGAAAAGGGGGCTGCAGTCAGGGAGCCAAGTGGTCTAGCTCAGCGGATCCCACCCCTACAGAGCCCAGCAAGCTAAGATCCACTGGCTTGAAATTCTTGCTGCCAGCGCAGCAGTCTGAAGTTGACCTGGGATGCTCAAGCTTGGTGGGGGAAGAAGTGTATGCCATTACTGAGGCTTGAGTAGGTGGTTTTCCCCTCACAGTGTAAACAAAGCTGCCAGGAGGTTCGAACTAGGCATAGCCCACTGCAGCTTGGCAAAGCCACTGTAGCCAGAATGCCTCTCTGGATTCCTCCTCTCTGGGCAGGGCACATCTGAAAGAAAGGCAGCAGCCCCAGTCAGGGACTTATAGATAAAACTCCTATCTCCCTGGGACAGAGCACCTGGGGGAAGGGGCGGCTGTGGGCACAGCTTCAGCATATTTTAATGTTCCTGCCTGCCAGCTCTGAAGAGAGCAGTGGATCTCCCAGCACAGTGCTCGAGCTCTGCTAAGGGACAGACTGCCAACTCAAGTGGGTCCCTGACCCTCGTGCCTCCTGACTAGGAGACACCTCCCAGCAGGGGTTGACAGACATCTCATACAGGAGAGCTCCAGCTGGCATCCAGTGAGTGCCCCTCTGGGATGAAGCTTCCAGAGGCAGGAACAGGCAGTAATCTTTGCTATTCTACAGCCTTCGCTGGGGATACCCAGGCAAACAGGGTCTGGAGTGGACTTCGGCAAACTCCAGCAGACCTGAAGCAGAGAGGCCTGACTGTTAGAAGAAAAATTAACAAACAGAAAGCAATAACATCAACATCAACAAAAAGGATGCCCACACAAAAACCCCATCTGCAGGTCACCAACATCAAAGACCAAAGGTAGATAAATCCACAAAGATGAGGAAAAACCAGTGCAAAAAGGCTGAAAATTCCAAAAACCAGAATGCCTCTTCTCCTCCAAAGGATCACAACTTCTCGCCAGCAAGGAAACAAAACTGAATGGAGAATGAGTTTGACCAATTGACAGAAGTAGGCTTCAAAAGGTGGGTAATAACAAACTCCTCAGAGCTAAAGGAGCATGTTCTAACTCAATGCAAGGAAGCTAAGAACCTTGAAAAAAGGTTAGAGGAATTGCTAACTAGAATAACCAGTTTAGAGAAGAACATAAATGATCTGATGGAGCTGAGAAACACAGCACGAGAACTTTGTGAAGCATACACAAATATTAATAGCCGAATTGATCAAGTGGAAGAAAGGATATCAGATATTGAAGATCAACTTAATGAAATAAAACGTGAAGACAAGATTAGAGAAAAAAGAATGAAAGGAACAAATAAAGCCTCCAAGAAATATGGGACTATGTGAAAAGACCAAACCTATGTTTCATTGGTGTATCTGGAAGTGATGGGGAGAATGGAACCAAGTTGGAAAACACTCTTCAGGATATTATCCAGGAGAACTTCCCCAACCTAGCAAGACGGGCCAACATTGAAATTCAGGAAATACAGAGAATACCACAAAGATACTCCTCGAGAAGAGCAACCCCAAGACACATAATCATCAGATTCACCAAGGTTGAAATGAAGGAAAAAATGTCAAAGGCAGCCAAAGAAAAAGGTCGGGTTACCCACAAAGGGAAGCTCATCAGACTAACAGCAGATCTCTCCGCAGAAACCCTACAAGCCAGAAGAGAGGCCAATATTCAACATTCTTAAAAAAGGAATTTTCAACCCAGAATTTCATATCCAGCCAAACTAAGCTTCATAAGCGAAGGAGAAATAAAATCCTTTACAGAAAAACAAAGCTGAGAGACATTTTGTCACCACCAGGCCTGCCTTACAAGAGCTCCTGAAGGAAGAACTAAATATCAAAAGGAAAAACTGGTACCAGCCACTGCAAAACGTACCAAATTGTAAAGACCGTCGACACTATGAAGAAACTGCATCAACTAATGGGCAAAATAACCAGCAAGCATCATAATGACAGGATCAAATTCACACATAACAGTATTCACCTTAAATGTAAATGGGCTAAATGCCCCAATTAAAAGACACAGACTGGCAAATTGGATAAAGAGTCAAGACCCATCAGTGTGCTGTATTCAGGAGATGCATCTCATGTACAAAGACACACATAGGCTCAAAATGAAGGGATGGAGGAATATTTACCAAGCAAATGGAAAGCAAAAAAAAAAAAAAACAGGTGTTGGTCAGGCGAGGTGGCTCACACCTGTAATCCCAGTACTTTGGGAGGCTGAGGCAGCGGGATCACCTGAGGTCGGGAGTTCAAGACTAGCCTGACCAACATGGAGAAACCACATCTCCACTAAAAATACAAAATTAGCAAGGCGTGGTGGCACATGCCTGTAATCCCAGCTACTCGGGAGGCTGAGGCAGGAGAATTGCTTGCTCCTGGGAGGTGGGGGTTGTGGTGAGCCAAGATCATGCCACTGCACTCTAGCCTGGGCAACAAGAGCAAAACGCCATCTAAAAAAAAAAGAAAAAAAAAAAAAGAAAAAAAACCCAGCAGGGGTTGCAATCCTAGTCTGTGATAAAACAGATTTTAAGCCAAGAAAGATTAAAAAAAGACAAAGAGGGGTACTATATAATGGTAAAGGGATCAATGTAACAAGAAGAGCTAATTATCCTAAATATATGTGCACCCAATACAGGAGCACCTAGATTCATAAAGCAAGTTCTTAGAGACCTAGAAGGAGACTTAGACTCCCACACAATAATAGTGGGAGATTTTAACACCCCACTGTCAATATTAGACAGATCAATGAGACAGAAAATTAACAAGGATATTCAGGACTTGAACTCAGCTCTGGACCAAGCACAACTAATAGACATCTACAGAACTCTCCACCTCAAATAACAGAATATACATTCTTCTCAGCACCACATCACAGTTATTCTAAAATTGACCACATAATTGGAAGTAAAACACTCCTCAGCAAATGCAAAACAATGGAAACCATAACAGTCTATCAGACCACAGTGCAATCATATTAAAATTCAGGATTAAAAACTCACTCAAAACTGCACAACTACATGGAAACTGAACAACCTGCTCCTGAATGACTACTGGATAAATAACAAAATTAAGGCAGAAATAAATAAGTTATTTGAAACCAATGAGAACAAAGACACAACATACCAGAATCTCTGGGACACAGCAAACGCAGTGTTTAGAGGGAAAGTTATAGCACTAAATGCCCACAAAAGAAAGCAGGGACAGATCTAAAATCGACCCCCTAACATCACAATAAAAAGAACTAGAGAAGCGAGAGCAAACATTCAAAAGCTAGCAGAAGACAAGAAATAACTAAAATCAGAGCAGAACTAAAGAAGATAGAGGCATGAAAAACCCTTCAAAAAATCAGTGAATCCAGGAGCTGGTTTTTTGAAAACATTAACAAAATAGATAGACCACTAGCCAGACTAATAAAGGAGAAAAGAGAGAAGAATCAAATAGACACAATACAAAATGATAAAGGGGTTATTACCACTGATCCCACAGAAATACAAACTATTATCAGAGAATACTAAAATCACCTCTACTCAAATAAACTAGAAAATCTACAAGAAATGGATAAATTCCTGGACACATACACCCTCCCAAGACTAAATCAGGAAAAAGTCAAATCCCTGAATAGATCAATAACAAGTTCTGAAATGGAGGCAGTAATTAATAGCCTACCAACCAAAACAAGCACAGGACCAGACGTATTCACAGCTGAATTCTACCAGAGGTACAAAGAGGAGCTGGTACCATTCCTTCTGAAACTATTCTAAGCAATAAAAAAAGAGGAACTTCTTCCTAACTCATTTTATGAGGCCAGCATCATCCTGATATCAAAACCTGGCAGAGGCACAATGAAGAAAGAAAATTTCAGGCCAATATCCCTGATGAACATCAATGAGAAAATCCTTAATAAAATATTGGCAAACCAAATCCAGCAGCACATCAAAAAGCTTATCCACCACAATCAAGTCGGCTTTATCTCTGGGCTGCAAGGCTGGTTCAACATATGCAAATCAATAAACATAATCTATCACATAAACAGAACCAATGACAAAAACCACATGATTATCTCAATAGATGCAGAAAAGGCCTTCAATAAAATTCAACACCCTTTCATACTAAAAACTCTCAATAAACTAGGTATTGATGGAACATATCTCAAAATAATAAGAGCTATTTATGACAAACCCACAGCCAATATCATACTGAATGGGCAAAAGCTGGAAGCACTCCCTTTGAAAACTGGCACAAGACAAGGATGCCCTCTCGCTCCACTCCTATTCAACACAGTATTGGAAGTTCTGGCCAGGGCAATCAGGCAAGAGAAAGAAATAGAAGGTATCCAAATAGGAAAAGAGGAAGTCAAATTGTCTCTGTTTGCAGATGACATGATTGTATATTTAGAAGACCGCATCATCTCAGCCCACAATCTCCTTAAACTGATAAGCAACTTCAGCAAAGTCTCAGGATACAAAATCAATGTGCAAAAATCACAAGCATTCCTATACACCAATAATGGACAAACAGAGAGCCAAATCATGAGTGAACTCCCATTCACAATTGCTACAAAGAGAATAAAATACCTGGGAATACAACTTACAAGGGATGTGAAGGACCTCTTTAAGGAGAACTACAAACCACTGCGCAAGGAAATAAGAGAGGACACAAACAAATGGAAGAACATTCCATGCTCATGGATAGGAAAAAACAATATCCTGAAAATGGCCGTATTTCCCAAAGTAATTTATGGATTCAATGCATACCCATCAAGCTACCATTGACTTTCTTCTCAGAATTAGAAAAAAAAACTACTTTAAATTTCATATAGAACCAAAAATACATACCATATAGCCAAGTCAATCCTAAGCAAAAAGAACAAAGCTGGAGGCATCACGCTAACTGACTTCAAACTATATTACAAGGCTACAGTAACCAAAACAGTATGGTACTGGTACCAAAACAGATATAAAGACCAATGGAACAGAACAGAGGCCTCAGAAATAATGCCACACATCTACAACCATCTGATCTTTGACAAACCTGACAAAAACAAGCAATGGGGAAAGGATTCTGTATATAATAAATGGTGTTGGGAAAACTGGCTAGCCATATGCAGAAAACTGAAACTGGACCCCTTCCCTACAACTTATACAAAAATGAACTCAGGATGGATTAAAGACTTAACTGTAAGACCTAAAACCACAAAAATCCTAGAAGAAAACCTAGGCAATACCATTCAGGCCACAGGCACGGGCAAAGACTTCATGACTAAAACACCAAAAGCAATGGCAACAGAAGCCAAAATTGACAAATGATCTAATTAAACTAAAGAGCTTCTGCACAACAAAAGAAACTACCATCAGAGTGAACAGGCAACCTACAGAATGGGAGAAAATTTTTGCAATCTGTCCATCTGACAAAGGGCTATTTTCCAGAATCTACAAGGAACTTAAAGAAATTTACAAGAAAAAAACAAACAACGCCATCAAAAAGTGAGTGAAGGATATGAACAGAGACTTCTCAAAAGAAGACATTTATGTGGCCAAGAAACATAGAAAGCTCATCATCACTGGTCATTAGAGAAATGCAAATCAAAACCACAATGAGATACCATTTCACACCAGTTAGAATGGTGATCATTAAAAAATCAGGAAACAACAGATGCTGGAGAGGATGTGGAGAAATAGGAAAGCTTTTACACTGTTGGTGGGAGTGTAAATTAGTTCAACCATTGAGGAAGACAGCGTGGCAATTCCTCAAGGATCTAGAACCTGAAATACCATTTGACCCAGCCATCCCATTACTGGGTATATACCCAAAGGATTATAAATCATTCTACTATAAAGACATATACACACATATGTTTATTGCAGTGCTATTCACAATAGCAAAGACTTGGAAACAATCCAAATGCCCATCAATGATAGACTGGATAAAGAAAATGTGGCACATATACACCATGGAATACTATGTAGCCACAGAAAAGGATGAGTTCATGTCCTTTGCAGGGACATGGATGACACTGGAAACCATCATTCTCAGCAAACTAACACAGGAACAGAAAACCAAACACCGCATGTTCTCACTCATAAGTGGGAGCTGAACAGTGAGAAAACATGGACACAGGGAGGGGAGCATCGCACACCGGGGCCTGTCGGGGTGTGAGGGGCTAGAGGAGGGATAGCATTAGGAGAAATACCTAATGTAGATGACAGGTTGATGGGTGCAGCAAACCACCATGGCAGGTGTATACCTATGTAACAAACCTGCACGTTCTGCACATGTGTCCCAGAACTTAAAGTATATATATATATATGAGTTAAATTACCTTGGATATATTGATTCCTCTTCATTCTGGCTTCTCACAGCAGTATGAAAAATAACTGAAGGGCCAGGTAACCCAAGACCTGCATGGCTCATCAAAAGATCTGCTCTCTTGACTGGGTGAGGTGGCTCACATCCGTAATCCCAGCATTTTGGGAGGCCAAGACAGCAGATCATCTGTGGTCAGGAGTTTGACACTGACCTGGCCAATATGGTGAAACCCCATCTCTACAAAAATACAAAAAAAATTACCTGGGTGTGGTGGTAGGCACCTGTAATCCCAGCTACTCTGGAGGCTAAGACAGGAGAATCACCTGAACCCGGGAAGCAGAGGTTGCAGTGAGCCAGATTGTGCCACTGCACTCCAGCCTGGGTGACAAGAGCGAGACTCCATCTAAAAAAAAAAAAAAAAAGTGCTCTCTTGAGGTCACTGTTAAAATCAGACTAAACTTCAATCATCTCCATCAAGGTTACTGTTAGTATATTAATTTCTTCCTTTTTTTTTTTTTTTTTTATTGGAGACAGAGTCTCACTCTGTCATCCAGGCTGGAGTGCAGTGGCGCGATCTTGGCTCACTGCAACCTCCACCTCCTGGGCTCAAGCGATGCTACCCCCAAACCCCCCAAGTAGCTGGGACCACAGGCCTGCACCACCATGCCTGGCTTTTTTTTTTTTTTTTTTTTTTGAGACAGAGTCTCACTCTGTCGCCCATGCTGGAGTGCAGTGGCGCAGTCTCGGCTCACTGCAATCTCTGCCTCCTGGGTTCACGCCATTCTCCTGCCTCAGCCTCCCGAGTAGCTGGGACTACAGGCGCACGCCACCGCGCCAGGCTAATTTTTTGTATTTTTAGTAGAGACGGGGTTTCACCGTGTTAGCAGGATGGTCTTGATCTCCTGACCTTGTGATCTGCCTGCCTCGGCCTCCCAAACTGCTGTGATTACAGGCATCAGCCACTGCACCCGGCCTCCTGGCTAGTTTTTGTATTTTTTGTAGAGACAGGGTTTCGCCACGTTAGCCAGGCTGGTCTCAAACTCCTGAGCTCAAGCAATCCTCCTGCCTCGGCCTCCCAAAGTGCTGGGATTACAGGTATGAGCCATCACACCAGGCCTAGTATATTAATTTCTTGATTAAAAAACCAAAATCCTTGTGACTTATTCTAAGGCTGAATTGTTCTTAGAGAAAATTGAGGGAATAATTTAGTGAAGGATTCAAAATCTTGTGTCCAGGTCATGGCAGATATAGGAACCAGTGCTTGTAGCCCTGCATCAAAAGGATAATGTGGCTGGGTGCCATGCCTCACACCTGTAATCCCAAGTGCTTTGGGAGACTAAGGCAGGAGGATCACTTGAGGCCAGGAGTTCAAGACCAACCTAGGCAACATAGCGAGACTCTGTCTCTACAAAAATATTTAAAGGTTAGCCAAGCATGGTGCCACACACACCATTGCACTCAAGCCTGGGCAACAGAGCAAGACATTTGTCTCTGAAAAAACAACAACAACAACAACAACAACAAAACAACAAAACAAAACAACAAAACAAGGATAATGTGATTATTTTGGTGTAAACCTCATTTTGTACCAAAACGCTAGCATTGAATTTTTTAAAGTGAGGTATGATTGCCGTTGTCTTATCCACTTTGTGCTAAAATGCTTTTTTAGTTGTGATTGGGCCAGGGGCCAGGATGAATCTCCTCTGTAACTCTGACCTGAGTCTTCAGGAAAGAAGATTGAGGAAGAAAGTCTTGGTTAAAATAAATCAGGTTGTCAAGCAGGGGTGATTTTGCCCCCAAGGAACATTGGCAAGGTCTGGAGACATCTTTTGGTTGTCACAAATGTGGGATGGGGGTTGCTATCGGCATTTAGTGGGTGGAGGCTAGGGATGCTGCTCCCCCAGGAAAGAATGAGCCAGCCCCAAATGGCAAGAGTGTTGAGGCTGAACAACCTTGAAACATGCTGGGAGGTGAAAGCAGGGAATCTGTCCCTGGGGAGTGTCTGGCCCCGGGGAAATGCTGGTGCTTGGGCTAGTTTGTCCAACCTCCCTCCCGTTTCTCCACCCCCAACACCCTCCTCCAGTTCTTCACATCTGTCTCACCTTCTGCCTCCCCTGCCCCGATTCTGAAATGCCTCCATCGAGGACTTTGGGAATTTTATTGCGGATAAAATTGGCTCTCAGGAAAATACAAGAGAAACATAAGAAACTAATAAATGTGGGAAAAAAAAAGCTCAACAGCAGAAGTATACCAGAATTGGCTTTGCAAACAATGGAGTATCTCGTAGGAGGATCTGGAAGAGATGGGGTCACATACTTTTTAAACAAGTGCACCTTTGTTCTTTTTGCATTTTAATGCTGAATATAGCTGTCTTTGTAGGCTCACAATATAAATGATTCCGATTTCCAATTTTTTTAAATACCAAAAGAATAGGAACACACCAACACAAATACTAAAAGAACAAAGCCTGATATACCAGAAAATCTGGGGAGGGGGATAAAGTGTTGGAATCACTGCTGAGAATTGAACCCAGCAGGCCACATTCCTAGCCTTTTCCTGGTCACCCCACTGTTTCACACACCCCAAATAAATTATCCTGCCTACAGCATGGTGCCATCATACTTCTGTGTTGCTGACATCAAATGATTGTGCATAAAACTACCTGTGTCACTGGGCGCGGTGGCTCATGCCTGTAATCCCAGCACTTTGGGAGGCTGAGGCAGGCGGGTCACCTGAGGTTGGGAGTTCCAGACCAGCCTGACCAACATGGAGAAACCCCATCTCTACTAAAAATACAAAATTAGCCGGGCGTGGTGGCACATGCCTGTAATCCCAGCTACTCGGGAGGCTAAGGCAGCAGACTTGCTTGAACCCGGGAGGCAGAGGTTGCGGTGAGCTGAGATCATGCCACTGCACTCCAGCCTGGGCAACAAGAGTGAAACTCCATCTCAAAAAAACACCAACCAACCAAACAAACAAAAAACGACCTGTGTCAACTCTGAAGGCTAGATTTACATAAGCCTTATTCATGTATTTTATTTATCTCATACTTATATGACAGCCGCATCCTAACACTATGGTATACTAATAGGTGCTTCATAAGGGATTGCTGAGTGTATGAATGAATGAATGAATGAATGAATGAATGAAACAAGACCAACTCCTTCATTTTGCCTGTGGAAGGACTAAAAATATGAATTTTCCGTTTGACATATGTCTAAGCCAAGATGTTCACATGAGTCAAAATACAGAGAAGCAAGTGGTATTTCTCCGATGTATTAAAGTTCCTAATTTATGTACATGTAATAAAACCTCTCCAAAACGCAAGGGTTGAAAGTGTGTTTATGGCTGTACCAATGCACATCAGTGGAGGATTATTGATTCTTCCAAAATAACTCTCGCGCCAACTGGTTTTCCCCAGAGTGCTTTTTAATTCATAGGACTTTTTCTGTGAATTTTGTATTGTTAAAAAAAAAAGTTATTCATCACATTCATTGAAGACACTAAGGAAGACTTCATTCAAGGGGGTCTTTGTGATAGGTTTAGGGACCACAGACTGCAATGGGGTCTTATAGTGGGGGAGAGAGATTAATCTCAGCTCTGACTCCAACAAGGACAAGTGGGGATTTGTAAGCAACGAGCAGGGTTGGGGGCCGTGGATGGAAAACCACTAAGGAAACATCAGGGGTAGGAGGGATTCTTGCTAGATCAACTCAAATAGAATTCTTGCTAAAGGCAAGCCTGGGTGATAAGATATCGAGGGTGGTCAGATACCAAGGGCAGGAGTTTTTTTGATAAACTGACTTCACAGGATTCTTGCTCAAACTAAATTCCACAATGACAGAGAGGGAAGCCCAAGACAGGTCTGGTCAAGGAGAGGATTCAGAGGAGCCTGACTGTTGTTAGGACAAGGAATGAGTCTTGGTCGGTGTTCAAGAAAGAATTGCTCTTTGAATGCTATGAATGCATCCAGGTGCAGAAATTAATGCGAGGTCAGATCACCATTGCTGTGGAGAGGGATCTCTGCCTATCTTTCTTTTGATTCTTCTGTTCCATAGCCTTGGTCCTAAATACAAGGTTTTCTGAGACTTAAAGGAATTTAGGGTTGCACCAGGCATGGTGGTGCACACCTGTAGTTCCAGCTACTTGGAGGCTGAGGCAGGAGGATTGCTTGATACTATGAGTTCAAGACCAGCCTGAGCAATATAGTGAGACCTTCTGTCTCAAAAAAAACAGGAAAGAGAGAGACAAAGAAAGAGAGAGAGAGAGGAAGGAAGGAAGGAAGGAAGGAAGGAAGGAAGGAAGGAAAGGAAGAAAAAGAAAAGAAATTTAGGGTCGCTCCTTGGTTCCTTGGGTGAGTAAATGTCAATGGCACATACTGAGCTTATCCTATGGTAAATGTACATCAAAATATGCCCAGAAATAATCATTAGGATGATTTTAAAGAGTGACGTGTTCAGTTTTAGTTCTTAAAATATGTCCATAATTCATGGTCAGTCTTAGCTTCCATGCAAGAAAATACTAGATTTAGCACTCCTTGTGTAGGGAAAATCAGAGCATCATACGTCCTCAGACACAGATGGCCATGCCCTCACAAATGTTAAGAATCTCTCAATGTGCGGAAGGACAACGTACATCAGGTAACCTTCAGAGCACTCTGCCTTCTGCCTGGACTGTTCCCTGGGGTCTCTGAAGACCACTTATGGTGTTAAAGGTAGCTGTGCCAAAGGACTGGCAATCAAGCCAGGCTTGAAGGTGTTTTCTAAAGGTGCCCCTGCTTTTTCTCTCTGATTTTGTGACTACAGCTCTTGAGCTTCTATAGTTAGTTGAACAGATTTTAAAAGACCTGTGATACCACAGGTGCCCTGCACATTGTTGGGCTCATCATATAGCCTGCTTGTTTTTGCAACCAGCACAAGATCAAAGCCATGCTCGTGGGATTCCTTACCAAGGTAGTGCCGGGGATGCAGAACTATCCACCTTAGAAGAGGGAACGGGAGACCAAACGTCCTGGTTTGCCCAGGACTGAGGGGTTTCCTAAGATATAGGTCTTTCAGGGCTAAATCGAGAAAAGTCCCACGCAAACCAAGACAAGTTGGTCACCCTATTGAGAGCAACCATCTGTGCCTTCAGTTAGAACTATTCCAACTACATCTAGCATAAATGGCATTGCCTATTAAAACTGCTGGGGACTTCTGCAATCATCTTTCCTCTAATTTTTGCAGAAAGATGCTCATACCCAGAGTGGTGTACACATTTTTCCCAAGGTCACCCAGCTTGCTAGCAGCATATCAGGAACCAGAATCTAGATCGCCACACTTCCAATTTAGGGCATTTTCCACTGCATTATGTTTTTCACTTTCCTATTCTCTTTTTTTATCACTCTCTTAAAATGTAAAATTCATTCAGCCAGGTTTTCTTTTGGCCACAGAACTCGGCTGTTAGGATAGTGAAGACTGTTCTTCCCATTTATATTGGGCACCACTTTTGGTTGTATTTATGATGGGATGGATGGTGAATGAGGGCTACAATGAAATCAGGTTGTTGTAAATGACCTCAATTGATTACCATCTCTATAATCACATGACATTCATTCCTACCTGTTGTTTCTACAGCCCACTGGAAGTATTGTTGTTGTTTTTAAGAGACGGGGTTTCTCTATGTTGCCCAGGCCAGTCTCAAATTCCTGGGCTCAAGCAATCCTACTGCCTCAGCCTTCTGTGTAGCTGGGATTACAAGAATGCACCACGGCACTCAGCTGAAAGTTGTTGCTGTTGTTGTTGTTTGAGACAGTCTTGCTCTGTTGCCCAGGCTGGAGTGCAGTGGTGTGATCATGGCTCACTGCAACCTCTGCCTCCCAGGTTCAAGTGATTCTCATGCCTCAGCCTCCAAGTGGCTGGGATTACAGGCATGCGCCACCATGCCTGACTAATTTTTGTATTTTTTAGTAGAGATGGGGTTTCACTATGTTGGCCAGGCTGGTCTCAAACTCCTGATCTCAGGTGATGCACCTGCCTTGGCCTCCTAAAATGCTGAGATACCAAAAGCATTGCTTTTATTTATAGAGTCCTAATCAATTCAGTAGTAGGAGGAGTGGGAGAGGCTCCTTTTTCAATCCAGGGACCTCCATAATGTTGTTTTTTTTGTTACCAAACACACAGGTAAGTGGCATCATGGATTTGGTAAACTAACAACAATGTGAGTGCATCAATCTCTGCTTCTGTAAGAATCCCGACTTTAGGATTTTCAACTGTCACTACTCCAACTTCTATTTCTGAAGGTTTGAAATCAATTGATAGAACAGTAGACAGGCATGTAATTGCAGTTTCCACTGTCTGTTCAAATGTCCAATCAAATTTCTTTTGCACTTTTTTTTTTTTTTTTTTTTCTGAGACGGAGTCTCGCTCTGTCGCCCAGGCTGGAGTGCAGTGGCGCGATCTCGGCTCACTGCAGGCTCCGCCCCCCGGGCTCACGCCATTCTCCTGCCTCAGCCTCCAGAGTAGTTGGGACTACAGGCGCCCGCCACCTCGCCCGGCTAATTTTTTGTACTTTTAGTAGAGACTGGGTTTCACCGTGTTAGCCAGGATGGTCTCGATCTCCTGACCTGGTGATCCACCCGCCTCGGCCTCCCAAAGTGCTGGGATTACAGGCGTGAGCCACCGCACCCGGCCCACTTTTTTTTTTCAAGGAAGCTGGTTAACTCAGTTTGTTTAACTCCTGCTGCAGTGGCTTTAAATCACAGCAGTAACCTGCAGGATCATACTTTCACACCTGAGGGCCTTGTTCTTCATCTATACCAATGAAAATCATACAACCAAGAGACCTCATTGTAGCATTCTGAGTAGTATCAGCAATTCCACACAGAATGTCCACAGGAATCTCATAGCCGTACTTGTATTTCCAGTTAGCTGCCCCATAGCGTGCCCTCTGTACCTCTGTCATTCCGGTCATCACAGTGACAGCCAATGTTTTCAGTTATTTTGAGTAAGTGAGTCACTGTGCTGGAATCCGATAATTTGTCAAGCATTTCTTCTGTATGATAATTACAGCAGTCTTTTCCTCTGACAAATACTGATGGAAGGCCACCCAGGTTAATAGCCTTAAAAGCATATGCATATTCTACTTGGTAGTGCTGGCCCTCGGGCGAAAAAAATGTTAATGTGGTGGGCAAAACCAGCGCTGGAACCACGGGACATGCTGGTAGAACCACTACTTTCAGCATAATCAAGTTTTTTTTTTTTTTTTTTTTTTAACATGCAACTATTTGTCACCTAAATGCTACCCTTCACTGAGGCAGTCACATGCCAAGACAATGTAGCCCTTCTAAAATGGCAGGAGGGCAGTCTGTTCCCCTCTAGGATGAACACCTAGAAAATGCATGAAAATCTTGCCTCTTCATACCTTACATTCTTTCTAGGGGAGTTTCAGGAGGCTCACTCTAAAAACTGAAGTTAATGTACAAACCAAGCAATTCTAAACACTTTACACATAACGTCTCATTTATTATCCCCATCTCACATGTAAGGAAACTGAGGCATAGGGGTTAAGCAACCAGCCCAAGGTCGTTGTTGCTGTTGGTTTTTAAACTCCGGTAAGTGGTGAAGTCTGTGTTCCTGGGCATTATGCTTTCAGAATAGGAAACAGAGCTCAAAGACTGCAATAAAGGAAACCACCCAGGATGTGATCTTGGAAAGCAGGGGCAGAAAAAAGGTGGAGGGATGTGTTCCTGGGGCACAGGGAGATAAATCAGGAAGATAAATATTGGTAATGAGAAGGAGGAGCCCTGTTGATTTCACGCAATTTAGATACAGGATAGCTGAGTATGTTTCAGCCCCTAACTCCCATCTTCCCTGGCACATCCTTGCTCAAACACATCATGTACCAAACGCCCTCTGCTGTCCTGCGTCAGTCCACACTGGAACACACCATAGGGTTCTGGAAAATTCCGACGTGAACCGTCTAATGGTGATCACCGAGCCCTTCCTGGTATCCCCAGCGTGATTCCAACCTCTGCACGCCTTAGTACTCCATCTTTCCCTTCACTACTTCCCTGTCCCCTGTAGTTCAGCTAGGGGATTAGATAGGACATGCCATAGGAAATGAAACGTCTCTGAAGAGGTGTGGCAGCATTATTAAGTGCAATTGTAAAGCTGATGAAGTGTCTTTGGCTTTCACTTCTCCTTCACTTCCCTCCTTTCTAGTACATTCTATCATGTTCTCTCACACTGTGATCACCTTTTTTCTCAGATGGACCTGGATGTAATTCTTCATATTTCACTGTGACTTCAAGACACCATGTTGCCATTCTTAGTGTTACACATACTTTACAGCTGAGCTTCACCAGGGGAACGTAATTATGACTTGACTTTGCGCTCACGAGAGTAGTTTGAAGTATCACTGAACAGGCTGTTCTATGGGGACAGGAATCCTCCTCGGTGCTTCTGAAATCAATGAATATGAACAAGTTTTATGCAGCCTACATTTAAGTTTGGTTTGCTCCAATAGATGGATATTGAACATCACTACTCTGATGCGTGAACACACTGTACCATCTTTAATTTTATAGGAAACATGTGGAATTAACAACGTGGACACCTTATGTGGCACAGCTGTTACGCTTTGAGGAAAGGCGATTGCTGGTAAGTTCTTCAGGAAGAAACACCTTCAAAATGGAAAACAGCTGACATCAATTAACTTCTGGCTTTTCTGTAATTTTGTATGCTGGCCTATAATCGTAAAGTAGCAAACATTTTCAGGTACTGCAACACATCACTCCGTCAAAACATATTACTCCACAATGATACATACAAACTATGAACGCAGTCAGAATGATTTTATTGAAATGTTTTAGTACAGTGTTAGAGGATCTTAAAATCTTACATTTTAAACCAATACAAGCACTGCAAATGATATACTCCTGAATCTAGTTGATGTAGTATCTAAAAAGAAAAGTGATCATATGAGTATCTATAAGTTGACTAATGTAATTTAAGTTGGAGGCTAAACAAACAACTTTGGTATATTCATATTTCTCTGGCTCCTGTTTTTGGCCAGATAAATGCCAGGTCCACCCCCATTCAGTAGAATTGGACAGGACCAATGTATTTGGTGGTCTCACTTAAGTTTCCACGCCAGGAGCAGCAAGAAATGTACAAATTTTGGGATTAAGCTGCTCCCAAGACAGTCTTCATCACCTTTGTGAACTGGAAACACCAAATAGTCAAGGTCTGAATTTCCATTGTGTGTGGCTAAGTCCAGTCGCATTGGTTCATAAATGTATTCTGAAGGATTTTAAAATACAAAGGTGGGGCTAAATAATGATAGAAACCATCAGTTCTTAATTCAGAGAATGACAATGCAGGTTCCTATATCCTTTTTAAAAATCTGAGATCATTATTTTAAAACTAGCTCTATACATTCTTAGGCTTTAAATTTAATCTTAGCTGAAATGATTACCTTTAAGTCAGTTGGCTTTAGGCCTTGGCGATTGCTCAATATAATTTTGGAATTTTAGGATGCAGCATTTCAGGTAAGTGACAGTTATGTTTTAGAAGAGGTCATTTAAAAAATGATCCAGAAATACACTGCTCTGATATGTCTAATGTATACCCCCCAAAATGTGTCAGTGTCCATATTAAGCTAAATAAAATTTGGTCCAAATTAAGCACAGTAACCAAGATGGTTTATCTGAAACTGAGTTATCCAAAAAAAAAAAAAAAAGGAAAATTCAAAATCCATGGTATTATAATTATAAATTTTCCAAGGTTCACTCCAAAGTAAAAGGATAATTAATTCTATACAGGGTTTTACCCAAATGTCCATAGGCATTATCAGTATATATTTACACAGAAGGCTTTAATCTGAAGTCACCTTTGGCAACCTCGAAATATATAAACTATGACTTCCACAATGAAATTATATACTTGAAAGTTGTCGCCTCAAAGTACTGAAAGAACAAAGGAAGAGATCACCTGTACCTGTTAAAAGTCAAAATGACAAAAACGTTTCTCATTTAAGACAGTTCACTTAAAGACCAAATAACCACCACCATTTCCCCAAAAACTGGAAAGAAATGATCTTGAGCTTTAGAAGGGGAAACAATAAATCTTAGCATATACAAAGATCTGATGCTTTTGCCAGTGATTAACCTATCATTGCTGAATACCTACAGCTAAAAATCCAGAAAACAAAAACAAGTCAGAAGTCAGAGTAGGCTTGCTGGACACTTCCCATTCTGGATTTATAGCGGGACATGGCTGAACAGGTAGGACACGGATTCCCCATTGTGTGTCCTTCGGATTGCTTCGGCCAAGATCATGGAAATGTCAATGACCTAAATGCCAATGAGAAAAACAAAGGGAGAAGGGAAGCAGGACATCTTAGTTAGAGTTCTTTAAACATTGAAAAGCTGGAAAGCTGAGAAACAATTTCTGCAGCATACATGATGTGTTGCTATCAAAACTTCCGACACTTTTGAGAGGACAGACAGCTTTGGGGTATGTCTTCAAATTACAACCCGTTGAACCAGACCCATATGGGATCCTGGAAGGGAGATTTTCAATGCAGAGACAGAAGGCTTTTCAGGGATACTGTTAACCAGAGACATCCTTTTCCAGGGGCATTTGTTGTTTTAAATTAAGTTTAATCATTATACGGAAGGTTTTTCTTTCTGTTTCTGAAAAGGCGGTGACTGCGTCATTTAAGAGCACAACTGTGATCATCTAACTCAGGGGTCAGCAAACTATAGAGGACCAAATAGTTAACATATTTGACCTTGGAAGCCAGAGGGTCTCTGTCACAAATACTCAACTTGCCCATTGTAGCGTGAAAGCAGCCACGGGCAATACATATATGAATGGACGTGGCTGTGCTCTGATAAAAATTTGCAGAAACAGATGACAGGCTGGATTTCACTTGCGAGCCATAGTGTGCCAACTCCCATCCTAAACTACTGCTAATCAGGCATGAAAATATATGACATCGCTATCCTGACCATTTCCAGACTTACTGCTTTGTGTCAAGCAAATTGCTTTTCTCTCTGAGGAATCAGAAATCATGAAGCAGATCACTGTGATGCACCTTCATGCTACGCTGATGGGAGCCGAGGCTTTGGAGCAATGAAATGACTTGCCAAGGTTCACAGCGACATAGAGGCAAAATGGGCCTCAAACCCTTTTGACTTATTTCAGGCCAATTGCTATCTATATGATTACCAGCTCTCTGCTGGCCCGTCGGCATCCAATCAGCAGGGACGGGAAGGAGCAAAGCTCTGAAGATCCTCAGCTCAGCCTGCTGCTCCCACCCCCATTTTTTCACTGTGTGAGTGTGTATGTATCTATCTATGTATCTATCTATTTATCTATCTGGCTAAGATCAAGTATAGTGTCTGTTCTTATCAGTTGAAAATTTACATATATAACATCAAATTTGCCATTTTAACCATTTTTAAGTATACAATTTATTGGCATTAATTACATTCCTAATGTGTGAAACTATCACCATTGTTTATTTCCAAACTGTTTTCATCATCCCAAACAAAAACTATATAGTCATTAAATGATAGATAACGCCCCACTGCCCCCCCCACCCCCAGACCCTGATAGGCACCATTCTACTTTGTCTCTATGAATTTTCCAATCTCAGGTACCTCCTAGAAGCGGAAACACAATATTCCTCCTTTTGCATCTGGCTTTTTTCACTTAGCACGATGTTTTCAAGGTTCATCCATGCTGTAGCATGTGTCAGGATTTCTTTCCCTTTAAAGGCTGAATAGTATTCCATCGTAGCGACAGAGCACACTTTGGCCATCTGTTTGTCCGTTGATGGCCATTGGGTGGTTCTACCTTTTGGTTATTGTGAATAGTGCTGCTATGAACATGTCTGTACAAGTTTCTGTTTGAATATGTTTCCAAATTTGGGGGGCATATACCTAGGGGTGGAATTATTGGATCATATGATAATTCTAAGTTTAGCTTTAGCACAACCCGTTTCTGACTGTTTTTCCATTGTGATTTTCTTCACTCTCTATTTCTAAATAGCGAACGTTGACCTCTGCTGGTCCTGGCCTTTTTCAGGGATCTAATATGATTTATATCCTGCCGTCATGAGAAGCTGCCGCCTCTGCCAAGCATGTGCCTTAGCAAGGAGCCACACACACACAAGACATGATGCTATTTTTAAGGATCTAAAGTAGGTGCCTGGCTGCTTGGCTGCCTTTGGTGTATAGACAGTACCTGAATCTTGGTGCAGTGTTTCATTTTGTCCTCTTGCGGAATTGTGTTTGTGACGACAACAGCCTCAAAGGCGGCATTATTTATTCTGGAAATAGCTGGTCCAGAGAAGATCCCATGGGTAAGGATAGCATACACTTTGGTGGCTCCAGCTGACAGCAGCCTGTAGAACAGCAGAAGATAAAAATTAAGGGTATGCAAATATTCTTGGAATACTCTCCCCTAGTATGAATGGTAAAAGCACAAAGTGTGCTCCGTAAAAGAAAAATGCAACAAATTTCACTCACATTTATTAACCTAAGATAGGATCACTCAAGCATGAGCAAAACACTTTGTATTCCATTAAATCGGGGACTATCAACCTTGGCACTTGAGCCAGGATAATTCTTTGTCACGGGGGCTGTCCTACGCATTATGGGAAAATTCAACAGCATCCCTGGCCTCTACCCACTAACGACAACCCACCCCTCAGCCGTGACAACAAAAAATGTCTCTAGACATTGCCACATGTCTCCCAGGGAGCAAAATCACTCCTGGTTGAGAACCACCTGTTTAAACCAATATAGCCAAACATCATTGTTTTGATGTGTAATCAACATAAAAACATATATGTAAATGAGATATATATTCATTGTTTCATATTAAGTCTCCAAAACCTAGTGGCCTTTTTATACTCTCAGCACATCTCAAGTCAGACTGGCCATATTCCAAGAGCTCCACGGCCACGTGTGGCTGGGTGGGGGCTTCCATACTGGGCAGCAGCTCTACAAATCCTCCAGACACCCATGTGGCTGAGAAGGCTGGCACGAAAGCCAAATGGAAGGAAGCTAGGGCCTGAAGAAGCCCGAAAAACCATCTTTCCTGTCGTGCTCAGTGCAAAGGGAAGCACCTTCTTTGACCTTTTTCCAGGTACACTACAAGCTCACCCTGGAAAACGAAAAGGCCCGTGCTTTCTTTTCTACCAGAGAAAGAAGTATAAAGATAAAAGGGCCTAGAATCTCCTTTGGTCTAAAACTCCACTGCCAAGACCGGCAATAATCAGGAAAAAAGAGCCCAATTTCTAAAAGCTGATGTGTTTCCCTTTCCTAGTGAGAAGTCCTAACGCTTTCCCCACCGCCCTGCGTACTTGTCCGCAGCATGGCAGATGGTGCCGCAAGTGTCAGCCATGTCATCCACGAGGATGGCCACACGGTCCTTCACGTCGCCCACCAGGACCATCCGGTCCACTTCATTCGCCTTCTTCCTCTCTTTGTGGATCAAAGCAAATTCCACATTCAACCTGTCTGCAATTGATGTAACCCTGGCAAAGGCACAAATGAACATGTTCATACAGTCAACTAGAGATCTCGCCTTTAAAGTTGTATTTTGGGAATGTAGCAGGCAACCACACCCGAGAGATGATGCAAGAATCAGGCCTCTCTTGATCAGCCCAGGCATGGTCTGGGGCAGGCACTTAGCAATCCACAGGGAGAAATGTGCTAATGGCGGACCTTGCAATTGGGGCAGCTAGGAATGACCGTCAGGGCACCCTGGCCACTGGATAGAACTACTGGGTAAGAATTTGATATTCAGTTTGTTAGTATTTGTGGGTAGCATTTTAAAACCATGACAGGTACAACTTAAAGTAAGTTATTTAGGAACTACTATTTGCCCAGTTTGTGGCACAGATAGTGGGGACAAAAGTCCTGGTTAATACAGCCATCTAATATGTAGGCTAGTCAGGATGGGCTTCATTGCATTCAAGGTCTAAGGAGACTTTAAACTGTGAGTCCAGCTCCTCTGCTCATCTAAGGCAAATGCTCAGACATCAATGGTGCCAGGCATGGCATCGTGCCTGTAGGCCCAGCTACTCAGGAGTCGCAGGTAGAAGGATGGCTTGCGTCTGAGTTCGAATACAGCCTGGACAACATAGCAAGATCCCATCTCTTTAAAAAAAAAAATCACTAGCTCAGGAGGAGCTGAGCTGCCAACAGGAAGAGAAAGTGGGCAGGCCTCGCTTGCTGGTGAGCCTGGGGCATTTCAGATTTTCCTGTGAAGAGTGGATTTAAATGGTGAAACTTATTTCAAGACAATGCCACAGGTATAATGTAACATTAAGATTTTCCTTTTCCAGTTTTTAAAATAACAGTCATTATGCAATTTAGCTGAAAAAATGCTTTGGGGACCAATACACACATGGCCCAACTTAAGACGCAGTACATGGAGGATATAACCTCCACACACTAGTTTTAAAGTCCTAGTCCTACTCATTGTGTCATCCTCAGATGACGACCAGGAATGGAGCTCCTCGCGTGCTCTGATGAAGGACAGAGGGGACACTCTCTGGGGCTGAGAAGGCAGTGGGAAGGGCAGTTAGGTGCTCCAGGCTCCCCTCCCTATTTCTGAGGATTTTCACAACACAACCAGTGTTTCTTTTCTTTTCTTTTTTTTTTTTTTTTTTGAGACAGTTTCACTCTTGTTGACCAGGCTGGAGTGCAATGGCACAATCTCGGCTCACTGCAACCTCTGCCTCCTGGGTTCAAGTGATTCTCCTGCCTCGGCCTCCTGAGTAGCTGGGGTGATAGGCATGCACCACCACTCCTGGCTAATTTTGTATTTTTAGTAGAGACAGGGTTTCTCCATGTTGGCCAGGCTGGTCTCGAACTCCTGACCTCAGGTGATCCGCCCACCTCAGCTTCCCAAAGTGCTGGGATTACGGACATGAGCCACTGTGCCCAGCCAGTGTTTCTTTTCAATTGTGGTAAAATATACATAACACAGAATTTATCCTTGGAGCCATTTTAAAGTGTATTAATTCAATGGCATCAAGTACATTCACAACATTGCACAACTATTATCTCTGTCTAGTTCCAGAACATTTCATGATATCAAAAGGAAACCCCACACCCCTTAAGCAGGCACTCCCTATTCTCCCCTCCCCCCAGGCCCTGCCAAGCATGAATCTATTTTCTGTCTCTATTCTGAACTTTTTGTATAAATGGAATCATAAAATACGTGCATTTTTGTGTCTGGCCTCTTTCAATTAGCATAAACTGTTCATAGTCCATCCACACGGCTGCATAGATGAGTACTTCATCTCTCTTTAAGTCTGAATAACATTCCATTGGGTGGATACAGCGCATTGCGTTCATCCATTCATCTGTTCATGGCCACTCAGGTTGGTTCCACCTTTTGGCTATACTGAATACTGCCGCTATGAACACTGGTGTATAAGTATCTGTTTGAGTCCCTGTCTTCAAGTCTTTGGGGAATATACCTCAGAGTGGAATTGCTGGGTCATATGGTAACTCTGTATAACCTATTCGGCTAATATTTCCTTTTTTTTTTTTTTTTTTTTTATGAGGAACATCTTTTATTTCTTGTAAAGAGGGGAAAATAAGATTTTTTAATATTTCTCACTCATAAGATTTTTAAACTCTTAAAAATGCAATATCCTCTTTTCAAAGCACATGCCATCTTAAAAAAATCTTAGCAATGTACATTTGCACTCAAAGAAAAACATGGCAGCACCACTGTCTTCTGACAAAATTCTGCATAAAAAAACCCTATGCAACTTTTTGCAAATATGTTCCTTCTTTATTATTCAGGGACACCAAACCACAAACATTCAGTGCAATATTTATTGTTTTTTATTTCCGTAGGAAACACAGGACCAATGATGTCTTCTGACAACTGTTTCCTGATGATTTGTTGGGTTTATTGGATCTGAGGATCCTCGGATCCAATAAACCCAACAAATGAATTCCCAAACAATCTTAACAAAACTATAGAAGACCAAGAAAGCTTAAAAGAGACAAAGAATAAAGACAAGTCACCTAGTAAGGATGGCCAAGTCCTCAACTTCCCCAATGGAAGCCAGAAGTTATGGAGTCATATCTTCAATGTGATATGAGAAAATAACTCTCAGGCTAGGAGTCTATACTCAGCAAAACTGCCTTTCCAGAAGGAGAGCAAAATAAAGATAGTTTCAGCCAAACTATACAACCTGAGAATTTATTTCTAACATATAACCACTTAAAGAATGCAACTTAAGCAAAAGGAAAATCACCACAGATACATTGAGATGTGGTGAGGGGCAGGGGCAGAGAAAGGTAAGCAAAGATATTGATCAATATGTGGACAAATCTAAACAAATGTTGATTGTACAAAACCAAAATAATAATAATGTCTACTTTGTGGAGAAGGAAAAACTAAAGCATATAGTAGCTAAGCATGGTGGCTCACACCTATAATCCCAGCATTTTGGGAGGCCGAGGCAGGCAGATCACTTGAGCCCAGGAATTGGAGACCAGCCTGGGCAACATAGTAAAACCCCATCTCTACAAAAAATACAAAAATTAGCCAGGCATGGTGGCATGCGCCTTTAGTTCCAGCTACTTGGGAGGCTAAGGTGGCAGGATTACTTGAGCCTGGGAGATCGGGGGCTGCAGTGAGCTGTGATCGCGCCACTACACTCCAGCCTGGGCAACAGAGCAAGACTCTGTCTCAAAAACAAAAAAACCACATAGTAAGGTGGTGGTCATAAATCCAACTATGTCAATTATCATAAAAGAAAAGGGACCAAACTTTCCAGTTAAACACAGAGACTGTGAGATAAGAGAATAAGACATCAACGTCCTTGAAGCAAAGGGAATCATTACTATATTGAGGTCCATGTTTCTCCTACCCTTAGAACACTCATCCTACCCTTAAAACACTCATTCTTCAGGATGCAACCAAAACCACAGTAGCCCTAGCAGATACCCTTTGTTTGTAAACTTGTCTAGCTGTCAACAGTTTCCTTACTTAAAGATTTAATTAAAAAAATTAATTTAAAGGCCAACAAAAATTTTGCTCCATCATCACCTTAAAACACCTACAGTTCAGCCAGGCACGGTGGCTCACAGCTGTAATCCCAGCACTTTGGGAGGCCGAGGTGGGTGGATCACCTGAGGTTAGGAGTTCAAGATGAGCCTGGCCAACATGGTGAAACTCCATCTCTACAAAAATACAAAAAGTAGCCGGGCATGATGGTGGCTGCCTGTAACCCCAGCTACTTGGGAGGCTGAGGCGGGAGAATCGCTTGATCCCGGGAGGTGGAGGTTGCAGTGAGCCAAGATCACGCCATTGCACTCCAGCCTGGGCGACTGAGCGAGACTCCATCTCAAAAAACAAACAAACAAAAAAACACGTACAGTTCTATTATCTACATGCCAATGTCATAAAAGCCACTCAAACTCCAGGTAAGGAAAGCTACTTTCTGGGAACATGAGACAGGTTTTCCCAAGACACATGAACACCTCGCACAAAATGTCCACATACATTACCGTCTGCTTATTTGGTAACGACTAGGCAGATTTGGGCATGACAGGATACCAATCCACAGCCCAGCACTGGGAAGCACTGCCCTTTGTGGTGGAAGTTCTATACCGGAGAAGTTAAAGCAGAACCTGTTTTCATCTCTCTGCCAGGTGGCGCCTGTTCTCACGAGCCTGCTCACAAGCAGACAGCAGGGTAGGCATGGAAGTGGGACTGGGAAAGAAGGTGAGCTCTGTGGTTCTTGGCAGTGGGGGACACAGACATCTCACTTGAGTGGGGAGCCCTAGCCACTAAAAGGTATCCAATGGTAATGTCAGAAGAAGAAGATAAGAGAAAATACCCCTGCAAACAGCTTCCTGGGTTGTTAGAACGCTATGATTTCCTGAAAAAGCTATAGGTAACTCTTCTTTTCCTTGTATATCATGGAGACCTAATACATACTCCTAACAAATGATGTTGACACAACATACCACACTGAAATCTTAGGCAGAAAAAGGCAGAACGAAAATTATATACATACAGTTTTGGATTTCTTCTGGGCACATATTTACAATCTTTTCTCTGTGGGTGCATGTGCCATATCAGCTCCCCCAGGAGAGACAGATACATAGTACACCAAATTATTCATAGTGGCATCACTGGTTGAGATATAAAGTGTTAAGATTTTCTTCTTTCTACTTTCCAAATTTCCTATAGAGCATCTTCAAAGATTATGTAATCAGAAAAAAAGTTAAATCTGAGTTATCTAGTTTTACCCTCTTCCCATACCACTTTTAGGTTGACACTTGCTATCTCAGCAGTGGTAGGTAGGTTTCTTAGGTTTAATTTTCTTTCCGTGGTCAACCCAACCAAGCTACAAAGCCTACCCAAGAGTGACCTCCTGTGGCAACATTCAGTTTTACCCGGAACGAGTCAAGCTTCAAAGCTTTTTCTAAAGCAACAAGCTCCAATTGGTCAGACAGAAATTTACAGTATTTTATTTTGCTAACTATGACCTTTTGCATCAAGCAAAGAAGTCACAGATAATGTCAACTGCATATGTCATGTATTACCCGCAAGGCTGTTCTGAGGAGACTGTCAGTTGGGGGCTAGAATATGAGGATGACAATAATGTGTAGCAGAAACACTTGGAAAAGAGAAAGGAGGTGACAAAAATTCTGAAATGTACTTCCCTAAAAAGCTTGATTTTCCTGGCAGAGGGAGCAGGGGTGATTGAGTGCAGACTGCTTGAAAGGAGGTCTCAACAAAACAAAACAGCATCTCAACCCCAGCCATTTATTCTGTTTACTTTATTCTGCATTTTTTTAAAAGTAGGAGTTGGCAAATAGCTATCTATTTGAAATGGGGAACTCTGTATATGATGAAAGATGCCATTTCAAATCAATAGAGGTGGATTATTTAATAAATAGTTTTGGAAAAACTAGACAGTAGAGTCGGGGGTGGGGGGGCTGGATTCTTATTTCATTCTTTATTCCAAAATAAATTTCAGATGGAAGTAAACTTGGGACATTAAAAAAGAAAAAAATATACAGAATCATGGGAGAAGACAAATTTTAAGAGAAGGATGACTCCTACATAAACTCAGAAGCCATAATGTGAAGAAAAAATAAACCTGACTACGTAAGAAGGTTTTTAAAGTCCTGCAGAGAATAAAAATACAAAATAGGAGAAGAAATGAAAAAACTTGGAGAAATATTTGCAACACACATGAGAAACAGCTGTGATCTCGTCTATGCAAAACTGTAGACAATCCACAAGAAACGTCCCAGCCAAGAGAACAATAGGCAAAAGATTTGAATAGAGACCCATCTCATGGAAAATCAACATACCCTGGTGAGGGCACTACCCTCACCCACAGCAACCAGAGCTCACAGGAAGAGGATGCCATAGATCACCTACCTGATCTGGAAGTAAACTGCCTGATAACCCACTGTGTGAGCAAGGCTGTGTAGAAAGTCACTGGCATCCATACATGATGGAATGTCAACTGGTATATTTTTTGGAAAAGACCATATTTTGGCACTGCCCATCAAACCTAAAATGGCTCATGCCTTTTGACTCGGCAATTCCACTTCTAGGAACGTATCCTACTAGCACACGTGTACAAAATGTCAAAGCAACGATATTGCTTCACAACTGCATTTAAGAGTGCAAACAACGGCACCTACAAATGGGGAAGAGGGGGCCTGACTGGTCACAGGAGCTGTGGTACATGCACACAAGGGAATATTGCACAGCTGCACAACACGACTATGGAATCATTGTTAAGATACAGCAAGTGAGTTTTTCAGAAAAGCACAGTGAAGAACTGTGTACATCGCATTGCCATTTGCGTGAAATAAATAGGCAGATATACGCTTAAATAACACAATTCTGACACTGGAAATAACGGTGGCATTTAAAGAACAGGGATGGGACACTTTTGTACTGTCTGAATTTCTGCTAAGAGCATGTATGATATTCTTAGACTATGTATATAAAAACAAGGTTGGGGGAGGAAAGAAAGATGGTCATACAAATTTGTGGAATCTACTATTCTTTGGGCTGAGTAGCTGCCAAAATAACATTTTCTGGTTTACAAAGGTATCTGCCAGACACAAAGGCCATGTTCTATACTACCAATTGATATACAAAGTCTCCAAAAGATAACCCCATAAAGATAGAAAGTAGATTCCTGGCTGCCAGGGATAAGGTGGGGGGAAGTAAATGGGGAGTGACTGCTAATGGGTACAGGGTTTCTTTTTGGGGTGATAAAAATGCTCTGGAATTAGATAGTGATGGTTGCACAAATCTCTGAATATGCAAAACACTGCTGAACTGTACACTTTAAATGGGTAAACTGTACGTATTTGGAGTTTTTTGGTATTTTCTTTTTCTTTTTTGAGACGGACTCTCGCCCTGTCACCCACGCTGGAGTGCAGTGGCGTGATCTCGGCTCACTGCAACCTCCACCTCCCAGGTTCAAGTGATTCTCCTGCCTCAGCTTCCTGAATAGCTGGAATTACAGGCGTGCACCACCAAGCCCAGCTAATTTTTGTATTTTCAGCAGAGACGGGGTTTCACCCTGTTGGCCAGGTTGGTCTCGAACTCCTGACCTCAAGCGATCCACCTGCCTTGGCCTCCCAAAGTGCTGGGGTTACAAGTGTGAGTCACCACACCCGGCCAATTGTACGTATTTGAATTACATTGTAACAAAGCTGTTATTATAACCCAGTTACATCTGACGCTCGCTCCTGTACCCCTTTGGCTGGATTCTTTGCCTCTAACCTTCCACTGGGCCAGTGCATTTGCCTCATTTGAATGCAGATTCCATGTGACTTGCAGAAGTTTCCAAGTCAACTGCAAGCATTTCTAGTAGATATGACTCCAAAATGTTGCTCACAATCTTTTGCAGAGGACTCTCAGCGTCATTCAACCTTGATTCTTGGCCAAGGGCATTTTTGTGAACATTACACACCGTACAGTAATAGGCTACGTGACACAGCGCTGCCCTCCACCCCGTGACTGCCCACCTAGGGTCTTTGCAAGTTAACTTTCTGCTCCCGTCTTTTATATATTTGTGTCTCCTCCCTGGCCACAGCCACTTCCTGCTGCTGGCAGAGGCCGATCTCCAGCTGCATGGTCCGTTCCTTCTCTTCTGTGCTGGGAACCCCAGCAGCCGTTGGAAGGCAGCTTTGAGCAGAATGAACAAGGCTCTTCTAAGAATCAGGGCCTGTGTTTCCCTGCAAGAGTGTTAAGACAACTTTCTGGGCTACTTCTAAGCTTTTGTGTTAGATCCTAGGTCCTCAGCTGGGCTGCAGGCAGATGAGGGTGCCAAATGAGGGACAGGCTTTTGATGTCAGACATTCCAAAGGCTGATCACTTGTCACTCTCATCACTCCTCTATTAGTGCACATTTAGAGCTTCCTTGCTTCCTCACTGGACTGGGGGGTAGAAGTCTCTCCTACTTCTCCCTTATGGAGGTCTCTACCTACACAATAAAACTCCCTTCCCAGCTTTTTTTCTTCCCAGATAGCATCTGCAAAGCTCTACAAGGTCATTGGGTCACCAAGCCTCAGCTTGCAGCATTCTCTTATTGTGCTCATCCTTGATTCTGAACACCCTGTACCCTGATTGCTTGTTAACGCCTCGAGTATCTCTGTGAAGCCCTTCAGAGGTGCTACTTAGTACCACGTTCTCACACCACTGGGTGCCTCATCACTGCCGTACTGTTACGACCAGGTTGTTGTTAACTCTCCTTCACCTCAGTTTCCTTTTAAACTTACTTATTTGATAGTCCAGTAATTATTATCTTATCCCCAAGTATTGGCTGCCTGCTGCCCTGTTGTCTGCACATGCTGGGCCTGCGTGGACTGTGTTCTCTTGGTTTTCTAACTTTGGATCAGGCATCGGGTCAGGTTGAGCAGGGAGCACTCACCGAGCAGCTAGGATTGTGAAATTCTCCCTCTGCAGGGGCTCTGCAGCCTGGAGCACATTTTCGTGTGCATTCCACTCCACATCTGAATGTGGCACAGGCTCGTGGTTTGACTTCTCATAGGTGACTATTTCCTCCCCTAAACCAAAGGCCGAGGTAAAGATGGGCTTTCCCCCTGGCTTTTGGCTAGAAATCTGGCCTTCAGCCCTCTTCTCTTCTTCTTCTTCTTCTTTTTTTTTTTTTTAGAGTCAGGGTCTCACTCTGTTACCCAGGCTGGAGTGCAGTGGTGTGATCATAGCTCTCTGCAGCCTGGAGCACCTGGGCTCAAGTGATTCTCCCGCCTCGGCTTCCCAAGGTGCTAGGATTACAGGCATACATCACCGTGCCTGGCTTTAACTCCCTTCTTTATGGGGGTTTCCAGGTGAGTATTAAAACCCAAGCCACCAGGCTCTTGCTGGATCTGATGCCCATCCCCCAAGCCACCTGGACATGGCTTTCCGCCTCTGCTTTATTTCTTGGTCTCAGATATTTCCTTCTTGGTATTCTATGTACAGAGATTTCTTTTAAAAAAAAATTGTTCTATTTTGGCTACCATTTCCAAGTGCTGTTAATTAAAAGACTTATTTTCCAATTAGGCTCATTACTTTTATAATCAGAAAACGATAACTTAAAAAAACCTCAAACACATCTACCCTTTGCTGAAAACAAATAAACCAATATATACCTATTGTGTATGTGTGTCTCTGTATTTTCTTCTTTCCTGAATGACGAAATATTAACAAAGATGATGGGTTTCTGCTCTGGAAGTGAAGCCTGCGGTCTACTTACTTGCTCATTAGCAAAATAAAGCTTTAAGTAATTTACAGCATGCTTCCTTATCTAATACATCGGAAAAGGAAAAACCAATCAGCAGATGGAGAAATCTGCAAGGTGTAGCCTGCATGATACCTTTTGGCTCCCCCTGCGTCAGGTGAAACAATGATACAGTTCTTCCACTCGGCAATGTTTTCCCGAATCCACTGCAGGACTGCGGGCTCCGCATACAAATTATCCACAGGAATATCAAAGAATCCCTAAAGGGAGAAGTGAGTGTCATGTTGCAGGGTTTTGTTTTGTTTTGTTTTCTTTTGTTTTTTTAAACGATAATCGCTTTCATTAAATAACATTTGCATTTTTTGTTCAAAAGAAGCTTTTATAACAGACTCCCTTTTGTTAATTTTAAACAGAATTAAATCAAAAGACAGATATGTTATAGGGGCATATTTCAGTCCAATCTGTCTCTTGGGACATATTCCATTGTCTTATGATGGCCTATATTCTGAGGAATAGAATGGCTATGCAGGACGGTGAGGGAAAAGGTTTGTTGTCTCTTAAGTAGTTATTATAAATCAAATACTTCACGTTCATTATATAACACAAAGTGGCACAGTATAATTTGGCCTGTTTTAGAGACAAAGAAAATAAGTTATGAAGAAGTTAAAAAGTGTACATTATGACTGCCGTTCTAATTATTTTCCATAAGCTGAGATGGAACTATATAGAGCTTACTACCAAAAAGCCATCCCCACTCCTCCAAAATTGACTGGGGGGCAAGGTGGTGATAGAGACTGGAAGTACTAATATCAAATTATATTTTCAAGTTTAGTAAAGACAAAAATCCAAGAGAGTAGCCATATATAAACTCAAACACAAGTAATGTTACCTAAGATTATTTAATTTAACAGACTTGATTTAACCATTTGCAGAAGGAAAACACGGATACCTGTATCTGAGAAGCATGCAGGTCCATGGTGATGATGTGATCCGCCCCAGCCACCGACAGCATATTGGCCACAAGTTTTGCAGAAATTGGGGCACGACTCTACAAGTAAGAACATTAATTTTATAACAGGAAAAGATGGATACTGTTAGATTCCTCCCACTAAGACGTACATGAGAAGGATAAATCATAGATGCAATCAACGAAGCATCAAAAAGAAAATTATACATGTTGTGACAGCAAAAGATATATTCATTCCATCTTATTCAGCAAATATTTACTATTTACATATACTACTGCAAAACTAAGTGCTTGACGCTGGGTATAGAGAACAAATATGAAAGAAGCAAACAGTTAAACATATGTACATGTAATGTCACAATCTGTGTAACTGAAATCATGGTAAGTGTGTAGAAATAAAAGGTACCGAGAGAGAGAGATGATAGTAGTAGGAAGGGCATAAAGTTTAAACAAGATCATTATTAGCGGTCCCTCTGAGGAAATCACTTTTAAGGCAAGTTTAGCAAAGGCGAGGAGAATAGTGTTCTAGAAGGACAGAGTGGCACATGTGAGATCACTGAGGTCAAGAGACCCTCACACAGCCAGAGGCTAAAAGAAGTCCAGCTATTAAAGAGGAATTCATGAGCCGACATTTGGACATGAGCTGACAGTTGGACGCTAACACTATTACAAATGGAAAAAAACAAGGTCAAAGAATGAATACTGTAAGGGGATTGATAATAGTTACTATTTAATTTCATACTTAGTGTCATTTACTGATATTATGTTCTTTGTAAAATTACCTAACTTTTCTATAGCTTTGGTTTCCACATCATAAATTATGGACAATACAACTGCCCACATCAAAGAAATCCAAGAAATTATATAGACACATGATTAGACCTAGGTGGCGTTCAGCATTTTGTTGTAAACAACAGTATTTCTATATATCAGCCACAAAAAAGAAAATAAAAGCTTAAAAAAAGATTTCATTCAAAATAGTAACAAATGATCCTTGTTACACACACACACACACACACACACACAGTATATTCATGTAAAAACACATGCAGGAAGGAATTACATTGAAAATGTTAACAGATTATTTGTGTTTTCCCTAATATACCACTTTTTAAAAAGAAATATATATTTTATCAAAAATAGGTATATATGGGGCGCGGTGGCTCACGCCTGTAATCTCAGCACTTTGGGAGGCCGAGGTGGGCGGATCACGAGATCAGAAGATCCAGACCATCCTGGCTAACATGGTGAAACGCTGTCTCTACTAAAAACACAAAAAATTAGCCAGGCGTGGTGGCGGGCGCCTGTAGTCCCAACTACTTAGGAGGCTGAGGCAGGAGAATTGCTTGAACCCTGGAGACAGAGGTTGCAGTGAGCCGAGATGGCACTACTGCACTCCAGCCTGGGCGACAGAGCGAGACTCCATCTCAAAAAAAAAAAAAAAAAAAAGGTATGCATGTATGTTCAAAACAGAAAGAAAAGAATGAGAGGAAAACACTCTAAAAAGTTAACAGATGTTTCTGGAATGTGAGATTATAGGAAAATATATTTTTCTTGTTTTTTTATTTTTTCAATCTTCTCCACTAATTATAGATCATAACTCATGTTTTCATCATTTAACTCCCCCGTACTATATTCCATGTTGCCTTTGGGATAAAATCGAATTTTCGCAGCAGAACACAGCTCCACACTCTGCATTCAGTAGTTCTTCAATAAATATTTACTAACAGAATCTCTATTAACACTAAATGTCCAAGGCTTACTCATTAGCCTCACTAATTGTGAGAATTATTTAGTGTAACAAAGTTCCAGGATAATAAAAAGAGCAAATCAGTTGCTACAACTGCTTTGTAATAGAACCTGATTTGCAATACTAATCAATTTTGTGCTTTTCCTACAATTGTCGAATCAGTTACTACGGGTTGAAAGGTCACCTCCAAAATTCAGGTGTTGCCAATGTGATAGGATTAAGAAGTGGGGCCTTTAAAAGGTGATTAGGCCATGAGGGCTGCTCCCTTGAGAGCGGGATTAAGGTCCTTCTAAAGGAGGCTTCAGGCAGCATTTTGCAAACTTGCCCTTCTGTCTTATATCATGTAAGGACACAGCATTCTTCCCTCTGGAGGACGCAGCCCGTACCAGACACCAAATGCTAGTGCTTGGTCTTGGTCTTCCAGTCTCCAGGACTATGAGAAAATATATTTTTGTCCTTTTTTTCCCCCCTCCCAGGACACACGTTCAAAGAATATTTCTTTTTTTTTGAGATGGAGTTTCGCTCTTGTTGCCCTGGCTGGAGTGCAATGGTGTGATCTCGGCTCACCGCAACCTCCACCTCCCGAGTGGCTGGGATTACAGGCATGCGCCACCACAACCGGCTAATTTTGTATTTTTAGTAGAGAAGGGGTTTCTCCATGTTGGTCAGACTGGTCTCGAACTCCCGACCTCAGGTGATCCGCCCACCTCAGCCTCCCAAAGTGCTGGAATTACAGGCGTGAGCCACCGTGCCCAGCACCAAAGAATATTTCTGTTCTTTATAAATTACCCAGTGTGTGGTATTTTGTTACAGTAGCACAGACTAAGATGCCAGCAAAAAGAATCCTCCCTTCTCATCTCTCCTCAGTGGCATCCAGTGTTTCTTAACTTCTAGGATCCAAACCACAGGGTAATTCCTAAATTCACGCTTTCTGATTTTCTTCTTCACACCTTGTTTACAAATTTGGTTTCTGTTCTGTGTCTCAGAGTTTGGCTCATACCCAACTGAATCTTGCAGGAAAAATGATTTACTAGTTAACTGACTTGCTAGCCTATACAAAGAAAAGTAAGTACAGCACTGAAACAAAGGTAGTGTCAAGGTACAGTAGCCAAAAATAAAACATTCAGCTCCCTTAGTGAAAAACGCATAAAAGTCAAATGTTTTGCAAGTCAGCCCAATCATGACAGAGTCCCAGGCTATTCCAGATGTTATTCAAGGCATCAAATATCACCTTTTGAAAAGTGTAAAATTGACAGGCTTTTAAAAAAATTACAAGACTGTAGAAATTCACATCAGGAAAAACTGTTCTCAATTTCTCTGCTACAAAAAAGGAAAAAAAGAAAATCTTATTGAAAACAGAACATGATCTTGAAAATGATTTTGAAAAAAGAAAAAAGAAATCCCCAAACTACAAGTCCTTTACCCGCCTCAGAAGTAATTATTCCCAGTCTTGCCCACAATCTACCTTTTTTTTTTTTTTTCCTTTTGAGACGGAGTCCCGCTCTGTCACCCAGGCTGGAGTGCAGTGGTGAGATCTCAGCTCACTGCACTACAACCTCTGCCTCCTGGGTTCAAGCAATTCTCCTGCCCCAGCCCCCTGAGTAGCTGGGATTACAGGCACACGCCACCAGGCCTGGCTAATTTTTGTATTTTTAGTAGAGATGGGGTTTCACCATGTTGGCCAGGCTCTTCTCGAACTCCTGACCTCAGGTGATCCGCCCGCCTTGGCCTCCCAAAGTGCTGGGATTACATGTGTGAGCCACCATGCCCGGCCCAACCTACTGTTTTTACCAGGGAAGGGAACCAGCAGTTATTGAGTGTCTTCTATAGCAGGGACCGGCAAATTAGAATCCATGGGCCAAACTTAGCCCACAGCCTGTTTTTGCATAACCTGTGAGTTAACAATGGTTTTTACGTCTTTAAACGGTTGAAAAACAATCAAAAGAAGAACAATATTTTGTGACATCTGAAGATTATATGAGGTTCATATTTCAGTGCACATAAAGTTTTACTGGAACACAGCCGCACCCCTTCATGTACACATTGACTAATGGCTGCTTTCACACTAAAATGGCAGAGTGGAGCTGCTGCAATAGATACCCAACGGCCCACAAAGCCCAAAATGTTTGACATCCAGCTCTTTTCAGAAAAAGTTTGCCCACTCATGTATCATAATATGGTAGGTACTTCATAAATAGTAGCTAGTGTCGTACTTAATTTACAGATAAGGAAACTAAAGATACAGACAGTTTAAGTAACTTTTACAAAGGATAAACTGAGTAAATAATGGGCTGGAATTCAAATCTGAGCCTACTTGATTCTCAGTGCCAGAGCTCAGACCACTTGGCACCATGTCTTTTACAATTAATATTACATCATCATTATTTTTCTATGTTAACATTACATTGTATGGATGTGTCCTAATTTATGAAACCATTCCTTCACCATCAGAATCTGTCCCTGGTGTCTTGTACATACAAAGAAAACCCCAAATAAAATGTTACATATGTGCAGGGCTTGCTTAAAAAGCAGCAGCAAGGTTTACAGAAAAAAACAAAACCAGCTTTGAATCTGGTTAAAAGCTTCCAGATTTTTTTTTTCTGGGCTTCTTTGCAAGGCATTCCAAGAAGAGCAATTACACAGAATTTCATTGTCATTAGATGTCATAGGTAATACAGCCCTAAGGGAAGGAAACAGCACAACAGAAAGTCTTGGAGGGCTGCCCAGAGCTCCTCCTGCGGCTGTGCAGGAGCATTTTCTTTCTGGGATGAGAGATCAAGTGTAGGTCACAGCTTCTCATCACAATCTAACGCCACATGGCTTTATACCTTCCTAAATGAAGCAAAAAGGTAGAAGTGCATTTCCCCTAACCCTCACCCCCCACCCCAATCATGCTTGGTCTCCTCATCATTCACCTGTACTGGTAAACAGTAGCACTTGTCTAAGAGATTCTAAGAGATGAAGTATGCTGACAGGCTCTGGCCATCTCTCTTAGGTGCTTACTAAATCCCAGTTCCCCTCACCAAAGTACAGTTTCTCAGTACAAAGCCAAGCCACGTGATCCAAGGTAAGGAAGGAATAGTTAGGAAAAGTATTATCAGCCATTTAAAAAATGCAAAGGTGGGCCAGGCGCGGTGGTTCACACCTGTAATCCCAGCACTTTGGGAGGCCGAGGTGAGCAGATCATTTGAAGTCAGGAGTTCGAGACCAGCCTGGCCAACATAGCAAAACCCTGTCTCTACTAAAAATACTAAAATTAGCCAGGTGTGGTGGCGCAAACCTATAATCCTAGCTACTTGGGAGGCTGAGGCAGGAGAATTGCTTGAACCCCGGAGGCAGAGGTTGCAGTGAGCCAAGATTGTGCCACTGTACTCCAGCCTGGGTGACAGAGCGAGACTCTGTCTTAAAAAAATAAAGCAAAGGCACACCTCAAATACTAGATAAAATTAAGAATTAAGAATTCCCCTTTCAGAAGTTTGGGGAAAGAACAAAATTGTCTCCTCACTATAATGAGTCACACTGACTACACAGACATGTCAGAAATAATGGTGTCAGAACAGCTTATGTGTCTTGGCCACCTCCAGAGGCTATAGAGAGGGTGGCCCTATGTCACTTGCCCAGGACAGTCTAGGCAGACACCTGTTTCCCAACACAGTTATCCATAGAGCTCCCTTTCAATCTTGAAAGCATCCTGGCCTAGATGATAAATGATATGTACTATCTCAAAGCTCAAAGTGTCCTTAAAATATTCGTCTCTTAACACATCAGTGACTTCCTTTAAGGCCTCCTGAAGTGAGCTGAATGGTGGCCCCAAAAATATCAGAGCCCAATCCTTGGAACCTGTAAATGTTACCTTATTTGGAAAGGTTTCTGCAGATGTGATGACATTGAGGATCCTGAGATGGGGAGATTATCCTGGATTATTCAGGTGAACACTAGATGCTACCTCATGTATCCTTTAAAGAGAGATGCCAGGTGTGGTGGTAATGCTTTTAATCCTAACACTTTGGAAGGCCAAGGCAGGAGGATCTCTTGAGCCCAGGAGAATTCCTATTCAAGACCAGCCTGGGCAACATAGTGAGACACTGCCTCTACAAAAAGCAAAAAATATTAGCCAGGCGTGGTGGTGTGCACCTGTAGTCCCAGCTACCTGGGAGGCTGAGGTGGGAGGATCACTTGAGCCCAGAAGTTTGAGGCTGCAGTGAGCTAAGATTGTGCCACCGCACTTCAGCCTGGGTGACGAAGCGAGACCCTGTCTCTAAAAAGAAAATTAAAAATGAGAGAGTGAGCGAGAGATCTGATGGAGACAAAGAGGAGGCCATGCGAAGATTCCAGCAGAGATTAGAGTGATGTGGCCTCAAGGCTGGCAGTCACCAGGAGCTAGAAGAGGCAAGGAAGGAGGAGCCTCCCCTGCAGCCTCCAAAAGGAATATTCCTCTGCCAACACCTTGATGTTGGACTTCTGGCCTCTAGCACTTAAGAGAACATATTTCTGTTGTTTTAAGTCACCCAGTTTGTGGTAATTTGTTATAACAGTGCTAGGAAACGAATACACCCCACCGTGATTCCTTCTTTCCTAGCTGTGTTCTCTAACGAGAAACCACATGACTTCCTAAGCCACTACACACACTGTCTCTCAAATGTTACCAACCGCCCTGCCTCTGCGTGGTTGATGATGAAAGACCTCTCTTCTATCAGCAGTTAAGCTCAGAAAGTCATGGAATTGTCTGACTGGGATAAAAAATTAAAAGCAGCTACAATGTTATTACCAAGAAACACACTTACAGCAAAGTGATTAAAGAAAGGGTAGAAGAAAGAAAAGAAATATGTTTTCACAATGGGTCAAAATGGAAAACACATCTGTCTAACATCAGGAAAGCTGCTACTAGCTAGTTAGACAACACAGTTCCACAAAACAGTTAAAGCCGGCTGGGCGCGATGGCTCATGCCTGTAATCCCAGTACTTTGGGAGGCTGAGGCGGGCAGATCACTTGAGGCCAGGAGTTCGAGACCAGCCTGGCCCACACGGTGAAACCCTGTCTCTACTAAAAATACAAAAAATTAGCCAGGCGTCGTGGCGCATGCTTCCCAGCTACTTGAGAGGCTGAGGCAGGAGAATCCTTAAACCTGGGAGGCAGAGGTTGCAGTGAGCTGAGACGGCACCACTGCACTCCAGCTTGGGCAACAAGAGCGAAACTCCATCTCAAACAAAACAAAACAAAACAAAACAAAACAAAACACAAGTTATAGCCACTGGAGTTCCAGAAATCCATAGGGCTCTTGTTAGTGGTGGCTGGGAGCACTACTGGCAACTAGGGGATGGAGGCTGGACTGCATCACACCTCCTACAATAGAAGGATTGGGAAAAAACAGTGCTAGTTTCTCCAACTCAAATAAGAAAACATTTTGAAAATACAACTTTGTAAAAAGAGGTCACCGCAAATCAGATATGTGCTAACAAAAATGTAGAGCTTCTGATATTTTATCACTTAATGAACAAAATGGGGTTACAAATCGGGTAATAGTGGAGGAGGGCATGTGCAATGATAAAAGGAGTAATTTTCTAAAGAAGTTACAATATATTCAATATCTTAGGGCCAAATACAAAATATAAAATCTATTGTGAGTGAAAGAGCTTGATTAAAAATACAGCTACAGGCCAGGTGCGGTAGCTCATGCCTGTAATCCCAGCACTTTGGGAGGCCAAGGCGGGCAGATCACTTGAGGTCAGGAGTTCGAGACCAGCCTGGCCAGCATGGTGAAACCTCGTCTCTACCAAAAATACAAAAATTAGCCAGGCGTGGTGGTGCACACCTGTAGTCCCAGCTACTCGGGAGGCTGAGGTAGGAGGATTGCTTGAGCCTGGGAGGCGGAGGTTGCAGTGAGCTGAGATCGTGCCACTGCACTTCAGCCTGGGTGACAGAGTGAGACTCCGTCTCAAAAACAAACAAACAAACAAACAACAAAAAACCAGCTACAATGTGAGAATTTACTAAACCACAAGGAAGGAAGAAATAATGGCAGAAAATTAGCTCTTCTATGACATGGATGTGATATGACAAGGAGAAAGATGCTAAACAATCCTGTGGAAACACACAGATGGGAAGAATAGCTAAGACAACAGATTATACCAATGGGACAAAATTAGAAAATTGAAATTTAACAGCTAAAAATACAGTTTAAATCAAGTTTAAAATAAAAGGAGCTGTCTGTATAAATAGCTAGTGGGAGGATACAGCTTCACAGCAGTGTATGTGACCTAAGGTTTTGGCTGCCCAAGGTCAAGTTTAGATCATAAACACACACACACATACACACACACACACACACACACACACACACACGTGCGCACGCAATCTATCAATGGTCTAATACAGGGGTTGGCAAACTGTAGCCTATAGGCCAAATCCAGCTAGCCACCAGCCACCAGCCACTTGTTTTGGTACTGCTTGTGAGCTAATAATGGCTTTCACATGTTTAAATGGTTGAAAAAAATTCAAAATAGTATTTCAAGGCATGTGAAAATAATATGAAATTCACATTTCAGTGTCCATAAATAAAGTTTTATTGGAACACAGCCATACCCATTCATTTACATATTGTCTATTGCTCTTTTTGAAGTACAACCAGAGTTGAATAGTTGCAACACAGACCATATAGCCATTTACAGATAAAGTATGTGGACCCTTCTAATTAGATTTTAGGTGAGAAATTAACTGACTGGCCATCTTCAAGACAGGGAATGGAAACCATGTCTTGAGGAGACTGGGATTAAAATTCAGGGGGACTTTGGTATATGAATTCAAATTTATAAAGGGTTTTTTTCAAATATGAGGGGATCTTGTGTGCTGCTTCAGAAATCTGTGTTGTTTCAGAAATGAATTATGGAGATAAAAAGCAGCATATTGGGGAAAACCTTTCTTGCACTGAGTTACCAAATCACAGAACAGCAGTGTGTCTTGAAAACTGGCAGGATTCTCGCTGAGCCTGGCTGAACATCTATCTATCCATAAGATACGGAACACACAACAGCTGGGAGTTGACCACTGTAGTAGGTCAAACAATATCCCCCCAAAACTCATGTCCACCCACAACTTCAGCATGTGACCTCATTTTGGAAATAGGGTCTTTGCAAATATAACCAAGGTAAAGATTAAGTTGAGTTCATTCTGGATTAGGTTAGGCCTGAAATCCAATGACAGTGTCCTTATAAGAAACAGAGAAGAGACACAGGGAAGAGGCCAGGTGAAGAGAGAGGCAGGGACCAGAGTGATGTAGCCACAGCCAAGGAATGCAAGGAGACACCAGAAGTTGGAAGAAGCGAGGAAGCAGCCTCCCTTACAGCCTTCAGAGGGAGCGTGCCCCTGCCCATTCCTTGATTTCACACTTCTGGGCCTCCGAAACTGTGAGGGAAAAATTTCTGCTCTTTTAAGCCACGCGGTTTATGTAATTTCTTATGACAGCTTAGAAAACTAATACAATCTCCTTCAAAGTTCTTCTCAACCTCCGATTTCTCTGTTGCTCTGAAAGGCAAAGACCAACCACATTTTCTTCAATTTTTTTCTAAAGACTCACAGAGCCTCCTCTGATGCTAATGTTGTGAAAAACATAATTCAATGATACTATTTCTGTTCTTTTTAAAAGGTTAAAAAGAGATCATGGGTTTTTTTTTTAATTAAACTTTTTATTTCGGGGGAATTGTAGATAGACATGCAGTTGTATGAAACAACGCAGAGATCCTGTGAACCTTTTACCTAGTTCCCTGTGGTAACGTCTTGTGAAACTATAACACAGTATCACAGCCAGGACCCTGAAATTGATACAATCCAGTGATCTGATTCAGATGTGCTCTAGTTTGACTTGTACTCTTGTGCATGTATGTGTGTGTATTTAGTTCTATCCACCACCACAAAGACATACAATAATTTCATTATAACAAGGACAATAATGGTATTTTAATACCTGCAAAAATATGCATTACCTGTTTCTTTGAATATTAATGTCAGGGTAGGTTCAAAGCCAAATCTTCAACAAACAAAATAAGAAAGCATATTTACTTGATCATCAAAGGAAAAAGCCAACATTTTCCAGATAATTCTAATCAAGGGGATAAATGAGGAAAAACAACATTGACAGTGGCCCACAGCAGGTTTCTAGGGCACACACCTCTCCTACCTTGTCCTTTTTATCTTGTCGGGCGTATGGGAAACACGGGATCACGGCAGTTACTCTGGATGATGACGCAATCTTGCAGGCATTGATCATGATGAGGAGTTCCATCAGGTTGTCGTTAATTTCCCCGCAGCCGCTCTGGATGATGTAGACATCTTCCCCTCTCACGCTTTCACCAATCTCCACGCTAGGAAAAGAAAACTGCCATCGGTTAATATCGAAGCATATTTGCATCTTGGGCGTCCCTGAGACCACCCCTAGGTTTGATGATCACCAGGATGACTTATAGGACTCAGCCTAATAGTTGCACTCATGGCTGTAATTTATTGCAGAGAAAGGACACAGAGCAAACTCAGCAAAGGGAAAAAGGTGCATGGGGTGAAGTTGGGGGAAACAGGGTGCAAGCTTCCAAGACTCCTCCCTGAGGGGAGTCAGAGGTAGAGCTTAATGCCCCAGTAGTGAGCTGTGACAACACGTGTGAAGGGCTCTCTACCAGGGAAGCTGCTTAGAGACTCAAGTCCCAGGGTTTGTATTGTGGGCTGGTCATATAAGCACCCTCTGCCTAGCACGTACCAAAATGTCAGACTCACAGGCATTCAGCATGAACCACATTGTTTATCAATTGTTTAAGAGTTTATGCAGTGAGCCATCCTTACTGGGAAATGGTGGGTACCCTTGCAAAATGTAAGCTCCCAGAGGCCAGCCAAGGGCCAACCTTGCGAACAGGCCTAAGTCTCAGGCCTGCTAATGTTAACTCTTTTCTGCAAAATACTACATTTAGTTTTAGTTTTTTATTAAAGTTATACAGTCATATTGCTTAAAAAATTCAAACCATTCTGTAAGACGTATAACAGAGAAAGTGCCCAGAGGCCACCAATTTCAACTCTTGATAGGGTTTTTGGATACTTTCCTTCAAGTCTAGCTACTATGTGTGTATTGCTGTGTCTTGATTTTTCATTTTAGGCAAAGTGTATTGACTTCTCACTATGGAAGATGAGGACTGAACTCCATTTCCATTCAGTTCCATCACTTGCAATGTAAACTTCCCATCTCGCCATCATCCCAATATAGATCAATATTCACATTAAAGATTGACTGTACGTTTTTAACTGCGCAAATGCTGCTCAGAGCTCTGCCATGCAATTAACTTAAACGAATGCTTGTATTTTCTTTTTATGCACATCTTTTCTTTTTATTTTCCCTGGAGGTCATTCTCTTACCTTTTTATCTGCTAAGTTTTCTGAATCCTGAATCCAGATTCCACCCTAAACCCTTCACTAACAATCAAAATCTCCCAAGATCAGAGGCCTCAAGTCCCATCTGCATTTCATCGTCTTGCAGGCATCCCTCCCAGGGGTGGCAGGCCTGGGTTATCTCTCTGCCTGTGCACAGCTGCCATCCGGGGATTCCCTGCCCCCTCTCCTGCACTCCATTTGCCATTTTCTGTATCCTCTTTCTTGGTATACTTCCTTGTTTTGCTGGTTGGCATCCTTGCGTAGCTTCTGGAGAAAGAGTAAATAGCAGCTAAGTTTTTGAAAATTGCATGTCTGGAAGTTTCTGTATTTCCAGGTACAGAATTCTGGATGTCCAACATGAGAGGGAGAGCCAGCTCATCCCTGGCATATTCCTTTGGTGGGAAGAAACAGAAAATAGTGCTGTGTGCTCAGGCATGTCCTTCCCAGAGCTCTGCGTCCAAACCAAGAAGATGGTCAGCTCTGCTATGTTTTGAAAAGGCAAATTTGTTCCAATGATTGATATTATTTGGAACAATTTGAGCATAGCATGAATTTCATGTTTTCTTATGCACAACCTCTTATCCCGAGACTGCAGAAAACTGCAGTGTACCCAGCTGAATGGAGCCACTTAGAAATACACAAACATACACATGTACACACCTCGAGGACAATGAGCCACACTCATTCACATTTGGTGTCACAACTTTTCATGTCATTTCAGAGAACCCTAAACCTCAGGCATTTTTCAATGGAAAGTTCCATCTCTGTCATAATATTTATGTAATTTTTTTTTTTTTTTTAAAGACAGAGTCTCACTCTGTTGCCCAGGCTGGAGGGCAGTGGTGACATCTCAGCTCACTCCGACCTCTGCCACCCAGGTTCAAGTGATTATCCTGCCTCAGCCTCCCGAGTAGCTCGGATTACAGGCATGCACCACCACGCCTGGCTAATTTGTTGTATTTTTAGTGGAGGGAGGTTTTGCCATGTTGGCCAGGCTGGTTTTGAACTCCTGACCTCAAGTGATCCGCCCACCTCAGCCTCCCAAAGTGCTGGGATTACAGACGTGAGCCATTGCACCCAGCCAGTATTTTTTGAGCATGTAATACATGTCAGTGTTTTACCATTTTGATAGGAACCCTAATCCGAAATTCTGAAATCCGAAACTTTCTGAGTGTCGACATCATGCTCAAAGGAAATGGTCATTGGAGCATTGTGGATTTTGGATTTTTGGAGATTTGGAATGTCCAACCAGTAAGTACAATAGAAATATTCCAAAATGCAAAAAAAAAAAAAAAAAAAAAAAAAATCTGAAATACTTGTTGTCCCAGGCATTTCTGATAAGGGATGCTCAATCTATATAACATTCCTATGATTTTTTAATGGGTCACTGAGGAAGTTTTTGAATGTTATGTCCCTAACCCCATTTTTCTCATAAGCCCTGTGGTTTTGGATTGCCTGATTTTGCATAGCGTGGTAATTTTTAGGAATACATATGTCACATTATGGCAGAATTGTCTGTAAATTTATTCATCCCAAAATGAAATATTTTAAAATTACAAATAAGGAACATGAATAATTATCCTTCTCTCTTCTCCTGCTATCAGATACTCAATGAAATTGTTTTCTTAAAAGAGCCAATTAAGGCTGGGCGCGGTGGCTCACGCCTGTAATCCCAGCACTTTGAGAGGCCAAGGTGGGCTGATCACCTGAGGTCTGGAGTTCTAGACCAGCCTAACATGGAGAAACCCCATCTCTACTAAAAAATACAAAATTAGCCAGGTGTGGTGGTGCATGCCTGTAATCCCAGCTACTCGGGAGGCTGAGGCAGGAGAATCACTTGAACCCGGGAGGCGGAGCTTGCAGTGAGCTGGGATCGCACCATTGCACTCCAGCCTGGGCAACAAAAGTGAAACTCTGTCTCAAAAAAAAAAAAAAAAAAAAAAAAGAGCCAATTATACCTAATGAAAATTTAAAAACAGGCTGGGCATGGTGGCTCATGCCCACAGTCCCAGCTACTTGGGAGACTGAGGCAAGGGGATTGTTTGAGCCCAGGAGTTCTAGTCCAGCCTGGGCAACATAGCAAGACCCCGTCTCTAAAAAAAATTTTAAAGAAAAGGAAAATAAAAATAAAGTTTTTCAAGTTGACATGTTGTGAAAATTAGTTTTGATAACATTCACACATCTTCTTGCACGCCTTCTACTATGGATGAAAATATGCCAACCTCACAGGATGAGGGGGATAGAAAGAGTTCTATGTGCTCCCTCCTATTTGAAGATCTAAGGAGCTAAATCTAACTGCTTTGTGAACACTACATCAACTATGACATAAACTTAATTTGGAAATTGCTATGGTTTAAATGTGTTCCCTAAAGTTCATGTGTTGAAAGCTTAATCCCCAGTATAGGAGTATTGACAGGTGAGACCTTTAAGAGGTGATTAGGTCATAAGGGCTCTGTCCTCACAAACGGATTAACGTCATCATTGCTAGAGTGTGCTCATTATCTTGAGAATGGGTTTATTATATTAGCAAATTTGGCCCTCTATTGCTCTCTCTCAAATATGCTCTCTTGCCCTTCCACCCTTCTGCCATGGGATGATGCAGCAAGAAAGCCCTTGCCAGATGCCAGCCCCTCAGTATTGGACTTCCCAGCCTCCAGACCTGTGAGAAACAAATTTCTATTGTTTATAAATTAGCCAGTCTCTGGTATTCTGTTATAGCAGCACAAAATGAACTACAGCAGAAATCAAGTACAGTATTATATAGCTGAGAGGTTGACAAAACACAGCACATAGGCTGTTTTTCTATGGCCTGTGAGTTAAGAATGGCGTGGTAGGCAGAATAATGGCCCCCTAAAGATGTCTACATCCTAATCCTTTGAATATGTGAGTTTATATGGCAAAGGGGAAGTAAATTTGCAGATAGCATTCAGGTTGCTCATCAGCTGACCTTAACATGGGGAAATTATCCTGGATTATTTAAATTGGCCCATTGTAATCATGGGGCCCTTAAAAATGCAAGAGGGAGACAGCAGAAGCAGGGTCAGAGCAACATTTTGTTGCTGACATTGAAGGTGAAGAGGCCAATAGTGAAGGAATGTGGGCTGCCTCTGGAAACCGGAAAAGGCACGGGAACAGATTCTCCCCTAGAGCCTCAGAAGAGAATACAGCCCTGCTAACCTGTGACAGACATTACCGTAACTTACAGAACTGTAAGATACCGCAGCAACAGAGACTACATGTGCTAGCACTGCCTAAAATATTTACGATTTGGCCCTTTGCAGAAAAACTTTGCCAACTCCTGGTCTTATGACGTTTATCCCACAAGATTAGATTCTTTGGCCTGTTTTTACTCAGGAACCTCAGTTCTCATATGACTAGCAGTCCAGGGGAGGACAGAGAATATCATCACCATGGCAACTTTTCCCCTAAAGCTAGTCCTGCTTCTACTCAAAAAGATGATCATGACTACCTTTATTCTAGGTCTTTAAAAAATTGTGGCTAGAAGGCAGCATCCATTTGCCATTCTGCCAGAGGATCTTTATTGACCCCCAAATAAAAACGCTGAAGAGCGTCACTGACTCAACAATAAACGGGCATGGTAACTAAAAGATAGCCACAGACTCTTAACACATTTCCCATCAAGGAGCAGGGTCTAGTCTCCCGCCCTTGAATCTGAGAGGGCTCTGTACTTGCCCAACAGCATATGACAGAAATTATGATACACCAACTTGCAAGCCCAGTCCTTAATGGACTGGTGGCTTCAATGTCCTGTCTTTTGGAACATGTGCTCTTAGAACCCAGCTTCCATGCTGTAAGGAAGCTCAAGCAGCCCCATGGAGAGGCCTACAAGAAGAGGAGCTGAGGTTCCTAACCAAGCTCCCAGGCAAAAGCTAGTAACAACTTCAGTCATGTGAGCCATCTTCAAGAACCCTCCAGCCCCAGTTAGCCGCCTCAGCTGTGACCAGCCTCAGCTGTGACCATACGCGGCAAAAACAAGCTTTCTTCACTGAGCCCTTCCCAAATTGCAGATTTGTAAGCCAAATCAACAATTACTGTTTTAAGCCATTAAGCTCTTTATTTATTACATGGTAACCGATAACCTTGTATAACTTTGCATAACCTTGTCTCACAGTATAGCTAAAGATTCTGCCAGCAGGTTAACTGACCATAGTAAAATGTTACAACAGAGACATCTAGACACCTGCTGTCCTAAGATGTCATCATGGAATTTCCATGGTCTATAGTGAAGCTGGAGCGGACCTCTCCCTGCATATCTGAAATGATTTAGGGATAAGAAGGTAAAATTGGAAGGCTCTATGTTCAGTAAAGTAGCATATAAAAAACGCAAAATGGGAGGATTGATGGCCAGGAGACAGCAAACCAGATTTCTGATCCTAGTTCAGTGACAGATTCAAGAAGGGGCCCTTACATGAACTGAATCAATTTTGTCTTCATTTTGCCCTTCAGTTTTTCCTCTCTACGATTACACAGCTAAAAGCTGGATTCCTAGCACAGTAACTGGTCCAGAGAGGGCTGTTTATAAAAATTAAGCTCTGTACTTGTACAGTTCATGGAAAAGAGAAAAGTCAGGCAGTGAACCTTTTATACTCTATACATTAAAAACATAAAATGTAGCTATATAGGCAATTCCCAAACTTCATGCTGAGTGGTTTTTGAGGTCCCACGATTTCTAATTATCAAGTGATGGTTATAAAATGCCAAAAACAAAATAAAAGTGAGTCTGCTTTATATTTGAACCAAATGTATAAACAATCATACTTCAGTGTCTGAGTGAGTTTTGCCCAGTGGCACATGTGGTATTTTTAGGAGAAACTCAACACTGACTTAGCAGTGAACTGATCTAGATTAACCATGCTCCTTAGCAAAAGATCATGCTGCACTGAGTACCTGGAAGGGCAACATATTTGCTTTCAAAATTTACTTCATCAACAAATTTCTCCTTTACTTATATGACGACACCTTCTGAACAAAAACTATTCTTCTTCTCGTGTTCTTACAGCGACTGAAACTTGAACAAGACTGGCAAAATACTGCAACACTCAAACCTAGCTCTATCCTTCTCCAGAGCCCTAGACCATCCTCTCAGACTTCTGCATTAAACACTGCAGAGTGGAATTCTTTAGCCAAAGTCCACCTGCCACTCATTCACAATGTTTCTTCGCTTATATTATCATCGGAGCCATAACTGGAATTTGCCACCTGGAAGAAGTCACGTAAGATTCACATATCCTAAAAAGCTGACTTGCCAAAATATAGCATCTTCCCCATCAGTATTAACATAACTCCTCCTTAAGAAATTTTTGCCTAACCCCAAGTCAAGATTTTCTGCTAGAAATTTTATAGTTCTAGATTTTACAATTAGGTCTATGATCCACTTCAAAGTTAATTTTTACAAATGGTGAAAAGTATGGATGGAAGTTCATATTTTTTGGCATATGGGTGTCCAACTGTTCCAACACCATTTCTAGAAAATGTTGGTAAAATTGAACCTTTGCCAAAGATATAAAAATTATCAGTAACTGTGGACAGTTAACGGTACTAGACATTGGAGGAAGAAGGGGGAAAAATGAGACCAATTTGAAATGAGTCAAGGAGCTGTGTGGACTCAGGCAGATAGACAAAGGAGCCCCCCAGGTCAGCTTCCGAGGATGGCCACCACCTGAGGCTCTCCTGGACTTGAGAAATGGGTGAAAGTTACAGTCGAATCACGGCGTTGTTGCTGGACACAGCAGAGTCCTAGAACAAGAAGGAAGCTGAAAGTCCATCATCTTTAAAGCAGCAAGAGTAGTGGGAGCAGAGGGGAGCCCAGCACGTGCGTCCTGGGGTTCTCACAGTCTTTCAAACCTTGGCACAACTGCACCCTCTGGATAACGCAGTGGTCTGCGCCCTGGCTGCTCAGGAGAAGCCAGGGAAGCTTGTAAAATCGCTGATCCTCCGCCCGTTGGATCAAACCCTTGGGGGCAGGTCGGGGGAAGCAGCGTTCGGACCGTCCCCAGGTAAACCCAGCGTGCAACCAGAGTTGGGGACGGGGGGAAACCTTTAGTCGCACGCACTGGTCTGAGGTTCAGCTTTGTAGGGACGCGGAAACTGGGACCAGCCAACCCAGGACGTCTCTCCACCGCGCGCTGACCCGATGCGGTTCCCGCCCGCTGCGCCCACTCTCTCCCCGACGGTCTGTGACCGCCCAGACGTCTCCCTTCCGGGCTGGGGACGCCAGGCCGGGCGGCACCGCTGGGAGGCCGGGAGCGGCTCGGGACCGCCGGGTCGCCGCGGTCCCAGGACCGGAGGCCCTGCAACCGGGGGCACAGCCGAGGCGCGCATCGGGACGCGCGGCGCCCCGCCTCGGTTTCTTCGCAGGCGCGGGCGCGGGGGCGCGGAGGCCGCGTTGCCACCGTCCCGCCCCGGAAGGGGGAGCGCGGCGTCCGCGGAGGTGGCCCGGGCAGGCGCCGGCCCCCAACCCGGCCCCGCAGCCGCGTGCCCAGCGCTCTCCCTAGCCCGGCCGCCGGCGCGGCCCCCACCTGGTCTCCTGGTTGCTGAACTTCTTCGTGACCACCTTGCCCAGCTCCAGGCCCAGGCGGTCGGCCACGCGCTGGGACAGGTCCTGATGCGAGCTGCCGCTGAACAGCACGATGTTGGGCATGGTGGGGCGCGGAACTCCGAGGGGCGCGCGGCGGCGGAGGAGGTGGCGGAGGCAACAGCGACAGCGACGCGGGAGGCTGCTGCTGCGGGAGCGGGAAAGCGCGGCGGCTAGATGTAGGGAAGGGGAGGAGCGGAGGGGGAGGAGCCGGAGGAGGAGCTAGAGGGGGCAGAGAGGGAGGAAGAGCGGGCGTGGAGGGGGAGCTGGAAAGTGCCGGGGGGCGGGGGCACAGCCCTGGCAGCAGTTTTGGACGCCCTGGGTGGTCCTGAAGCCCGAAGGTGTCCTTGCTCCGCGAGAGAGCTCCGAGCTTCATTCTTGATCTTCCAGACCTGCCTCGCGGGGAGAGCCAATGAACCGCGGTTAGCTGGGCACAGAGGGAGAGTTCGGGCCGGGGGGATCCCTCGAGGTGCTTCGCAGCCCGGAGCGACTTCCCACCCCGGAACACCGCAAACCCAGTGTGGGCGACTGGTGTTCAGCTATAGCAAGGGTCTGCAAACTACAGCCTATGGGCCAGATCGCGAGAGCTCCCTGTGTTTGTACCAGAGAGCTAAGCATGGTTTTCATACATGAACATTTGCACTTTATGTGATGATAGCAGACACCGCCTTTGAACTCCAATTAAGAGAAATATCCCCCCCGCAAAAGAATTCCTTTTCTCTCATTAATAGATGTGAGTTGCAAATAATTGTACTCAAATATTACCGTATTTTGGATTATATCAATAAAAACATTGTGACAATTTTTTCTCTCTTGTTATGTAAGTTCCTACGTAATATCTTCCCTTTTCTTGCTTGGTCTGCAAAATGTAAATATTGGCCATGTGGTCCCTCATAGTTCAAACTTGATGACCCCTGAACTACAGAGTTGCCCCTGCACCATGTGTCCTTAAAAAATCCAACCACTATGTGAGTCCTCATCACAGGCTGAGGGGAAGTATTGCTCTTGGTGGCTCACTGGATCAAACCAAGTCCCCCAGATTCACCATTTTTCGGTAGATGTGATGGTCCTTGGGGCACTTCACAACCTTCTGCCTGTTGGGTGCTCAAGGGCCTGATCCCAGGAACACAGATCTCCCTAGACAATCCAGCTCAGTCCCTCCACATCCCTGGAGTCAGGGCCTCCTTCCTCTCTTTCCTGCTAGAAACCAGCAAAAAGGTTTTCTCAAGATGCCAATGCAGTACCAGAGCCAACTTCAGGGCACAAACCAAGTGTAGGAGAAAGGAAAGCAGTCCCTGTCTATAGAGGGCTGGTTGGTGATGCTGGTCACAGTTTCACACTCCTCAACAAAGGCTGATTCAACCGGGTAGATAAATGGCTTGGTTTTACTAATGTTTGCCACGAATTGGCTCTCCATCAACAGCAAAGCCCACTTGCAATTGGGTTGTAGCCTACTCTAATCAGACTTCATAATGGGATTTGGGAGATTACAGGGATGATTCGCATCATTGGGATTTTTCATCTGGGTCCTTGTACTTTGCAAGGAGATTACTTGGCACATCGAGTGTTTCTTGTAAACTTTTGTATCTGCCAGCCTATCAAAAAGTTATTCAAACTGACAATTTTAGCAGCATTTCTGGCCCTTTTTCATTCCGCCTAGAGATGCATATGTGCCCTATTATGTGAGAAAACAAACAAAAACCCCTATCTGCAATGGTTTATTATCTATGTATTTCACAGCTAATTACCATAGCAATGAGATTTATACTTGACCCACTATGTTTAAAATTTTTATTGAGTCTGCTAATGTAGTTATATTTAAACTCTTCTAATAAAATTTACTATCAGCAAATTACTATAATTTTTATATTCTTAATATTTCTCTCATAGATAAAATTGACTAATAATGGTTTCTTCTAAATATATAGATGCTCTTCTCAAAGGGAAAGTGGCATCCTCTTAGCATGATGGGGCTGTGGTTCTTTGGTAACACAGAACCAAAGCTGATGGACTATAAAACAGTAAAAGTTAAAGCCCCTGGTCTTTGGGTGGGTAAATGGCTGCAGATTTGGAAGCTCGGATTGAATTGTGACAAACCATGGACTTGATAGCACCAAGGAGAAACAATATCTCAGTTGGGGCAACTAATACAATGATTGTTGGTTCAATAGTTTGATGAGTTACTCTGCTTAAATGCTAAATGTAAACAAGGTGAAATGTGCCATTGGGGTTGATGAGAATACTAATGGGAATCATTGAAAAATCATCATGAGTCACAGACTGTTCAGAAAGCTGTCACTTGTAAATGAGCAGCTACAGATAATTTTATTTAAGTGTGAAAACTTTCTCTCCCAAATGCCTTTATCCTTGATCCATAGGAGCCAGGTTGTGGGAAACATTGGTCTAGAGCAGGTTTCTGAACCTCAGCACAGCTGATATTTAGGCTGGGTAATTCTTTGTTGTGGGACTGTCCTGTGCATTGCAGATTGTTTAGCAGCCTCCCTTGCCTCTACCCACTAGATGCCAGTAGCACCTATCCACCACTGTGACAACCAAAAGTGTCCCCAGACATTGCCAAATGTCCTACAAGGAGCAAAATCACCACAGGTTGAGAATCACTAGTTTGAAAGAACCCCTGGCCCTTCTCTCCTCCATGTGGGCCTTTCTTCATGGTTGTTTGGGCTTCCTTACGGCATGGCTGCAAGGTTCCAAGGAGTGTTCCAAGAAGATAAGTCTCAATGAGCAAGTGCTTATCAAACCTCTGTTTTTAACTTGCTTGCTAATGTCTCATTGACCAAAGCAAGTTACATGGCCAAGACCAGCTGTCAACATGGTATGGGACAACTGGAGGGCATGAGTACTGTCCACCAACTGTCTACCACAGTGCACTTCTTGAACAACATTTGAAGTTGGGGAGCCTCTGGAAAAATGGAACACTTGTTCAAAGACCCAAGACTTAGAAGAGAAAAAGAACATATACTCTGTGCATATGTGATCTGGGTCTCAGACCGTTTATAAAATATACATTATCTTAAGATAAAATGTTAGTGGAAAAAATTAAAATGATGAGATATTTTCTATTGTTGATTTCTATCTTCATTGACTCATGGATAGAGATTAACGGTAAAACAATGATTTGAATTTATGAACAGTTTCACGTCTTCTATTTCCCACATCATCTAGCCAAGTTCTTTGTATATAGTAAGAAGTCTAAGTATTTGCTGAGTGAATTTATCCCTGACTATTTTAGGGCTGAGAAACGGAAGAAATTTCCCCAAGTCACATGGCTAGTTGAAAGCAGCAAAGGAATTAGAATGTGGATCTTCTAGTCCAGTCCTTTTCTCTCTAGAATGGTACCATCCAAAAGAAATGTAATGATTGTTTCCTATATGTTTCTATGAAAAAATTTTAAACTTTTTAAAAAGAAATATAATGCAAGCCACATATGTAATTTACACTTTAGTAGCTGTATTTTAAAAGAATATAAAAAACAAGTGAAGGTAATTTTAATAATACACTTTAATCCAATATCCAAAATATTATCATTCCAACATGTAATCAACATAAAACATATTAATGAGCTACTTTGCATCTTTTTGTGTCAAGCCTTCAAAATCCAATATAGATTTTACGCTTACAGCACATCTTAATTTGGACTTGCCATATCTGAAGTGCTCATCAGCCACATGTGGCTGATAGTTGCTGTATTAGAACAAGAAGTTCTAGAACACTAGTTCCTAAGAGCAATGCCAAGACACTCTGACATAACCTTTTTCTTGTATGTTTTTATTAGGGGTGTGGCAAATAATTTATAACTTATTATGAAATGCTAACATTTATAAGCAATGTACTTTAAAAATAAGTTAAAATAGATTCAACTTTAATTCTCTATTAATAACATTTTCACTCAGAATCAAGTAATTTTTCTGATTTTTATTTCTAGAACTTTACCTTTTACTTCTGTTGTTTAAAGAAAAATCCAAAAACCGAGATGAAAATAGAGTGAACACCGATATACCCACCACCTAGATTTTGTAGCTGTCAAAATTTTCCCATGTTTGCTTTATCTGTTTTTATCTAAAGTATTTTAAAGTAAATTACAGATGTTATATATTCACCTCTAAATTATTTAGCCTGCATATATCTGTAAAAAGATAAAGACATCACACCGTATGCAAACGTTAATTTAAAATTGATCAAAGACCTAAATGCAAGAGCTAAAACTATAAAACTCTTTTTCTTTTCTTTTTTTCTTTTTTTCTTCTCTTTTTTCTTTTCTTTTTCTTTTCTTGTTTTCTTTTCTTTTTTTTCTTTTCTTTTCTTTCCTTTTCTTTTTTCTTTCTTTTTTTTTTTTTTTTTGCAGAGTCTCACTCTCTTGCCCAGGCTGGAGTGCAGTGGTGTGATCACCGCTCACTGCAGTCTCGACCTCCTGGGCTCAAGTGATCCTCCTGCCTCAGCCTCCCGAGTAGCTGGGACTACAGGTACACGCCACCATACCAAGCTAATTTTTGTATTTTTTGTAGAGATGGCATCTTTACAAAACTACGGAATTCTTAAACTTAAAGCCTAAAACTATGGAATTCTTAAAAGAAAACATAGGTATAAATTTTCATGACTTTGGATTAGGCAAATATTTCTTTAATATGACATCAAAAGCACAAGCGCCACCAACAAAAATATATAAACTGGACGTCAAAATGAAAAACTTATGCTTCAAAGGATACCATCAAGAAAGTGAAAGAAGGCCGGGCATGGTGGCTCACGCCTGCAATCCCGGCACTTTGCGAGGCTGAGGTGGGCGGATCACGAGATCAGGAGTTCGAGACCAGCCTGACCAACATGGTGAAACCCCGTCTCTACTAAAAATACAGAAGAAATTAGCCGGGCGTGGTAGCGCGCACCTGTAATCCCAGCTACTCAGGAGGCTGAAGCAGGAGAATCGCTTGAACCCAGGAGGCAGAGGTTGCAGTGAGCCGAGATTGCACCACTACATTCCAGCCTGGGCGACAGAGTGAGACTCCTTCTCAAAAAAAAAAAAAGAAAGAAAGGCAACCCAAAGAATGGGAGAAAATGTTTGCAAATCATGTATCTGATGAGGGTCTTGTATCTAGGATATATAAAAAATGACCACAACTCAAAAAGACAACCGAATTTTAAAATGGGCAAAGGAGACTGCACATGAATGTTTATAGCAGCTTTATTCATAATTGTTAAAACTTCAAAGCAACCAAGATGTCCTTCAGTAGGTGAACGGATAAACTGTGATACATCCAGACAATGGAAAGCTATTCAGCACTATAAATAAATGAGCTATTTTGCTCATGGAGGAAACCTAAATGCATATTACTAAGTGAAATAAACCAATCTGAAAAGGCTGCAGACTGTAGTCTTCCACCTGTATAACATTCTGGTAAAAGCAAAACTGCAGAGATGGTGAAAAGATCAGTGGTTGTCAGGGAAGAGGGGAAGGACAGATGAATTGGTGGCGCACAGAGAATTTTTAGGGCAGTGAAACTACTCTATGATACTACTATGGTGGATTCATGTCATTATATACCTGTCAAAACCCATAGAATGTACAACACCAAGAGTGGACCTTGATGTAAACTATGGACTTTGGGTGATAATGACGTGTCAATATACGTACATTGATTTTAGTTAGTAGGAGAGGCTGTGCATGGATGGGGGCTGAGAGTATATGGGAATTGTCTGTACTTTTCACTTAATTTATGTGAACCTAAAACTGCTCTAAAAAATTTAATCTCTTAAAAAATGAAAAATATGTGGGCAAAAGATCTGGTAGACATTTCTCCAAAAAAGATATCCAGATGGCTAATAAACACTTGAAAAGAGGCCAGGCGCTGTGGCTCACGCCTGTAAATCCCAACACTTTGGGAGGCCGAGGCAGGTGGATCACTGGAGGTCAGGAGTTTGAGACAAGCCTGGCCAACATGGAGAAACCCCGTCTCTACTAAAAATACAAAAATTAGCCGGGCATGGTGGCAGGCACCTGCAATCTCAGCTACTTCAGAGGCTGAGGCAGGAGAATTGCTTGAACCCGGGAGGCGGAGGTTGCAGTGAGCCAAGATCACGCCACCGCACTCCAGCCTGGAAGATAGAGTGAGACTCTGCCTCCAAAAAAAAAAAAAAAAAAAAAAAAAAAAGAAAAAAGAAGATAGTCATCGTAATTAGCCATCAGAGAAATGCCAGTGAAAACCACGAGGAGATGCCACTTCATACCCACTATGTTGGCTATAATAAAAAAGGCAGATAAAGATGACAAATGTTGGTAAAAATGTGGAGAAATTGAAATCCTCAGACACTGTTGGTGGGAATGCAAAATGGTGCAGCTGCTTTGGAAAAATCTAGCAGTTCCTCAAATGGTCAGAGTGACCATATGAGCCGGGAATTCCACTCTTAGGTATATGCTCAAGAGAGTTGAAAACAGGCATTCAAATGAATAGTTTACATGAATGTTATCAGCAGCACTATTCGCAATAGCCGAAAGATGAAATCAACCCAGATGTCCATCAACTGATGAGTGGATAAACAAAATGTGGTCTCCTGTACAATGGAATATTATTTAGCTTTTAAAAAGAATGAAATTCTGATATGTGCTACAGAAACTTTGAAAAACATTATGCTAAGTGAAGAATACAGACACAAAAGACCATATAGTGCATGATTCCATCTACATGAAATGTTCAGAATAGGAAAATCTATATACAGAAAATAAATCAGGGGTTGCCTAGGGTTAGTTAGGGAGATGGGAAGATGGAGGGATGGCAGGGCTAAAAGCAAAAGGGTGTGGGATTTCTTTGGGGCGGTAATAAAAATGTTTTAAAATTGTTATGATGAATGCACAACTCTGTGAACGTAATAAAAGCCATTGAATTTTACACTTTAAATGGGTGAATTGTAATGGTATATAAATTGTATCTCAATAAAGCTCTTAAAAAGAGAGATAAAGACATTTTTCTTTATGATTCCAAGACCATTATCACATCTAACGTATTAACATGTCAGGTTATCTTGATACAATATTGAGATAGATCACTGGTTTAAGGTGCTGACAGCGTTATAAGCCTGCATTTTAGCCTTGCAAAATGCAAACTTTCTAATTCTATTAATCTTTGCTGTGTACAATATTAGCCGGAATTCCCTTCGTCTTCTGGGCTACTTGATTACCCTAAAATAAGGTTTGTACTAGAGAAGCAAGAGAAAAATTTTAAATTTTCTTCCCTTTCATTACCAATTTCCAGAATCAGAAGATTGGTTTTTGAATATTGTTTTCCATGGAAAGGAACCAAGTATTCTTGCGATTTGACCAATTCAAGGTCTGGGTCAGGAACGGACGAAGTGAACTAGAACATCTTGTCTCAGATATAGCAAAGATGATGGGGAATACGTCAGAAGGATAAAGGTCCCAGTTTAAAATGATTACTATTGCCAGACGCGGTAGCATATCTATAAACCTGGCGACTGGGAGGCTAACACAGGAGGATCATTTGAGCCCAGGAGTTTGAGGTCAGCCTGGGCAACATAGTGAGACCCCCGTCTCTCAAAAGCAAAATTAATTAATTAATTAAGAAGTGGCTACTATTGATTAAAGGTAGGACAGTGTGAACATCAAAAATTAATGCAAATTTAGTTGCCTGAAATGTACCAAATATGTAAAAATCAGTGAGTCCATATTGATACTCAACAAAATGAAAACCTGAACAAAACAAAACTCGCTTGAATTCAGTGAAGATGAATATTAAACTAGCTTCTTTCTGTGAAAATTGGTCATTAAAGCTTTCTTCGGAGGCAAGGTGAAGATGGAATTACATTGATTTCTCTTGGTAATTCCATGTAATCTGATGCTGCCAAGGGGAACGTCCTTTTCATGCAGGTTGTATCAGTCACTTCTGGAAATAAGAACAAAGATCTGGTGCCCTCAGTCAGCTTAAGATAGCTGGATACTGCATACATAATTCAAGCAGAGGAGGAGTTAAGGCCAGATAAGGAGCACAGGAATCCACACCCAGGATGCAGGTGGAAGAGGAAGGAAGTTTTGTAATAGTGGAGATGGAAGATTCTTAAAGGGGGTAAAGGATTTACATTGTGGGGGAGGAGGTGGATAATATTCTGATGAAAGAAATAACATGAAGTAATTGAAATTAGGCTGAGCTTAACTTTACTGTGAGTGTCTAAATTAAGCAAGGGCCAATAAAAGCGAGTTGTCTCAAATCCTTTCTGGAATAAGGTAGCAATTAAGAGAAGAAATAACAATATTGTACATGTATATAGCACTTACTATGGCAGGCCTTTGCAGCAACCCTGTGAGTTCGGTCTTATTACTCTCATCCCCATTTCACAGGTAGAGAAACTGAGAAACAGAGAAGTTAGATAAGATCACACAGCTACATAGTGGAGCCAAGCAGCTCTTTACCACTACTCTCTCCTGCTCCCCACTTCACTCTCCCATGTAAGTGTGAGCAGTTGAAGAGGGCTTTCAATTAGAGATCAACGTAGTGTATAAAGAGTCCTTCTCCTTCCTTATGATAATGTTTTCTGCTTCTAAATAATCCCGGTAACACAATATTGATAAGGATTATTCCACCTCGCCAAGAATTGTTGGGATGCCTCCAAGCATGACCCTGGGCTTTCTTGTTTTTATTCTTTCTACAAACTCTCCTTGACATCATCCAGGCCCATGACTTAATCTTGATGACTTTCATGTTTGTATCTTCAGCTCAGACTTCACACTTGAGGTCCAACTTGAACATACAAATCTACAACAGGGGTTGGCAAGTTGTGGCCCACAGGCCAAATCCTGTCTATAACCCATTCTTGTAAATCAAGTTTTACATATGTACACATCCATTCATTTACATATTATCTGTGGCTTCTCTTGTGTGACTAGCACAGAGTCGACGGGTTGTGGTACGGACTCCATGGCCTTCAAAGCCTAAATATTGACTATTTGGACCTTTAGAGAAAACACTGGTCTTCTCCAATGGGAAGTCTTCATGCTCTTGGTCCAGCCTGCTCTTCCCTGAGTACGTGGCACCTCCAATCACCCAGTTAATCAGAGGCAAAATGTGTGAATCACCCTCGATTCTGTCTTTCCTGTCACCCTTCCATCCCAAGACTGTTGATTCTGTTTGCCAAATCTGCCCTTCTCTCCATTGCCATGGCCACCAGGCAGCCCCTGCATCAGCCTCCTTGAACCCCCAAGGAGGGCTCTCTTCTTAAGATCTTTGCCTCCCTCCAATCCCTTTCTACACCACAATCAGAATGATTTTTAAAATTTTTTATTATTTTATTTTATTTATTTATTCTCTTGGAGATGGAGTCTCACTCTGTCACCCAGGTTGGAGTGCAGTGGTGCGATCTCAGCTCACTGCAACCTCCGCCTCCTGGAATTAAGCCATTCTCCTGCCTCAGCCTCCCAAGTAGCTGGGATTACAGGCGCCTGCCACCATGCCCAGCTAATTTTTGTATTTTTAGTAGAGATGGGGTTTCACCATGTTGTCCAGGCTGGTCTCAAACTCCTGACCTCAGGAGATCTACCTGCTTTAGCCTCCAAAAGGTCTGGGATTACAGGCATGAGCCACAGCGCCCAGTCTGACTTTTTTTTTCTTTTTTTAATCAAAGCTAATGAATTACTATTCTCCTTAAAACCTGTCAATGGCCTCCCATAATACTTGGAAACTGGCCCTGCTTAACTTTCCGAGTTCATATCACCTTCCCCCACTGACCTTCAGCTTCTCTCCTCTCCTTTCTAAGATGCACAGAACCTTTCTGGCCATGGGAACTTTGCACATGCACCTTGCTCTCTCAGAAAGCTCAAAATGGCTCCTCTATCACAGGCTTGGTTCATTTAATCTTTTTTTTTTTTTTTTTTTTTTTTTGAGATGGAGTCTCGCTCTGTCACCCAGGCTGGAATGCAGTGGCGCCATCTCGGCTCACTGCAACCTCTGCCTCCCGGGTTCATGCCATTCTCCTGCCTCAGCCTCCTGAGTAGCTGGGACTACAGGCACCCACCACCATGCCTGTCTAATTTTTTGTATTTTTAGTAGAGACGGGGTTTCACCATGTTAGCCAGGATGGTCTCGATCTCCTGACTTCGTGATCCGCCCGCCTCGGCCTCCCAAAGTGCTGAGATTACAAGCGTGAGCCACTGCGCCCGGCCGGTTCATTTAATCTTTTAGTCTCAGTTTATAAAGGTCACTTCTTTAACCTCCCTCTAGACAACAATTCTCTGTCCTCCCCCAACCCCCAGCTCAGTTTTCTTGGTCTCATTACTCTGTCTGTTGATTGCCCTCATAGTATTTATCCTCATCTGTAATGATCAATTTGCTGCCTTTAATTGCATGTTGAATATCTTTGCCATTGGTGACTAGAACATAAGTAACGTTAGGTCAGGGATTGGATCAGTCCTGGACACAGCTTTATCCTCAGAGTCTAGCACAGGGCTAGCCAGAGAACAAATACATGCAGCTTTGTGGGTCAGCTATAGGATCTTTGTTACAACTACACAAGTCTTCAGTGGTAGCACAAGTAAATGACTGGGTGTGGTGTGTTCCAATAAAACTTTGTTTATAGAAATGAAATTTAAATTTCATTTAATCTTAATGTGCCATGAAATATTCTTTTGGTTTTTTTTTCCCAGCCATTTAAAAATGTAAAAACCATTATTAGCTTGAAAGCTGTATAGAAACAAAGCAGCTGGGATTTGGCCAGTAGGCCTTAAGTAGTTTGTCAATCCCTCATCTAGCATATTGCTTGGCAGAGTCTCATAATTTTTTTTAAATAAAGAAGGCATGCAAGCAAGAACTTCAAAATTAGAAATATTCTCCAACTGATTCTCCTTATATTTGCAATCGACATGATCCATGCAGACAGCAACCAAGAGTTCATTAATATCTGGCATCTTCCTAAACACCCACTTCTCTTTATGTTGTGCAGACAAAGCCACTCTCATAAGTAACCCAGATATGAAAAGGAATTAGTACTCAGTGACCCTCAGAAACTTTTTAGAGTGATAAGGAATAACTCTAACAAAGCATGCCTTTCTGTTCATTGTATAATAAGGTACACACACACACACACACACACACACATACACAGCTAACTTTTTCAATTCTACCATTGGTTTTTTGTTCTCTGGATTCTGAATTATCTTAATCTTTTCCTTCTCTTCCCTGAGAATACTGAGGCACTTTTCCTTGGAGAAACTGGTAGTAAACCAGAGAATAGTGTTTCATGTATGTGTTCTTAGTTTTCTTATTCTTGACTTAGATCTTTACCACCATTTTCTGTTCCCACCAACATCAGGTCTTTAGGGCTGTGATGGTAACACTATTTCTCTTTATTCTCCCACGTTCAGCATCTTTTGCTCCCCAGGGATCAGAGGTGTCAGCTAAAAAAATACAAATTGCTTATTGTACCTAATTAATTTAGCCAAAGTAGTAGAGAAATGCTGAGATAAATATTTTCTTAGTGTTTTTTTAAAAAACTGTTTATTTCAAAAGCTAGTGTTTATTTATTTTTTTAAAAGAGAAAATGAATAATTTTTGAAAACATTTTTTTCTTTGAAAACAGACCTCTAAAGGAGGTGAGAGTTTGGCATGTACTTTCTGACAGCTTATCATATATAAGAATCTGATTGATTACCATAGATTTTTAACCAAAAAAATGTTCTTTTCCATGAATGCCAACTTACCATAACAACTATCTACATATCAATTCTCAAAAGCATGACGTAATTTTCTCGATCTTTGAAAAGAAGAATTATGTGACCTTATTCAGGCTTGAAAAAGCCTCAGCTCAAGTGTCTTTGGGGAAAAAGCCACACTTAGTAAATGATTAACTTCCTTGGCATTCCTTCAAGGTCACTCCGTCATAGATAAGAGGACTGCGCCAGCCACCATTAGGAATTTAAGTTCAAGCACACTTCTCTCTACTATTTAGACCCTCAATTTCAGATACCTTAAAGGAAGCCAATAAGATACATTTAATAAATATCCATATTGTGTGAAATACAAATAAATATAAATTGTATCAGTTTAATAAAGAAAAAGGTTGCTTGTTTATTCAATAATTGATGGGATCCCAAGAAGGGAACATGAGTCCCTACTGTGTGCCAAGCTCCTTCTCATAGATTCACCTTTCATTCTCACAATAACCCTGTCGGATAGTGTTCCACTAGTACAGATAAGGAAACTGAGGCTCCTGGACTGTAATGCATCCAAGGTTACCTGGCAAGTAAGTGGTGGGCAAGGATCCAAACTCCCTGTTTTCTGTTTATAAGTTTGATTTTTCATATTGAAACGCAGAAGATAATTGCTCACTCTTCTCTATTGGATAGGGCGAACTGTCCCTATGGAACCAGTGGGTTTCTAGACATCTGATGATAGACCACAGGTGACAATAAATATATTTACAACTGGAATGGGAGTAAACTTAACAGAAAAATCAGTACACATATAAAATTATAAACATCCTCCCTCTTATTCTCTAAACTGAGCTATACCAATTCAAAACTGCTTACCAAGTCATCTAAGTTGCAACATATTGCTCATCGAATATTCTAATAATTTCTAAATCGTTTCTTGATTTTTAGAAATTGTTGCTGCTCTGTTTTGTTTGACACAGCTATGACCAGATGAATGATGCCTCTGTCTGAGCCATGATTTGATGCAAGGTGCCAAATCCAACTCATCCAATGATGTCCCTCTTAAATGGAGTGTCATTAGGGCCCCAATGCCAGCTCTTGGATGTATTGCTGCTCAGGGGCCACCAGGATGAGTACCCAGGTCTCAGCTGGCTGAGGCTTTGGATATGAGAGCTTTCTACATGGCATGGACTCCAGAACTATGGCTCTGCAAACCATAGGGCCACCAATGTCCCCTGATCCAGCCTGCTCGGCTCCCCCCTTCCCAACACCAGCGCTAGGCTCCCTACATTGGCACCACCCCCATGTCCCATGACCCACCTTTGAAGCTGTCAGAGGGCCATGTCCCATGACCTGTGCCATGTCCCATGGCCCGCCTTTGAAGCAGTCAGAGGTGACTTCTTATCTAATCAGCAGAGAATATATGTTAAGAGTAACAATACTATTTTCAGTGCTGAATTTACTTTCAGCTTCTGATGAACCAATAGCAAATTAATAAAAAACATTTTCCTGCCACTTTTCCTAGCTGGTATGTTAATATATTTAATATTTTTATAATTTTCTGGGTCACACAGCTACCAGAAGACCATACGTCATCATTGGTCATCATGACATTCAATGACATGGCAATTACCTTAAACAAACAAGTTCATATTATAATGCAGATTATAAGTTATTTTTACCACTAATAACAATTGCTATTTTACTATTTACTGATTCATATAGAAGTATATACATTTCAGGTTGAAACTTATGAAATCACTGATGTTCAACCACTTTTAACCTACAAAAACAGTAGTTTCATATGGTTCCACCAGATAGTTCTAAAAACTTGAGTGGCAATACTGGGTTATACCTGTGGAATATCCTCTCTGATTTAGACAATTATACTTTTCTCTTGGCCAGTGATTCCCAGCCAAGGGGCAATTTTGCCTGCCAAGGGACATGTGACAATGTCTGGAGACATTTCTCTTTGTCACAGCTTGGGAATGCTACTGGCATCCAGTGGGAAGAGGCCAGGGTGCTGCTAAGACATCCTACAATGGATAGAAAAGCTCCCACAACAAAGGATGATTCAGCCCCAGATGCCAATAGCACCAAGGTTGAGAAGCCCTGCTATAGGCAAATTGTACAGACTAAATGGCCACATGTGTATAGGTGTCATTGTGGTTTAGAGTTCTCTCCTTTTCATTTTCAGCTAGGCCTTTATTTGTGCTTAACTTTTGCTTGTAAATACCTTGTATTTTGTTAACTGTGATCCTCAGCAGAGGGGAGGCTAATTTAAAATTAGCAGCTGGGAAAGTAGTAAACCATAGATGAGTAAAGAAGCCTTATTTTGACTGATTTTACAACAATATTTAAGTAAAGAGAAAATAAATGAGCAATGTCATTGTCTACCCTCTCTACATGAAATTCAGGTCTGTAATAGTTTGCTCTCCGTTTCTTTCAGGTTTTCACCTAAATCCTCCCCTCCCAGTCTCTCTGACCTGCTCACATTGGTTTACCAATTGCCTTAAGGTATCTTATTCTTTCTGGCATTTCAACTCCCTACTGTCCTGTCCCCAATTCCATGCCAGAACCTAGTTGTGCATTCTTCCTTAGTTACTATAAACTTACTATACTTACTATGGTGATGTTCACAGACAACTTGCTTAATGTGTGTTTTATAATTTAATTGATGGGCCATATTTCACGCATATTATTCCATATAGTTTATTTTAACTAAACTTTTTATTTTGGAATCCTTTTAGATCTACAGAAAGGTTGCATAGATGGTGTAGTTTCTATATATCTTTCACTCAGTCTCTCCCAATGTTAACCTCTTACACAACCACAGCACATTTGTTGAAAGTATGAAACGAACATTGGTTCAGTACTATTAGCGGAACTCTAGGCTTTATTTAGATTTCACTACTTTACCACTATGGTCTTTTTTTCTGTTCCAGGATCCAATCCAGGATCCTACATTGCATGTAGTATAGAGGTTTATTTCTTTGATATTTCCTTTAAAGAAGAGTGTTTGAAAGAATGACATTGGTCTCAATTTATATTTTGGGGAGAAATGCAACCCTGAAGAAAACATCACTCTATGCCACAATTAGGAAACCAGCGTCTTGCAGTTCTGTTCTCTTTGGTCTGAGTAGCAATGTTGTGTTGTTGTCTTTAGTCTGAACCAGTCCTTAATTTACATTTACTTATTTATTTATTTTAGACGGAGTCTCACTGTGTCGCCGAGGCTGGAGTGCAATGGTGCAATCTCGGCTCACTGCAACCTCCGCCTCCCAGGTTCAAGCAGTTCTCCTGCCTCAGCCTCCCGAGTAGCTAGGATTACAGTCACGCACCACCACACCCGGCTATTTTTTTTTTTTTTTTTTTGATATTTTTAGTAGAAGCAGTATTTCACCACGTTGGCCAGGCTGGTTTCAAACTCTTGACCTCAAGTGATCCGCCCATCTTAGCCTCCCAAAGTGCAGGGATTACAGGCGTGAGCCACTGTGCCTGGCTGGGTTCTTAACTTTTAAAATATAGAAAACTCCATATAAACACCAAATCTTTGACATCTCTTGAAAAACCAGAAGATCTGGCAACATACATCCTGCCTGCACATCTAGCCATAGTTGTCTGCCCCTGGGTAGAGGCTGCCCCCTTTTCCTGGGGCAACATTCTCCTCTCTGCTGTCTGCTCCAGTGGTCTCTATTTTCTGCCCATGGAAGCCAAATGTCGATTGTCCTATCCTCTCGACTGTGCTTGTGTTTGCTGTTAGGCCATGCCCTAAGCACACCTTTCCGTTTGTTCTGTTGGCTCTTGTAGGTGTCTGATTTTGCTTGTATGCCTCTCAGCCTTAGGACTCATTTAAATTAGAGGGCAAATAGCTGCCTGTCTCCAATTAACCTGGGCCTGCAATGCAGCTCAGGACGTGCATGGGACTGGAGAAATTTAATTATCCTCCTGAAGAGGGAGTGTGCTTTTACTGTTGAAGAGAAAAAAACCAAAGAGCATATCAAATAGGTCTGTATAAATGTTGCCTTAAGATGGAGGGTATTCTGAAGCTCTTGATCCTGAACTAGGCTCAACAGAGCATGGCCGGCAGCGTTGAGGTCGGGGACAGAGACCCACGTAGTCAAAGGACTTGCACTCTTCCACATGGCAACGAATCTGCTTCCTGCCTTGTATTTTAGAGAATTAAAGAAAATTCCAATTCTAAAATGAATAATGCAGCCCTGGGAAAACAAGTAACAGTGGAATTGTCTAAATCTAGATTTATGGTTCAGATGCCGTTGGTTGGAAATTTTCTTTTTCATATAAATTGTAACCATATGTAGCTTGAGATTTGCTGGTTTAGCTTAACCTCCCAAATAATACTTATTTTAGAAATATGTTTATATTTTCATTTTCTTCTGGAGAAAGGCTTTTATTGTATCATCATTGTTTTGGTATTATTCTAATTTTTATTGTGCATTAAAAAAAATCTTATTTTATTTTTAGTTTTTGAGACAGGGTCTCACTCTGTCACCCAGACTGGAGTGTGGTGGCATGATCTCAGCTCACTGCAGCCTCTGTCTCCCAGGTTCAAGTGATTCTCCAGCCTTAGCCTCCCGAGTAGCTGGAACCACAGGCACATGTCACCTCACCTGGCTAATTTTAGTATTTTTTTTGTAGAGATGGGATTTCACCATGTTGCCCAGGCTGGTCTCAAACTCATGAGCTCAAAGCCATTCACCCACCTTGGCCTTCCGAAGTGCTGGGATTACAGGTGTGAGCCACTGCGTCCAACCTATTGTACATTTTTCCTATATTTTGGAAAAATTAAAGTATGGGAAGTATATCGGTCTCATGGCAAAGCATCTAGAATGCAAAGAACTAGAACTTACTATTTTAACCTTTTGAAATAGAGCAAATTCCAGAGAACTTGTCTTTCTAAAAGTGAAGGAAATTTAAGAGTATATTTCTTCTCAATCAGTTTATTGAGTGCGTGCTGAGAATCTGTATTGGTAATTTTTATTTTTGGAAAAAAAAACTTCCGAAACAATTTAGTAGTTTTGAATGAAAGATGACTGTATGCAAATCAAATGTTCAACTGTTAATAAATTAGTGTTTGAGGGCAATTACATTTCAAAGATATAAAAATCAAAGGAAAAAAATTGGGGAAACGTTTGAAGAGAGAAATAAGGTGTTTTCTACAAGATTTTCTTTCCATAGCCCCAAACCTTTTAATAAAAGAGAACAATTTGAATTGTGCCTATTATTTAGAAAGATGAGTGATAAAATAGCCAGTCATATATAGGTATATATATATATATTATTTTATTTTATTTTAGGTTCCGAGATACATGTGCAGAATGTGCAGGTTTGTTACATAGGTAAACGTGTGCCACGGTGGTTTGCTGCACCTATCAAGCCATCACCTAGGTATTAAGCCCCGCATGCATTAACTATTGATCCTGATGCTCTCCCTCCCACTGGCCAGTCATATATTATTATCCAGCTTTCTTCTGGGAAAAAATTATAAAACTATACTTATTATATTTGGCTCTAATATGTTTTGCACCCATATTGTTCATTCCCTAAGCACTGTGCTAAGTATTCACATTCATTAATTCAATTAATCCTTACAAAAGCTGAAAAGGTGTGAATTACTATCTCCATGTTACAGATGAATAAACTGAAGGGCAGAGAGAATAAGCAAGTTGATCGATAGCTGCTAAGTGGCAGAGCTGGGATTTGAACTTAGGTGTGTATGATCTTTCAAGCCTGTCAACTGAACTACTCCACACACTGCCCCTGCTAATTGCTATGGCGTTATGTCCTGTGATTCCTATGTGATAAGAAATAAGAGAGCAAAACTATCTCTCTGGCTTCAGCCACCCCTGCTGTTGCCGTGAGCAGGAAGCAGGGTTCAGGGGTCTCCCGACCTCTGGTTTCTGTGGCACCCATGTCCTGACCAGATCTCATAGGCTTGGAGTTGCAACTACATATTTTCCAATTTGTGTGTTTTTTATTTCCCTTCCTAAAGGGATTTGGGCCAGCTTGAAGATAAAAAACACAGAAACAATCAAACCGGACATACTAACACAAGATTAAAAAGACCAAGTGGATTTAAAAGAATTACATTAGAAAGCCAAGTTAGGGCCGGGCACGGTGGCTCCCTCCTGTAATCTCAGCACTTTAGGAGGCTGAGGCGGGTGGATCAATTGAGGTCAGGAGTTTGCCATCAGCCTTACCAACATGGTGAAACCCCGTCTCTACTAAAAATACAAAATTAGCCGGGTGTGGCGGCGCACACCTGTAATCCCAGCTACTTGAGAGGCTGAGGCAGGAGAATCGCTTGAACCCAGGAGGCGGAGGTTGCAGTGAGTCGAGATCACACCTTTGCACTCCAGCCTGGGTAACAAGAGCGAAATTCCATCTCAAAAAAGAAACAAAAGCCAAGTTAGAAGTGAACGTTTGAAACCCCAAAGAGTGCCGATGTTCTAGGCACCTAAGAGAAGCAGAGAAGGAAAAAGTAGTCTATGTGATCCCCGGTGGTGATGGTGTCGGGGTATACAGGCAGACCCGGGATTTTTAAAAAATTTTATTTTTGTTATTATTATTTGGTATTTTCAGCAGAGACGGGGTTTCACCATGTTGGTCAGGTTGGTTTTGAACCACCGGTCTCAGCCTCCCAAAGTGCTGGGGTTACAGGTATGAGCCACTGCACCTGGCCAGACTCGGGATCTTGAAAGATGGCTTTTAGCATTTGCTGAAGAGCTAGTTGCAGTAAGAAATGTAAGGACCACTGGCCATGATGAGTTTAGCACCTCTCTTCCTCACATATCCATTTTTATGAGTTCTGTGTTCTATATGAGGGCAAGCAATCCAATTGGACCCAGACCCCCTTCCCTCCCAAGGAGCTGCGTGTGATCTCCAGCTGAGGAGAGGCTTGCACTCACAAGTAAGTACACTTCGAAGGCGATTTGAAACACAATACTGATCATATATTTCAGAAGAGGTCAAACACGAATTTGAATACAAGCAGAATCAGCATTTGCTCAGAAGAATAAAGGCAAGTATGATACTGAAGGTTCATAAAGGGTCATGGAGTAAACACAAACATTACGTTCTCTCTGTTATCTGAGTTTTTCAAGTTTAGGGTACAAAACATGAAGTTCTCTTGAGTATGGATGAGCTGGAACAAATCTTTTTTTAAAACGTTCTCAGAGAAAGTATTTTTAAAAACAAAAGAAAGATACGCATTTTATATGACTGGAAAAATGACCTAGAAGCAGCACGAAGCCATCCCAGGAGAAACAGCACTGGCTTTGAAGTGATAACCGTTAGAGTTGGCTGTGGGGTGTTTCACGACAGAGCTCGTGGGTCACCAGCACTCATGTTAGAAACACAAGTGAAGGCAGGCTTCTCTATTTCTTCTGCAACACCTAGCACCAGAGCAGTCCCACCTTGTTGCATCAATGAAGGGCTATGATTCACATTACTGTCCATATGGTGTGTGCCTCCTGAAGTTGTACAGTGCACAACCTGTGTACCCGTACACAGCAGCCCTGAGAGAGGGGGATCTCTTTGGGTTTTGAAAAGTTTCTCTTTCTGTTTTATTGTCTGCTGGATGGGCAAGTATAAAAATGTAAAACCAATGGCTTGGATAAGTATTTCAGTGTGCTTATCTTCGACCCAAAAACGATTGCTGAAGAAGATGAATATAGAATTGAATTTTTAAATGGAATAATGTAAAATATAGAAAATGGGTTGGTTATCTTCAGAAATTCTGTGGTGATTCTTTTTTTAGGGAAAGGAAGCCTTGCTGGACGCAGTGGCTCACGCCTGTAATCCCCACACTTTGGGAGGCCAAGGCAAGTGGATCACTTGAGCCGAGGAGCTCGAGACCAGCCTGGGTAACACGGGACCTACAAAAATAGTAGAGGTGGGGTCTCTACAAAAAATCACTAAATGAAGCGGGAGGATCTCTTGAGCTCAGGGATAGAGGCCACAATGAGCCGTAATTGCGCCACTGCCACTTTCACCTGGGTGACAGATTGAGACCTTGCCTCAAAAAAAAAAAAAAAAAAAAAAGGCTTCCACGAAGTAAATAATCGTTTTATATAGAAATACATCAGAAAAATTCGGATTTGTCTACATTCAATCTGCATGAAGGGCATTGCAGTGCATGGATCCCAGCTCCGTGAGTGGAAAGCACACGCCGGAGGGCGCTGCTGTTGCCACTGCATACCCAAGAGCCCACTCGGACCCTCCAGCAGAGGGCGCAGTGCTGCCTCTGCTGTGCACCGCTGTGCCGCCTCCGCTGTGCACCGCTGTGCACCGCTGTGCCGCTTTAAGGAAATGAGAAGCCTCTGTCTCTGCCTTTCGAAAGCAGAGGTAATTAATCAGTGGGGGCACTGTGTGGGGAATGGGGCTTTAGTCCCCCATACTCTTGGTCAGCTTCCCCACCCCAGCCACCTCAAGCAACCACATAATATAGGGAAGAGGGCAGGCTTGCTGTGCCAATGTAGCTCCCAGATGACTTCCCAAGCTTTCTGGAAAATTAGGAACCAACAGGGAAATGATTTTATTTATCGCACAGGGATTATTCTTACTTATAATCCTAATGCACAAGGATTAGATGAGTTAATCTAGTCCAAAATGCTCTTGTAAACTGCTCGTGTAAGATACCATTGCACGGATGTAAATGCTGGATACTCATAATCCCGTGATCCCCATACATGACTGTGTATTTGAATCTGGGAACTTCAAAAATACTGATGCCTGGGCCACTCCCAGAGATTGTGATTTAACTGGCATGCAATGTGGTCTGGGCTTTGGAATCTAAATGATCTCCAGGTGATTATAAATATGCAGACAAATTTGGGAAACTCTGCTGTAGTCCATTTCTCCCCTTCTCTCAAGGTAAGCCTGTTGTTGGCCCCTTTTGTCTGTGTAATGATAATGATGATGACCACGATGATGAAGACCATGAGTGTACATACAATAATTCACCATATTTGGCCCTTCTGAGATTTCTCTTTGGAGAGATCCCTACTGGATTATAACACACTGACAATAGAGCTTAGCCATAAATATCGTAGGATGTCTGCTTTCTTTCATTTCCTTGTATGTCATATACCATATCTTGAAACTGTTGGTTGAACTACATTTTACTTTTGCATTAAATATTTCTGAATATCTGCTCTACATTAGGCATTGTTAAAAAACATTTCAAGGATCCGATATTTGAGTCCTGGGCAGATACTGGCGTGTTCAGAGAAGATGTGTTATTAATTTGGCCACTAGATGGCAGGACTTTGTAAATCATAATGAATATAAACCAAAGCGCATAATAAAATTCTTAATATAAAAACAAATAAATGGCTCCTAGGTGAAGATGGAGCAGGCTTAGGTAGTATTCTAAGGGAAATGCAGTTTATCTTTGATGGCCTAGAGAGTCCCCTTTCTCCCGTCTGTCTGGGTAGCTCCAGGGCTATCAGGACCACCGGCCCCCACATTGGTGCATGTGCTCTCTGCTTCACTCCTGAGCTCTCGGTCTCTCCTGGTGATCAGGAAGGGCTGGACAGCAAACCAAATGGCAGACCACATGGATCATGCTAATTCCAGGCCAACTGATGCAAGACTGGGGAGAGTGAATTTTTACTTTTCCCCATCCATAGTTTCTTGCAGGCAACAGTGCAAATAGAAGAACCAGGAAGGAAAGGTGGGTATGCTGCTGCAGGATTTATAACTCATGCTGACCCCATGAGAGGAGGAAGCCACAGGCCTGTGGGACCCTAGACGATCAGGTGCACTGGCTTGGGTGTACAAGCTGCATCAGCTGGGATTCAGGTTGTCTTCAGATTTAAACTATTACAGGTATGTAAGATAAAGGTATTTAGATTCATGCCAGGCTATTACCTGTCAGTGCTTGCAGGTGACTATGTATTTTTCTGCAACTATTTGTTAAAAAATGTTTAGCTTCAGGTCAAGTAAGCCCTCTTCCTAAGCCTGAGTCCTTGGGGACACTATGCCCAGTTTATGCCACAACTAAAATGCCCACACCCTAATTTTCAGCCCACTAAGTTATAGATCAAAACTGCTCTTCAATAGTAATGACTGAAAGTGTTTTTGATATAGTTAGGTGGACAAAAGACCTCTGTAGGACACCTGTCTGTCTCATTCCCACTTTCCAATGGAGAAAAGATCTCAGTGATAACAATGGAATGTTGCTTTGCAAGCATTTTTGGCTATAAACCTCAGTCTTTAGCAATAAATATGGTGAAGACCACGAACATTCATTTACCCCTTCCCCAGGCCCATGGCCACACATGTGAAAATGTGTTTGGAAGCTGAAGAAAACATATTGAGCTTGTTAATTGAAGATGTACAGAAAATATTGTTTTAAAATAGTTCATCAAGTCAGGCATGGTGGCACGTGCCTGTAATCCCAGCTACATGGGAGGCTGGGGCAGGAGGATCACTTGAGCCCAGGAGTTCAAATCTAGTCTGGCCAATATAGTGAGACTTCCATTTCTAAAAAATAAAAATAAACAAATACAAAGTTCATTATATATTTCCTGATTTTTCAAATCCTTGTAAATTTCCCAGTTGCCTTCACAGTTAGGTGCCAGCGTGTGGCTGAGTTCTAGCCAGTACAATGTGAACAGATGTGGCATTAAACCTCACATACTCCTCCATGACTTTCCCCTCTTCCTGCTGGCCGGAATGATAATGACTAGAGTGTTCTGGGAAGCCAAATTTTGAAGATGGCAGAGCCACCATCAGCCTGGGCCTTTGAATGACCATGTGAAACAGAGCCCTTCTCTTCCCTACCCCCTACTTTATAAACCAACTCCCTTCCCCAACTCCTATCCCTTCAAAGTGTTACGTGAATCAGAAACTTCTCTGTGTGTGAGCCATTACATTTTTCGTTCTACCTGTCACAGCGCTTTAGGTTGTAACAAAGGACGTGCATGGTTCACACTGGAACTCTCCATCTTAGGCACCTTAAACCCTGCTTTAGGAAGATGATAGCCCCCCCAAGTGGCAAATACATACTTGGTTTGATGAAATAACTGACAACAAGCTAGCGTAATGCTTTACAATTGAAAGCCATTGAAAATCACATTTAAGGCAACGTTGATTGTGTACTCCAGTGTTCCTGAAAAGTTTAGGAATTTCAGCTGCATGCAGGCTTTATGGTTCACAGATTTCATTGTAGAATGCTGAATTAGAACTCTCGGTGAACCCTAGTCACATGCCAGTTTTAAGTCATGAATACCTTACTTTACTAAACTAAGTAATGTTTTATAACTTGCCTAGATGGAAAGCCATTTAAATACAGTGATAGATTAGTAAGAGATAACCATGTGGCAATGGGGGAAATCAGTGACCTGGGTCATACTCCTGGATTTCCCACTACCTTCGGGCCATGGACAAGCTATTAGATTGGTGTAAAAGTAACTGCGGTTTTTGCCATTACTTTCAATTCATACTTCACCTCCCCGAACCTGAGTCTTCTCTCCTTAAGCAATGCAGATGGAGGTGATTTCTTCCAGCTCTAACATTTTACCATTCTATAGTCATTATTTTTTTCTTTTTTGCTCTTTTAGAATTTAGTTTTTATTTCTATCAGTTAAACACCGATGGTTTAAAACAGGGATTTGCAAACCTTTTCTGTAAAAGACCAGATAGTAAATATTGTAGGCTTCGTGGGTCACACAGACTCTGTGGCAACTACTCAACCCTGCCATTCTCCTGGGCAAGCAGTCATAGACAACACTGAAATAAATGGACGTGGCTGTGTTCCAATAAAAGTTTATTTGCAAAGATAGGCAGCTGGCTCCCTGGCCATAATTTGCTGACCCCTGTTATACAGGGCCAGATGTCTTCCTGCTAGGACCCACTGCAGCCATTAGCAATAATTTCCTGCACTGCACCTCCCCACCCCCAGCCCCTGTGGCTCCAGTTTTTCTTCCCTGGATATAACCACTTTTTTTTCTAATTAACCTCCATATCCCTCAATAACATGTGTACAGAACAATTTCTGCCCAGAAAGCTTGCTCAGGTTTAACCAGCCCTCCAAATGACTCACATTAAAGTTTGAAAGACATGCTCCAGATAATTTTTTCACATTATTGTATATATATATATGTATTTAAGTTTGCTTTTTCTTAAGCCCAGTACTTCTGTTACTAGCCCTACCTTTATCACCAGTTCCAAAGTTTCTCTGGCACCATATCTTCCTCTTTCTTTTAGACTCCTTCATTTGGAGGCGGGGGCTGGGGGGAAGCCTGTCATCCAGTAGCTTCCTGAGGAATGGTAGTTGGGAAATATATTTTTGACGTTCTGCAAGTCTGAAAATGTCTTAAGCATGCTTTCACACTTAACTCAAAACTTGGCTGATGGTAGAGTTCTTGATTGGAGACAGTTTTCCTTCACAATGTTAAAGGCTTTATTCTATATACTTGTAGTTTCCATTGTTTCTGTTGAGAGATTCGAAGCATTTCAAACCTTGTAATAAGATTGTTTCTTCCTCAGTTTTCCTCTCTGGAAGCTTCTCTGAGCTTCTCTTTGACCCTAGCATGTGTCTCAGTATGGTTCTATTTTCATCCATTGTATTAGTCACTCAGGGGACCCTTCCAATTATGCCTTCAATTCTGGGATAGTTTCTTGGTTTACTTCTGCGACAATTTCCTTCCCTGCATTTTTTCCTGTCTTCTTTTTCTGGGACTTTTTCCACTTAGTCGTTGGCCCGCCTGCCTGGAGTGATACTTTTTTTTTCTATTTTTCATTTCTTTATCTTTTTGCTCTAGTCTCTGAGAGACTTCCTCAACTTTTTGTTCTATTTGAGTTTTTCATTTCTGTGTTCATTAATGTGAAACCGTATGAAATTGCCAATATTTGATGATTTTTAATCTTACAAAATGGCAATCTCCTAATTTCCAAAAGCATGCTCTTATTTCCTGGTTTTTCTTTTACAATATTTTGATAGCATCCAGTTCTCATTTCATGGACGTAATATCTTCTCTTATTTCTCTGAGAATATATTAATGGTAGATTTTTTGAATGGTTTCATCTTCCTATGTAGCCTTTTTTCCCAGTTGCTTTTTTCTGTCTAATTGTTTTGTTCTGTGCCTTTCGCATTATAAATTTTTCTCAGATGATGATAATATCAAATCGTAAAAGCAAACGTTTCAATAGCACTTACTATCTGGCAGAAACACTTTTAAATGCTTCATGCATGTGAACTCATTTCATCTTAGCAACAATCCCAAGCGGGCTTTTAGAGATGAGAAAACTGAGGCTCAGATGTTGAAGCTGTCTGCCAATATTTTAAGATGTGGCACCAAAGAGGACCGAAAGCTCTGTGCCAGTGAATGGGGCTTGTCAACTGTGGGTTTCACTGAGAGTGATGGAACCCCCTGTGTTGGACAGAATAATGGCTCCAAAAGTGTCCACACCCTACTCTCTGGAACTGGTGAATATCTTACCTTCCATGGCAAAAGGGGACCTTGCATATGTGATGAAGTTAAGGACTTTGAGATAGGGAGCGTAGCCTGGATTACCCAGGTGGGCCTTAAGTAATCACAAGGGTCCTTATAAATGAAAGAGATGGGCAGAAGAGTCCGAATCAGAGAAGGAGATGTGAGGATGGAAGCAGAGGTTAGGATGGGCCAGGAATGCAGGCCACTTCTGGAAACCAGAAAAGGCGAGAAAATGTGCCACAATAAACATACGTGTGCATGTGTCTTTATAGCAGCATGATTTATAGTCCTTTGGGTATATATCCAGTAATGGGATGGCTGGGTCAAATGGTATTTCTAGTTCTAGATCCTTGAGGAATCGCCACACTGTCTTCCATAATGGTTGAACTGATTTACACTCCCACCAACAGTGTAAAAGCATTCCTATTTCTCCACATCCTCTCCAGCACCTGTTGTTTCCTGACTTTTTAATGATTGCCATTCTAACTGGTGTGAGATGGTATCTCATTGTGGTTTTGATTTGCATTTCTCTAATGACCAGTGATGATGAGCTTTTTTTCATATGTTTATTGGCCGCATAAATGTCTTCTTTTGAGAAGTGTCTGTTTATATCCTTTGCCCACTTTTTGATGGGGTGTTTGTTTTTTTCTTGTAAATTTGTTTAAGTTCTTTGTAGATTCTGGATATTAGCCCTTTGTCACATGAGTAGGTTGCGAAAATTTTCTCCCATTCTGTAGGTTGCCTGTTCACTCTGATGGTAGTTTCTTTTGCTGTGCAGAAGCTCTTTAATTTAATCAGATCCCACTTGTCAAATTTGGCTTTTGTTGCCATTGCTTTTGGTGTTTAAGTCATGAAGTCTTTGCCCATGCCTGTGTCCTAAATGGTATTGCCTAGTTTTCTTCTAGGGTTTTTATGGTTTTAGATCTTACGTTTAAGTCTTTAATCCATCTTGAGTTCATTTTTGTATAAGGTGGAAGGGATCCAGTTTGAGCTTTCTACATATGGCTAGCCAGTTTTCCCAGCACCATTTATTAAATAGGGAATCCTTTCCCTACTGATTGTTTTCATCAGGTTTGTCAAAGATCAGATGTTTTTAGATGTGTGGCGTTATTTCTGAGGCCTCTCTTCTGTTCCATTGGTCTATGTATCTGTTTTGGTAACAGTACCATGCTGTTTTTGTTACTGTAGCCTTGTAGTATAGTTTGAAGTCAGGTAGCATGATGCCTCCAGCTTTGTTTTTTCCAATTCTGAGAAGAAAGTCAATAGTAGGTTGTTGGGGATAGCATCGAATATATAAATTACTTTGGACAATATGGCCATTTTCAAGATATTGATTCTTCCCACCCATGAGCATGGAATGTGTTTCCATTTGTTTGTGTCTTCTCTTATTTCCTTGAGCAGTGGCTTGTAGTTCTCCTTGGAGAGGTCCTTCACATCCCTTGTAAGTTGTATTCCTAGGTATTTTATTCTCTGTAGCAATTGTGAATGGGAGTTCATTCATGATTTGGCTCTCTGTGTGTTATTGATGTATAAGAATGCTTGTGATTTTTGCACATCAATTTTGTATCTGAGACTTTGCTGAAGTTGCTTATCAGTTTAAGGAGATTGTGGGCTGAAACAATGGGGTTTTCTAAATATACAATTATGTGATCTGCAAACAGAGACAATTTGACTTCTTCTTTTCCTATTTGAATATGCTCTATTTCTTTTTCTTGCCTGATTGCCCTGGCCAGAACTTACAGTATTATGTTGAATAGGAGTGGTGAGAGACGGCATCCTTGTCTTGTGCTGCTTTTCAAAGGGAATGCTTCCAGCTTTTGCCCATTCAGTATGATATTGGCTGTGGGTTTGTCATAAATGGCTCCTATTATTTTGAGATACGTTCCATCAGTGCCTGGTTTATTGAGAGTTTTTAGCACGAAGGGCTGTTGAATTTTGTCAAAGGGCTTTTCTGCATCTATTGAAATAATCATGTGGTTTTTGTCACTGGTTCTGTTTATGTGATGGATTACGTTTATTGATGTGCGTATGTGGAACCAGCTTTGCATCCCAGAAATGAAGCAAATTTGATCATGGTGGATAAGCTTTTTGATGTGCTGCTGGATTCGGTTTGCCAGTATTTTATTGAGGATTTTCGCATTGATGTTCATCAGGGATATTGGCCTGAAATTTTTGTTTTATTTTTTTAGAGACAGGGTCTCACTCGGTCACCTAGGCTGGAGTGCAGTGGTGCTATCATAGCTCACAACAGCCTTGAACTCCTGGGCTTAAGTCATCCTCCCACCTCAAGTCTCTTGAGTAGCTGGACTACTGGCATGCATCGCCATGCCTGGCTAATTTTTTTCTTTTTTCTTTTGTAGAGATGGGCTCTCACTATGTTGCCCAGACTGGTCTCAAACTCCTGACCTCAAGTAATCTTCCCGTCTTGGCCTCCAAAGTGTTGGGATTACAGGCATGAACCACTGCGCCTGGCCGACATCTTGATTTTATTCCAGTGAGACCCATTTTGAACCTTTGACCTCCTAAACTTTAAGACAATACATTTTTGTCATTTTGAACCACTTGTGGTAATTTGTTACAGAAACAATCGGAAATGAACACACCACCCATTCTGTTGCAAAAACCCCAATGTCATTTCACTCAGGCAGGTGGAATTTGCTAGGAATTTTCTTATCTCCTGCCTGGAGGGTATGTGTACATGTACATGTAGATTTAACCTAATTCTCCTGTTGTCATTACAGTACCTGCTCTGGTTTGAATGTGTCCCCCAAAGTTTATGTGTTGAAAAATCAATCCTCAGTGCAACACTGTTGAGAAGTGGGACCTTTAAGAGGTGATTAGGTCATGAGGGCTCTGCGCTCATGAATGGATTAATGTCCTTATTGTGCAGCCAGGCAGGTTGGCTCACGCCTGTAATCCTAACACTTTGGGAGGCCAAGATGGGAGGATCACCTGAGGTCAGGAGTTCAAGACCAGCCTGGGCAACATGGTGAAACCCCGCCTCTACTAAAAATACAAAAATTAGCTGGGCACAGTGGCGCGCACCTGTAGTCCCCGCTACTGGGGAGGCTGAAGCACTAGAATCGCTTGAACCCAGGAGGCGGAGGTTGCAGTGAACCGAGATCGCACCACTGCACTCCAGCCTGGGCGACAGAGTGAGACTCCATCTCTGGGTTCATTGTAGAACGAATGGGTTTGTTATAAAAGTGAGTTTGGTGCTCTCTCTCACTCACTTTACCTCTGTTTCACCATATGACTCCTTCCACCATGTTATGATGCAACGAGAAGGCCCTTATCAGATTCGCCCCCTGAGGGCTCAACTGCTTCAACCAATTCTCCTATTTTTCAATTCCATCTTATATTAGTTTGCTAGGGCTGCTGTAATAAAGTACTACAGACTTGGTGGCATACATAACAGAAATTTATTGTGTCACAGTTCTGGAGGCTAGAAGTTTGAGTTCAAGGTGTTGGCAGGGTTGAATCCTTCTGAAGGCTGTGAGGGAAGGCTCTGTTCCAGGCTTCTCTCTGCTCAGCTTGTAGATGGCTATTTTCTCTCTGTATCTTTACATCATCTTCCCTCTGTCCACATGTGTCCAAATTTTCTCTTTGTGTAAGGACACCAGTTATACAGAATTAGGGCCCACCCTAATGTCCTCATCTTAAGTCAATTATCTCTTGAAAGACCCTGTCTCTAAATATGGTCACCTTTTGAGACACTGAGAATGAGGTCTTCCACATATGAATTTTTTTGTGGGGAGGGGTTGCAATTCAGCTGCAACACATTTTATCTCCACTTCTAGTGGTAAATGGGGCCACCCATTCCTGAGCCTTCTGGGAGACCTACAGGATAATTCCCATTGCTTGGTTTCTTCCCCTACAGGGTTAGGCTTTGGCTGTCTCCAGCTACCAAGTCAGTTACCACATGTCTTTCTGTTTTCTCACTTCCAAAATTGTGTTATTACTGTATATTCTCTTCTCTTATTTCCTTTTGCTAAATTTATGCCTTAAAAATGCATCCCAATATTTGCTTGAGGGTGATTTTACATGGAGCAGAAATAAGTGCTTAATTTTAATGGGCAATTTTAATTGGAAGTCCAGGTAAAGTAAGTTGTATGATTTGACAGAGACCAAAATAAATTGAACATTTGAAAATCTGATTTTTCATAATTTACATGGAGTCCATCAAATGTGAGTGAAATTAGCTATAGTATTCCGTTTTTTAAAAATGTTTTAATAAATATACTAGAAGGTTTTTGAATTATCACCAAATCTCTGTATTTGACTGACTTTGGTTGAAATCTACATAGCAAATTATGAAAGAAATTAGTGATAATTATCTAGGGAATATGTGGCAAGAAAGCATTGAGATGTTTTAACCTTCATTGAAACAACAATTCATTTAGTCTATGAGAAGCATAGTTTGCACTTAATTCTTTTTTTTTTTTTTTTTCTTGAGACAGAGTCTTGCTCTGTCACCCAGGCTGGAGTGCAGTGGCATGATCTCAGCTCACTGCAGCCTTCGTCTCCAGGGTTCAAGCGATTCTCCTGCCTCAACCTCCCTAGTAGCTGCAATTATAGGCACACGCCACCACACCCAGCTAATTTTTTTGTATTTTTAGTAGAGATGGGGTTTTGCCATCTTGGCCAGGCTGGTCTCAAACTCCTGACCTCAAGTGATCCACCCGCCTCGGCCTTCCAAAGTGCTGAGATTATAGGCATGAGCCACCGCACCTAGCCTTAATTCTTTCTTACAAGTCCACCGAGATAATGATCTTCATAAAGCTGGAATATTCTTAGAGGTAACACTAGGGTTCTTTTATGGGTTAAGCTATGAGAAGAAAACAGGTGTTTCACAATTCTCAGCCCAAATATCATCTCTTCTATGCTGATTGGCAATAACCTTGGGCCTTATACATTCTTCAAAAAATCCAAAGTTCTTGGCTGAGAAAAAAAATACTACTCTTTCTATAATGGGCCCCATTACCCCATTATTTCTCACACTTTTCATGAAGTGAATTGGTATTCCCTCTAGCTGGAAATAGACCTAATTCTTTTTTTTTTTTTGGTCTTGCTCTGATGTCCAGACTGGAATGCAGTGCCATGATCATAGCTCCCTGCAGCCTTGAACTCCTGAGCTCAAGTGATCCTCTCACCTCAGCCTCCTGAGTAGCTGGGACTACAAGCATGCACCACCAAGCCTGGCTAATTTAAAAAAAATTTTTTTGTAGAGATGGGGTCTCACTGTGTTGCCCAGTCTGGTCTTGAACTCCTGGGCTCAAGCAATCCTCCTGCCTCAGCCCCTACAGGTGACTTTTAGAGCAGTGGTTCTCAAAGTGTAGTTCCTGGACCAGCAGCATCAGCATCACTTGAGAACTTGTTAGAAATACAAATTCTCAAACTCTACCTCTGGTGAATCAGAAACTCCAGGGATGGGGCCCAGAGTTTTAACAAGCCCTCCACGGGGTTGTTTTGCACACTCAGGTCTGAGAGGTACTGTCTTAGAGGACTCAGGGATAAATTGACTGCTATTTTAGCACCTGGCATAGTGTCTGACATATTGAAGATGCTCAATAAATTTTTCACGGAAATTACCTGAGAAAGACTCACTTAAGACACACAATATTGGAAGAGACAGCCTAATGGGCATAGTATATCTTTCATCTTTATAAAGGATCAATAGAAGAATCCATCATGCAGACAGCTGATGACTCTTGCATAACTGCAGTTAAAGGTGTTGTGTCGACTTTGTGACCAAGTGTCCTTTATTCAGTGCCCTGTTGTAATAAATGAGCTTACTTTGAGAGAAAGTTTGTCTCTGAAGAGAAATGAAAAAAATGTAAAACCCAAGATTTGCCTTTTTGGCTTCACTCTCAGGAAATTTAGAGCTGCACAATAATTCTCTGCTCCCTTTGTCCTCTTCACATGGGTCTCTTTATTCTCTAATTACCCCACTGCGCCTTCTGCTTGATCATGAGTAGTCTCGATGCCTTTGGAAATAGACAAGGTAAGGATTTTAGATAACGAGGTGCATGAAAGACCACGGGCAGCCTGGATGCCACGGCCAGCTAGCAGAAGCTATGGCTGGAAATATGACCTTTGATCATTCAGGTTTGCCGCATACACGGAGGAAGATGCAATGCGCAGGGATTATCAGTGGCTTGCTCCTGAGAGCAGATCTGCTTGGGCAGGACTCCAGAATATGTGGTGAGATAGGGATACTCACTAGAGGGTAGAAAAAACCCTAAGGGCATGGCAAACATGAGCTTCTGGAAAGATCTGATGAGTTACTGTCTTTGATCAGCTGGGCAACCTGGGGGGCTATAAAGCTTAGTGAAGCTTGTATCTCCAGTTGGGGGTGCGACTGGGTGCCTTCTGTGAGTAGATCACACATGGATCCTTTATATCCAATAGCTACATTAAAGAAACGTCTGTCCTTAACCTGGGGCTGTTAGCACCTTTCTAGCAATTATATCCCTGTCCTGTTGTGACAACCAAGCAGTAGGTTAAAATGAAAATTACCAAGATGTAGTGGTTTCAAAAAATGTCTGGAAATTTTTTGTCTTGGCTCCCATCAAGAGCCATTGAATATAGATGGGCTTTCATCACTCACTTTTAATGAGAATGTGGCAGGAGGTGATGCTTGGGGACTTCGAAGCTACATCATCAAAAGCAACACATCTGCCCCGGTTCTCTCCTTGGATCACACATCTTTGGAAAGATAACAGGTGGCTACCCTGAAGCAGTCACAGGGAAGAGATCGTGTAGACAGACCACAGAGAGATAGAGAGTGAGGCTTAAGGATGCTCAGCTGATCCAGGGTCCAGCTGTTTGAAGCTTCCCAGCTCAAGCACCAGATGTGGAAATGAGGAAGCCTTTGAGCAGCCATCATCTGACTGTAGTCACACGAGGAACCCTGAGCAAGAACCAGCCAGCTAAGCCAGTCAGTTTTCCAAAACTTGAGAGCGTAACAATAAATGAATGTTGTTTTAAGGCACAATGTTGGGATTGGTTTGTTACGCAGCAATAGGTAACTGCCACAGGAACTGAACATTTTTTGTTCCTTGGCTTCTGCGATATCACTCCCTGGGCTTTTTTTCTGAAAAAAAAAAAAAAAAAAAAAAAAAAAGATACTGATTCTGAAGATACTCAATAAATTTTTGAGTATTTATTCAAATACTCAAAATTGGCTCCTTTTCCAGGCTCCTTCATGGGCCAGTCCCTCCAATAGCTTGGTTCCTCAAGTTCCCATCCTCTTCTCTTTCCATTCTTTGCTCTTTCCTTGGATCACATAATTCCCATTATTCCCATGATCTCAATCAGGGCAAAGGATGGTGGCAGATACTGATGAAAGCCAACCCAACAGCCATCACCACTGCTGACAGAACGCTGACTTGTTCCAGTGGCAACCCTTGATGCCAAGGAGGTTGGGCTCTTGCCCTGGCTCCAGGAACTGAATTGTGATGAGTTGAAACCACAGTCAACCAACCCTTTGGCCATTCATTGGTTTGGGGGTGGGCATTTCCTCCAGTTCTGGCTAATAAGATAAAAGGGGAAATTTGCTTGGAAGTTTCCCTTCCCTATAAAGAGTTTTTAAGAATGTAAAAGTCTTGGCTGTCGCCCTTTTTCATTTGTTCCTTTTGAAACATGGATGTTCTTCCTGGAGGTTGAGCAGCATGTAAACCCCTAGGCAAAAAGCCAACATGCTAAGGATGGAGGAGCTGCATCCATCTTTTGTTTCTTGATACCATTATCATCCCTCTGATCCAGCTCTTCCAACTGCTTCCCTCTGGTTTTTGTTATGGGAGAAAAAACCCCATATGGACACCGCAGTGTCTTGCCCAAATTTCCTCAAATGTGCTTTATGGATTGTAAGGGCTACTTCTCTAGTTTTGGTGCACATTGTTTCTAGCTATTTACAGCTATGACGTCATCTTGTGGTCTGCTGAAAGGCTACTGGAGCCACAGCAGCCAGACAAGATACATCAAAGCATCCACCTTCCCTGGGTGGCTGCAGCTACTGACTAATGGGGCCAAGAGCAGGAAAGCCCAGCTCTTTTCCCTCAAAGTGGACCACACTCTATGGTGAAATTAACACCCCGGAACTCTCCAAGATTACAGAGCTACTGAACAACTAGAATGAGAACTGGAACCCAGGCAGTCTATCTCCAAGTCAGAACTATCCTTTTTGAACCCTTGATAACAGACATTATCTTGAAATAACAGAAATCCGAGAATAAAATCTGAGAATAAAATTGCTTGCAAATTTACCAAGATTAAATCCATGTTTTTTTATGTCCTATCACTTTCGAGTTCTTCAATTTTTACATATTTTCAATGAAATACAGCATTTTATGTTTGATATGTACTACAGACATTACACCATGCATTTTCTTCCATCTGCTGGGCTTCTGCCCCCAGTTCTTCTCCCTCTGCCTCTGTGAAACATCCATTTCCTGACCTATCTTCACCCCTCATCAAGACAACTAATCTTAGGAATGGTAGAATGGTGTGAGAGTGTGAACACCAGAATTTGAATTTTGGCTCTGCCACTTCTGAGCCATGTAATTAATTTGTTAAGCAACTTTATTTCTCTGTGTCTCACTTTCCTCATCTGTAATATTGGGATCATAATAAAATTATTCACCTCATGGGATTGTTGTGAGGCTGAAATGAATATTACTTATACTGCCTATGGCAGAGTATCTGAAACATAGTGAGTGCTCAATAGGCTTACCGTAGGGATTATATTTTACCCTGAAAGGTCAGTGCCATCTTGGCTGAATACTGGGTTCTTCATCTGTAATTCTTTTCTCTTAGTGGTTTATGGATGTTATCTCACTTCTGTCTACCCTTTAGTACCCTTTAGTGTGGTTTATGAGATGTCTGATGCTTGTCTGATTCTTCTGCTTTTGTAATTTATGTATTATTTCGGTCTGCATAATGTTTATAAGATGTTCTCCGTACTTCTGGAGTTCAGGAATATTATCACGGTGCCACTAGGCAAGTGCCTTTGATTTTTATTAGTCCCATCTGGACCCCAGTGAGCCCTTTGAATCTGCGGACTTGTGTTTCTTCAGACCAGGAAGATCAGCCTTCTATTATTTCTTTAATTGTTCATCTTCTTTTAGTGCTTTTCCTCCTTCCTCTAGAACTCGTGTTACTGACATGTTAGGTCTTCACAATCTCTTGTCTTTGTGTATCTTATCTTGCTCCTCATAAATTCTGTTTTGGCATCTTTTCTCCAGAACTTTTTCATCTTCCCAAACTGAAACTCTGTGCCCCTTCCCTCAGCCTCTGGAAACTACCATTCTACTTTCTGTTTCTGTGAATTTGACTGCTCTAGGTACCTCATATAAGTGGACTCATACAATTTTTGTCCTTTTGTGTCTGGCTTATTTCACTTTGAATAATGTCGTCCATGTTCATTCAGATAGTAGCACAAGTCAGATATTTATGTATCTGTTGATGGATATTTGGGTTGTTTCTGCCTTTTGATTATTATTATTAAAAAAATGGTGCTGTGAACATTGGTATACATGTATCTGTTCAACTCCCTGCCTTCAATTCTTTTGGGCATATACATAGCAGTGGAATTGCTGGATCATAAGGTAGTCTATGTTTACTTTTTTTTTTTTTTTTTTGAGACGGAGTTTCGCTCTTGTCGCCTAGGTTGGAGGACAATGGTGTGATCTTGGCTCACTGCAACATCTGCCCTCCAGGTTGAAGCGATTCACCTGCTTCAGCCTCCTGAGTAGCTGGAATTACAGGCGCCCGCCACCCTGCCCAGCTAATTTTTGTATTTTTAGTAGAGATGGGGTTTCACCACGTTGACCAGGCTGGTCTCGAACTCCTGACCTCAGGTGATCCATCTGCCTCTGCCTCCTAAACTGCTGGGATTACAGGTGTGAGCCACCGTGCCCGGTCTCTATATTTAATTTTTTGAGGAGCTGCCATACTGTTTTCCACAGCGGTTGCACCATTTTACATTCCCACCAACAAAGCACAAGGATTACAATTTCTCCTCATCCTCACCAACACTTGTTCTTTTCTGGGATTTTTATTGTTGTTGTTGTTGTTTGTCTCCTTTTTTTTTTTTTTTTTTTTTTGGATAACAGCTATCCTAATGGGTGTGAAGTGGTATCTCATTGTGGTTTTGACATGCACTTTCTTAATTGTTTGGCATCTTTAGTCTACGTACTTTGAGGCCACTAATTCTGTTCTCATTGGTTCCTTTTGCCTCTTCTATTTTATCTACTACATTTTATTAATTTAGTCATTCAGTATTTGTGTACTTCCTATGTTTAATGAACAGATATACAGAGCAGTGATCAAAACCCACAAATCCCCTCTTAAAACATAGAAATCAGCCGGGCGCGATGGCTCACGCCTGTAATCCCAGTACTTTGGGAGACCAAGGCAGGTGGATCACGAGGTCAGGAGTTCAAGACCAGTCTGGCCAAGATGGCAAAACCCCGTCTCTACTAAAAATACAAAAATTAGCCAGGCGCGGTGGCAGACGCCTGTAATCCTAGCTACTTGGGAGGCTGAGGCAGGAGAATTGCTTGAACCTGGGGGGCGGAGGTTGCAGTGAGCCGAGATCACGCTACTGCACTCCAACCTGGGCAAGAGAGTGAGACTCCGTCTCAAAAAAAAAAAAAAAAAAAAAGTAGAAATCATTTGTTTTGTTCCTAGTCCCACAAAGTAAAAAAAAAAAAAAAGTAGAAATCATTTATTTTGTTCCTAGTCCCACAAAGTCTTATTGTAATGCTAAAATGGAATTTCTTTAAGTCTTCCCTTTCATTTTCTGTTCTGGCTATTGGTGGTATGTCTCCTCTATTTCTTACTGTTCTGTTTGGTCTCCCTCTCTCAGGTTACTGGGCTTCATTTGCTGAGAGTTCCCCTTCCGCAGTCAGGTGAGCTGTTGCTGTCCCTCTAGGGGTGGCAAAATTCAGTCTCCATTCCTATGGGGTAAGGTTGACCCTCAGGTAGGATGTTGGGAGAGAACGCCTTTTTGCTCCCAGCTCTTCCTAGTTGCAGCTTTTAAGGTCTTTTTGCTTATTGTTTCTTTGGTTCTTTCATCTCAGGGATAGGAATAACAAGGCTCACCTGAGCAGGTAGGACTCACTAGTTCTTTGGGAGAAGAAAGAGCCAGTGGCCTTTCTAGGTTAAGACACATAGCCGGGCACGGTGGCTCATGCCTGAAATCCCAGCACTTTGGGAAGCCGAGGCGGGTGGATCACCTGAGGTCAGAAGTTTGAGACCAGCCTGGCCAACATGGCGAAACCCCATCTCTACTAAAAATACAACAAATTAGGCAGGCGTGGTGGCAGGTGCCTGTAATCCCAGCTACTCAGAAGGCTGAGGCAGGAGAATTGCTTGAACCTGGGAGGCGGAGGTTGCAGTGAGCTGAGATCACACCACTTCACTCCAGCCTGGGCAACAAGAGCAAAACTCCGTCTCAAAAAAAGACACACAAAGGTAGATAACACACTTCCCAGGGGCGATTCATTTATCAGGAACTCTAGATTTAGTTCCTTTTATTACTTCTATGGGTCTCTATTTGAATGTATTGTGTGCACTCTGCTCCTGATAAAGAAAATTTGTGTGAAATGTTTGCAAAGCTTGCTGTAAAATGGAAATCTTTGGTGATTTGAAAACCCATTGTTTATATATCCAGTCTCCCTAGTCTCACTTTTCGGGAAAGGGGTAGGACTTAAACTATGACCATTTGTGGGAAAATTTAGTCATTAAAAAGAGTAGAACTAACAATGGCAGGAAAAGGAGTAAAACTAACAATGGCAGGGGAAGTGTTAATTTGGTGCCTGGAATGGATGTGGTGTCACCAGAAATGGTGCACTTGAAAGAGACTCCACTGGAAGGGTTCAGTCCATACCTGCAACACCCTAGGATATTTCATTTTATGTGTCAACTTGACTGGGCCATACAGTGCCCAGATATTTGGTCAAACATTATTTTGGGTGTGTCTGTGAGGGGATTTTTGATGAGATTAACTTTTAAATTGGTAGACTGAGTAAAGCAGATTACCCTCCATAATATGGGTGGGCCTCAGCCAATTAATTGAAGGCCCGAATAGAACAAAAAGGCTGACTCCCAATAGAGAATTCTACTGCCTGTCAGTCTTTAAACTGCAACATCAGTTCTTCCTTGTTCTGCAGCACCCTGCTGACCTTCAGACTCAAACTGGCATATCGACTCTGCAGATTTTTGACTTGCCAGCCTCCATAATCAGGTAAGCCGCTTCCTTATAGTAAACCTCTCTCTCCCTCTCTCTCTATATATATGTACAAATATATGTATATACGTATGTGTGTATATATGTATATCTTTCTACATATGTATGTATGTGTGTATATATATGCATGTATATGTGATGTAGGTATGTATACACACACATACACACACACACATCCTGTTGGTTCTGTTTTTCTGGAAAACTCTGACTAATACATATCCTCTCCAGAGATACCTAAAGTGTGGTCTTCAGCCAGGTGGCTCCATCTTTAGTCTCTTGGTTCACTGGAGAAGAAAGTCCTATGTCCATTATCAGACTCCACCTCCCTTTGTAAAAAAAAAAAAAAGGGATGAACATCACCTTATAAATAAATAAGTGTATTTACTTATAAATTGTATACATGTACCACTCCATTACTAAATCAAATGTATTACATATATTTACCTATAAATTAAAGAGGTACCACTTCATTAATACAGCAAATGCATTATAAAAAGATGAAAAATATATAACTACAGTTTTCTTCTCCACTCCAGTGAATCATCTTGTATGACCCCTTGGATGCTTGCACTCCACTTTGCTGACCACTAGCTTAGAGCTCCCTGCCCGCTCTGAGGCTTTGGATGCTCTCAGGGCTCTGTCAGCATGCCAGCTGGCTTGAGAGAGGAAATTAAATAGGAATTGGGCGAGAAAGGAATTCAGGGTCTCTGGTTGACACTGCCATCTTATCTCTTCATATTTGATTGACTGGATTAAACCAGTGGGTCCAAAACCTTGCTGAAGTGAAAAGCTTAGGCCTGTGGATTTTTTTTTTGGCTTTGTTTTTAGAAATAATTTTCCAGGTGTTTATGGTTTTAGCCAGTTTGGAAAACAGCTGGCTGTTTTCTAGGCTAGGCTGTTTTCTGTTGACTTTTTTGAATGGTCCCAGCTTAACAGGAATAAAAATTAAAATATATTTTTTCCAGGGAGATTAAAAGTAAAGCCAGGAACAAATGCTAGTCTGTGTCCAATAAAGGTCGAGAAGAAATAATTTTATGACAGGTGCAGGGTATATTTTTCCTTTATTGATTTTGCTTTTTTCTTTCTTCTGATTCAATGCTACAAATTATTTAAATTTTACTGGGATTGCACTTTTTATACTTTCCCAGCTGTTCGGGGAAGAGATGAACATAGATAAATTTCACTGTCACACTTGAGCATAACAGTGTATGAGATTGTGTATATATATCTTTCAACTTCAAATATCCAAGCATTACCACAAAAAGTAAGCAACATTTCTATGATTTACAAGGTAGATGGAATTAATTTGTGTATTTATTATGATAATTACCTAGCAGACAATAATAAGTCATCTTGGTCTAAAAAATAATTCAGTATACTTCACCAATTTTCCAACACATGAAGTAAAGTATCTTTAGGCAGAGGCACCTTTTTCTAATTTGCCCAAAGATGTCATCTATCTGGACTAATGGCAACCTTAGTGGTGACAGGGTTAATGAAGTGGTTGTGTTCTAGCTACTTCTGCTATCAACTTCCATGCTCTTGACTCTGGAACATTCCCCAGATACAATATTTCCTCAAATGAGTGTGGCAAGTCCCATTCATTTATTTGACAGCTATTTATTGAGGCTCTCCCATGGGGAAGGCCCACTGTTCTATTGGATTGGTCTTGTGGTGATCTGCAAGGCAAAGCCGCATAGCTCCTGCAGGGCACTATAGAATAGAAAGTGCACTGAGACCAACCTCGGGCCGCACTGAGACCCACCTAGGGCTGAATTGAGAATCCCACTGGATGTCATCCTTTTCTTTCTTCTCTGCAGTCATTTGATTTCAAGGAAATAACCATGAGGCCAAATAACAGTGACACCGGGCATGATGAATGGCCCCCACCTATGATTCCTGCATTTTTGTCATGAAAATCCAGTCACATAGTCATTTTAATTTCCATTTTAAACAGAAGGAAGTTGAGACTCAGAGTGGTTAAGTGGCTTCCTGAAGATGGTGTAACTGGCATTTGATCCCAGGTCTCTCTGGCTCCCAAGACCACAATTCCAAAGTTCACTGGTCTCTGACAAGGAATGACTCTCTCTCTCTAACGCCTCTGCCAGCTGAGGTGTTTGGCTTCTTCTCATAGCTGATTAAAGGGCAGAACTGGTTTTAGGCCACTGAAGTGTTGTTCTATGTGTTAATCACTATTCATACACAGCCTATGAAAACATTTTAGAACTGGGAGAAAATTACTGGCTCCTAAATGCAAAATAAAACTTCCAAGTCAAACTTAATGTGTTCAATTAAGTGGCTGCCAGATTTAGCATTCTAGCTTTATGCATTGTTAAATTTGGTAAACATAAATTTAGTGTTCAAAAATTCATAAATGTTGTAGACATTTCTGTATATTTGAATACAATTTATAAATTGGGTTTTGTTCTTCATGAAATTCCTGAGTGTCCATGAGAAGAACCAAGAAATTATAGCCAAAAGCTAATTGAATGATTACTCATAACTTAATAGTTTCATAGGCAAATTATAAAAGCATTTTATTTTAAAATATAAATGTATGTTTAATGTGGGATATGAGTGTTTTAAAAGCATTTTTACTTTCCAATTTTTGCTATGAAGATTTTTAAACTTGTAGAACAGCTAAAAAATAGTGCAATGATTACCCATATACCCATCAACTAGAGTCAACAATTGACAGCATTTTGCTGTATTTGCTTTACCTATTTATCAAGCTACCTATATATATTTCTTGCTGAATCTCTTGAAAGTTGCAGACATTATGACATATCACCCCTATATCACCTAAAAAGGACATGTTTTTACATAATCGTGTTAACATCACACTTAAGGAAATTAATAATAGCCTGGTATAACATAATATTGAGTCTATATTTGAATTACCATCATTGATCCCTGAATCAGCTACCTACTGTGGTATAACAAACACTCAAAATGATAATGCCTTAATACAACAATCATTTACTTAGCTTGAGATTCTCTGGGCCTTCAATATGGGCTGAGCATGGCTGGGCAGGTCTGGTTCTCACTGGCTTCCATCATGCAGCTATGGCCAGCTGCAAGTCAGCTGGGCCATTCTGTTTCTGGGGGTTGCCTGGCTATGAGCTGGGATATCAGGAACAACTGGGCCATAAGTATCTCCTCACCTAACAGGCTTGTCTGAGATTTCCCATGTCCTAGCTGTTTCACCTGTGGGCCAGCCTTCTTGATGGTCACAGTTCCCTCCTAGGCCTCCATTGCTGTTTTTCCCTTAACTCCATTTTTTTTTCTTCATTGCCTCAATTACCCACATGGCAACCCCTTGAATCTAGACAGCAGACCTGACTTGCTGGATAAAGCATCTTCAGGTAATCTATGCTTCTAGCTGGTTTTTCTTCCTTTGTCTGCCTTTGTACTTTTTGGCCACTGCTCCTGCTTTAAGCCATGCAAACAGGAAGAGGCTATGTCCATACAATAAAAGCCATCTACGCATACAAGTGCATAGGTATGTAGATTTGCATCTATGCATACAAGTGTAGCCAAATCCCCAACCTGCTGGCTATCAAGGATACCTGCTCCCCCTTAATTCGTGGGGCTCAGATTGACTATGAGGTAATGCAAATCACGCCTATTAGTCTTTCATTCTGATCTGCCCAGATGCCAAACCAGGCCCATTCTGTCCCCATGCAGTGAGCCAATCACTGTGACAGTGGGTTTTGCAAAAGAGAAAGGGTTTTTTCACGAGGTAGCCAAGTGATGAGGTGGGAGAATAGGTCTCAAATCAGCATCCTGAGGATAGGGCTTAGGGATATTTATGGGATAAAAAGCAGAGTGGTCTAAGGCATGGGGAAGGGTGATTGATAAGTGGGGAAAAATGATGCATTGATGGTCTGTGTAAATGTAGTCAGGGTTCATGGCTCTTCATAGGATGCATGTTCAGAAAATGACAGTGTTAGCATGATCTGAGGAAGAAGTTTTTGGCCCTGTGACATCAGAAGGTCACCTCTTGAGCATTTGCACAGGCCCAGTTGAAGGGTAGGTGGTCTCAGCTGGTTCAAACGGCATAAAAGCTGCCCCCTAGTTCCTGAAACACAATTTCAAACAACCATTACCATAGTGCTATATATATCAGAGGTGTTCTTTATAAGGAAGCTAGTGGAAGTTTAGTTGTATATTGTTTGGCTATGTGACTTTTAGTTATTTAGAATCTTTTTTTTTTTTTAAACGGAGTCTTGCTCTGTCACCCAGGTTGGAGCACAGTGGCACAATCAGAGTTTACTGCAGCCTTAACCTCCTGGGCTCAATTAATCCTCCTGCCTCAGCCTCCCTAGTAGCTGGGACTACAGGTGCACTACTATGCATGGCTAATTTTATTTTTTCTAGAGATGGGGTCTTGCTATGTTGTCCAGGCTGGTCTTGAACTCCTGGACTCAAGCAATCCTCCTGCCTCATCTTCCCAAAGTCTTGGGATTACAGGCATGAGCCGTTGCCCCTGGCCTATACAGTGTTTAAAATCAATGGGAAGTAAGTGATTAAAAGCAAGCAAGTCAGGGTAAGTTTGGCAGGCTTAAACAGGTTAGCCCTCAGTTTCACCTTCCCTACTTTGGAGATAGTCCCTGTGGCTGGTGGCCTCTACTATGGAGTGAGCAAAGAGGAATGCAGAGGAATTTTTGGTGGATTCAAATAAGAGACATTAGTGAATAGTTGAGTTTTTCAGTTCCGTTCTTCTTACGTTCGAATGTTATGAGTTGCAACATGATATGGGATGGTTTCAGGGTGGGAGCCCTGGGCTTCTAGTCAAAGACCAGAGCCACATTTCTGCCTCCACCATTTATTTTTCAGAGGCCCCTGAGCAGGTCTGCCAACTTCTTTGATGCTTTAAAGGTCATTTCCTCAGATGTGAAGTGGGGATAGCCACAGAATTGTTTGGAGGATTTAAGGAGGACAATTGTGAATGCCTTTTGTAAATGAAAACACTATATAAGCCTTATGAATCATTATTAAGACAAGTAGAGTTAGGAGAAAGAACAAGACCTGGAGAAGCACTTTGTCCTCTCTTAAGCCATAAACAAAATGAGTGACCCACCCCCTGAATTAGGCAGGGGGAGCCCGTCTTTGTATGTGCTGTGAGAACTACCCAAAGGCGGCCCTTGCCTGTCTCAAGCTCTGCCTGGGTACAAACGTTGTCTCTGGTTGTGGTCAAAAAGCCTGCACCTTCCTACAAATGTGTTCGTTTATACTCGAGCTAAAAATAATAATTTACTTTTGTTTGTCAGGGCTTATTATATATCAGATAACCTTCTGAAGACATCTATTAGCTCATGAATGTCATACAAAATCTATAATGGAGGAACTGTTCTATCCCTGTCTTACAGATAAAGAAATTGAGGCATTTAAGCATTAGGCATCTCATCTGAAGTCACGGCTGGGATGTCGTAGAGCTGGGGAAAACAGAAATATGGATTTATTATTCTATTAACCAGTAAAGTGATTCTAACTAAAAAAGAGCTCTTAAAATCTAAAAAACAAATACCTAAGTACAAAAAAGTTGCTTTTATTAATGAAAACTTTTACAATAATAAAAAACCCCATTCATCTACAAAAGCAAGGCCCTATAGGATCTCTTTCCTTCATAAAGCTGTGATAAAGAGCAGCAGTAAAAATCCTTACTTGCAAAAATAATTCCATGTATCATTAAATCTGAAAATTAAAAAAAAATAATCTATAGCTCAGCAGTCTAACCATGTATTCTTCTCTTGAGAGTCGTATTAAGCATTGAATTATGTATCCTTAATTCCCAGCACTACTTGGTGGGATGTTGTATTCTAATGATACTTCAAAGCAGCTAACATTAGCAAATTAGCATAAAGCCAGGTCCTGGAGGGCTATTTGGAGTCCTGGGTTTATTACTTTTATTCATTCAACGGTAAACATTTAATGAGTACCTGCTATTTGCCAGGCATATCACTGCTTGTTTGAGAATCAATATAATTAAAACTCATCTCTGCCCTCAGGGAATGCAGCGCCTAGTTGCCAAGCTACATTGAGTTGCTCATGAGGTCCAGTAAGGTGGGAGGTGAGAATTGCAGGGGTTGGAGACCTGCTCTGGTGGGTCAGCTGAGCAGAGTCTGCTTCAGCTAAGTCTTGAAGTATAGATATATTGTAGATGGAGAAATTGAGACTTGGGGAGGTTCAGTGATTGCCCAAGGGATGTAAATCACATGTTCAAGATCCAGGATTGGAAGCCGGCTCTGTGCTTCTGATCCAGTGCTCTTTTCTCTGTACCAATGTGGGGAGGCATCTCTTAATATAATGGGCCACCAACTCACTCTCACGAGGCAGATGGTTCCCAGGTGCACCAATCTGTTTGTCTAATATCAACTGTGCACATGGTTGGACTCTGACAATCATGGATAAATTGTTCATTGATTACAATGGTTTCAGGGTGACTCTCAGAGAATTGGTTCCCAAGGTGTGGTCCCTGGGCCAGCAGCATCAGCCTCAGCTTGGAACTTGCTAGAAATGCAGATTCCCTGGTCCCACCTCAGGAATGCTGAGTCAGGAATGCCTGGCATGGATCCCATGAACTGTGCTTCCACAAGTCCTCCAGGCAATTCTGATGGAGCTAAAGTTTGAGAACCATTGTCTTAGAGAAGTTCCAAAAAGCTCACTTTCACATTTGTTTGCTTGTTGACCAGTTGTCCAAATGTTGTAACTAGAATTCATGTGTTTGATTGGCAGGGGGGACGAGGTTCTTGCTACTCCATGTATGGTTAGTAAACCAAAAGCACCACATTACCTGGGAGCTTATTAGAAGTGCAGAATCTCAGGCTTGTCTCAGACTTCCTGGATCAGAACTTGCATTTTATTTATTTATTTATTTTATTATTATACTTTGAGTTCTAGGGTACATGTGCACAATGTGCAGGTTTGTTACATATGTATACATGTGCCGTGTTGGTTTGCTGCACCCATTAACTCATCATTTACATTAGGTATATCTCCAAATGCTCTCCCTCCCCCTTCCCCCCACCCCATGACAGGCCCCAGTGTGTGATGTTCCCCTTCCTGTGTCCGAGTGTTCTCATTGTTCAATTCCCACCTATGAGTGAGAACATGCAGTGTTCGGTTTTTCGTCCTTGCGATAGTTTGCTGAGAATGATGGTTTCCAGCTTCATCCGTGTCCCTACAAAGGACATGACCTCATCCTTTTTTATGGCTGCATAGTATTCCATCGTGTATATGTGCCACATTTTCTTAATCTGGTCTATCATTGATGGACATTTGGGTTGGTTCCAAGTCTTTGCTATTGTGAATAGTGCTGCAATAAACATACATGTGCATGTGTCTTTATAGCAGCATGATTTATAATCCTTTGGGTATATACCCAGTAATGGGATGGCTGGGTCAAATGGTATTTCTAGTTCTAGATCCTTGAGGAATTGCCACACTGTCTTCCACAATGGTTGAACTAGTTTACAGTCCCACCAACAGTGTAAAAGTAGAACTTGGATTTTAACAAATTCCCAGATGATTTATATGCACGCTAAAGTTGGAGACACGCTGGGCTAGATAGCATTCAATTCTGAAGTCCAGGTTGTATAATTCTGTGAGTTTTAATGTGGTTACATGTCAGAGAGTTTTTGTTCGTTTGTTTGTTTTTTGAGAGAGAATCTCGCTCTGTGGCCCAGGTTGGAGTGCAGTGGCATGATCTCAGCTCACTGAAACCTCCGCCTTCCGGGTTCAAGCGATTCTCCTGCATCAGCCTCCCGAGTAGCTGGTATTACAGGTGCACGCCACCAGGACCAGCTAATTTTTTGAATTTTTAGTAGAGATAGGGTTTCGCCACGTTGGCCAGGCTGGTCTCGAGCTCCTGGCCTCAAGTGTTCTGCCCACCTTGGCCTCCCAAAGTACTGGGATTACAGGTGTGAGCCACTGCTTCCAGCCTCAAAGTGTTTTAAGTTTTAAAAAATATAAGCCCACCCTCAATGGGTGTTTCATCACTATGTGAATACATAAAGCCCTTGGCATTTCAGCACAATTTTTTTAAAAACATTATTTTGGCATTTGCTCTGTGCTGGGTACTGTTCGAAGCACCAAGAATATAAATGTGAATAAAATGCAGGTACTCTACTAAGTAGAACAGATTTTACAAAGAAAAGAAAACAAAACAAAAACTAATACAGTAACAGAAATATTCAGTCAGGGTAGCAGTAGGTGTTGCTCTTGAGTGGGGTTGGAGGGACAATCACGAAGGACTGCCTGGAGAAGTGACCTCTGAGATACGATTTGAAAAATGAACAGGACTTCATTAGCAGAAAGTGAAAGAAAGACATTCCAGACAAGGAGTCTTTTGACCAAAGGTACAGAGACATGAAACAGTTTGGAGTGTTCAGGGAAGCTGGGTAAGAGTTTTAAGCAGGGGAAATTTTGCATTTCCGAAAGATCACTTTGATGCAGTGGCATCACCATCAAAATCTGGGGCCCCTTGCAAAGGATAATTGAGTCCTTGCTGCCAACAGAAGGGGCACCTGTCTTTTCTCTGCAGGTGAGCATTTTAGGCCTGGCAGGAGGTATGGACCCTGAATATCTGAGACGCTCTCAGTTAATTTAGAAATTTTATTTTGCCAACATTGAGGACGCGTGCATCTGTGACACAGCCTCAGGAGGTCCTGACAACATGTACCCAAGGTGGTAAGAGCACAGTTTGGTTTTACACATTTTAGGGAGACATGAGACATCAATCAATATATGTAAGATGTACATTGCTATTTTTCTTTCACAGAAGGAAGAAGGAAGAGAGGAGGAGATTGTTTTTGTCTCGGTGTATTTGAAAACTTATGTTTCTACAAAAACCTGTATGTGGATGGGGTTTTTTTTTTTTTTAGAAACAGCTTTATTGAGATATAATTCACATGCCATATAATTCACCCAATTAAAGTGTACAGTTCAATGGTATATTTGTAAAAGTTGTGCAACCACCACCCCAATCCATTTTAAAATATTTTATTACCCCAGAAAGAAACCCCAAATTACTTAGCTCTCACTCACCACTTCCCCCATTACCCCCAGCTCCAGGCAACCACTAATCTATTAATACTTTTTGTCTCCATGGATTTCCCTATTCTGAGCATTTCATATAAATGGAATCACACAATATGTGTCCTTTTGTGTCTGGCTTCTTTCTCTTAGCATATTTTCTAGGTTCGTCCGTGTTGTAGCACGTATCAGAATTTCACCCTGTTTTATGGTTGAATAATTGTCCATTGGATGACTAGACCACATTTTGCTTATCCATTCATCAGATGATAGACATTTGGGTTGTTTTCTTCTTCTTATTATTATTTTTTTTGTGTACTGTGAATAATGCTTCTGCGACCACTTGTGTACAAGTTTTTGCGTTGATGTGTATTTTTATGTCATATGGTAACTCTATGTTTAATCATTTGAGGAACTGCTAATTGAATATGATCTCTGTGTTTAAAGGTACATGCAAGTATTGAGCGGATAAAATGTCAAATTCATTCCTGGCTTTTATAGCTGGTTTAGTCAAAGCATTTTTCTACCACCTCTTTGTCTATCCATTCTGCCATTTTCAACACTGGTTTCAGCCTTCTTAAACATCTGAGTATTGCTGACCCTGCCTGAATTTCTCCTTTCTTGAGGTATGAGGAACAAGAGAGAACTTCCCCTTCATCCTCTAAAGTTTCACTGAAAAAGCAATTGAGAAAAGGCAGATTAATAGGAAAAAAAGCATGTAAATTTATTAACGTGCACAGAGTCTTACAAACTATAAGATCACAGAGAAAAAGAAGATGGTTGACACTGACACCATCCTGAGGTTACAGAAAGAATAGGGGCTTGGATCCTGGTAAAACTGGTTATGATAGGGAGAGAAGAGGCCTGGTTAGCAAAGGTGTTCTTGTTATGCAGATAAAACCTCACAGGTAGCAGCCCTCAGAAAGACTAGATGGTGAGTATTTCTTTCAGACCTTTAGGTGCCAGACTCCCAGTTAATCTTCCCTAAATTTGGACAAGAGAAGGCTTTAGAGAAAGCTTGGCTGTATCAATGCATATTTTCTCTAAAGATGCAAATCTCCCCCACAGAAGACAGCTTTTCAGCTATTCTTGTATTTCCAGCCCTTCTGAATAGCCATCTTGAAATATGTCAAAGATGTATATTTTGGGGAGAAACACTTTGGTTTCCTTCAGAGGGATGACAAGAAAGATCTGTCCGTAAGCTGTAGGCAAGGTCATTGGACACAGTAAGACAACTGGTTTTATTATCTTCCCCAGGTAAAAAATGATCAGTGATGGATATCCAGCCATAACTGTTACCTCACTCATAGCACATTCATGGGGAAGTCTCCATCGAATTCTGAATTGGAGTATTAAAACAGTATGCAAGTGCAATTTCTAGAGAGATTTCTCACAGAATATGTGATACTTGCAAAACATGTATGAATGAATTACAAAATATGTATAATATGTATACATTGTCTTCTAGAAAAGATGTCTACAGATCTTGGCATGACTTAAGTTCATTAGAGAGTTTCAGTTTGCTAATCTCATTTGTTTGCATAAAAAAAGGAAATTAATTATATGTTGAGTGTTGAGTGTTAAGTTGGGGGTTCAGG